>NC_000002.12:240215839-240543788 GCF_000001405.40 Homo sapiens | reverse complement strand
TTATAAGGTTTCAAATTACACAAAAAGTTCCCCTATAGCACTTATATAATGTATATAAATATATTTTATTTTTAGCAGTTTATCTAGATTATTTATGTATCATTTATTTCCTTGTTAACCATTTTATAACCTGTGAATATTAGGTATTCATCTAAATAAGAACCTTAAAGTTAACTACATGGGTATTTTCACCAATAACTCAGAAGATTCAGCTGCTTTCATTAAAGTAACAACATTAAATTAGTCGTACTTATCAAAAAATTCACAGAAAGATAATTTTGTTTTGGCTGGGTATATAGTTTTATAACCTTCTGTGCCAAACCCTGATATCTCAAAATGTCTAGCAAAGACAAATATAAAACCCAGATAAAAATATATGCTGGCAATTCTGAAGACATTTCTATTTTTATTTTATCTATAATTTTTTTTTTTTTTTGAGAAAGAGTCTCGCTCTATCACCCAGGCTGGAGTGCAGTGGTACGGTCTCGGCTCACTGCAAGCTCCGCTTCCCAGGTTCATGCCATTCTCCTGCCTCAGCCTCCCGAGTAGCTGGGACTACAGGTGCCCGCCACCACACCCGGCTAATTTTTTTTTTGCATTTTTAGTAGAGACGGGGTTTCACCGTGTTAGCCAGGATGGTCTCCATCTCCTGACCTCATGATCTGCCCGCCTTGGCCTCCCAAATTGCTGGGATTACAGGCATGAGCCACTGTGCCCAGCCTATTTTACCTATAATTTCAAAGCCAGTTTGTTTAGTGAAGATTTACTTAAATCTCGTGAAAACTGCTTGGACTTATTTAATACTAATTATTACTTAACTAATTATTAATTATATTTTTATTAAGTAATTATAAGTAATTACTTATTACTTAATGAAAATTAAGTAAATAATTTACTTAAGTAATTAAATAATTTACTTAATTTCAATTCATAAATTTACCTTAATTTATGAGTTGAAAATTGCTTGGACTTATTTACTTAATTTATAAGTGCTCTTTTATTTATAAACCAACTTGGTAGACTCAACCTATAACATAATAAATTTATACATATATATATATATATATAGATATAAACATATCTAGACATGTATACACACACACAGATACAAAGATTCAATAGCTCTTACCTTGGAACTCCGTGAGATAGCAATACAAACTCACCAGTCTACGAATTTGTTTACATGTCTGAACTCTATTAGCCTCAATAGGTAATCCAGTGAAGGCTGTGGACCAAAATTTTAGGTAAAGCAGTTTCCATGGCAGTTTGATTTTTTTTTTTTTTTGAGACGGAGTCTCGGTCTGTTGCCCAGGCTGGCGTGCAGTGGCGCGGTATCAGCTCACTGCAACCTCCACCTCCCAGGTTCAAGTGATTCTCTGCCTCGGCCTCCAGAGTAGCTGGGATTACAGGCGCCTGCCACCACACCCGGCTAATTTTTGTATTTTTAGTAGAGATGGGGTTTTGCCATCTTGGCCAGGCTAGTCTTGAACTCTGACCTTGTAACCCACCTGCCCTGACTTCCCAAAGTGCTGAGATTACAGGCATGAGCCACTATGCCTGGCCCTTTTTTTTTTTTTTTTTCTGAGATGGAGTCTTGCTGTCACCCAGGCTAGAGTGCAGTGGTACAATCTTGGCTCACTGCAGCCTCTGCCCCCTGGGTTCCAGCAATTCTCCTGCCTCAGCCTCCTGAGTAGCTGGGATTACAGGCGAACGCCACTACGCCCAGCTAATTTTTGTATTTTTAGTAGTTGGGGTTTCACCATGTTGGCCAGGCTGGTCTCAAACTCCTGACCTCAGGTGATCTGCCCACCTTGGCCTCTCAAGGTGCTGGGATTACAGGCGTGAGCCACTGTGCCTGGCCAGCAGTTTGATTTTTAAAGGCCAAACCTCCCCAGACCCCAAAGAGCACTTGGGCCAAACAGCACCCCAGAAGAACATCACCTGAAACAGACTAATCTGGCCCAACCCTGCTTAAAACAGCAACATACGCCCAGCGTGGTGGCTCACGCCTGTAATCCCAGTGCTTTGGAAGGCCGAGGCAGGTGGATCACGAGGTCAGGAGATCAAGATCATCCTGGCTAACATGGTGAAACCCCGTCTCTACTAAAAATACAAAAAATTAGCCAGGTGTGATGGCACAGACCTGTAGTCCCAGCTACTCTGGAGGCTGAGGCAGGAGAATGGCATGAACCTGGGAGGCGGAGCTTGCAGTGAGTTGAGATGGCGCCATTGCACTCCAGCCTGGGCGAGAGTGAGACTCCGTCTCAAAAAAAAAAAAAAAAAAAAGCAACAACATAAAAGCCACATGGAACTCAATCTTGCTTTCCCATTGAACAGCAAACTCTGAATTCCAAAGAATATTGGGGCCAAAAAGTATTACAAAAGAATATCAGTTTACTGAAGCTTAATTTCCCACGACACACACACAAACAATCACCAAAACACAATCCAACTGCTGCAGCAAGAAAGAAGCCCCAAGAGTGTCCCAACTGAAACAGTTGGAGTGCTTCCTCTCTTCATGGATTGGGCTTGGTCACCCTGCAAACAACAATTCCTTTGGAATTTCCCAAATTAAGAAGAGCCGATCCTACTGTCTGGCACTCACAAAAGATACTCACTTTCCCAGGCACACACACAACACACAGTTACAAACAAGCCCTCAGGAGTGTCCATACTGAAACAGTTGGGGTGCTTTCCTCTCTTAGTCAGTTGGGCTTGTTGAACCTGCAAATGGAATTTCCTTTAAAAATTTCCCAAATTGAGAGGAGCAGATCCTGCTGTTTGGGCCCACAAAGGACACTCACCTATCTTGATGCAGATGTCAAATTTCAAAGACAGTGCTTCTGAGGCAATCAGGAACGCTTCTGGGGCTGGCAGAGAGAGACGGAGACTCTCACCTCCAGCCAAAATTGGGCTGGCAGCTGTTTAGGAGGGCTTCTGAGACTTCAGGCCTTCAGCAATGCTGATGCACGAGCAATGCGTTCCTTGTCAGGGAACCAAAATCTGTTATTGAAACATCACGGGTTCAGTCTAGGTCCTGCTGCTCACCCTTCAGAAAGCCAGTCACTGAGACCAGGAGTATTGCAAAAGAAGAAGGCTTTAATCAGGTGCTGCAGCGGAGGAGACTGGGGCTCAGTCTCAAATCCATTTCCATGACTGACTAGATCTAAGGGTTTAGATAGCAGGGAAGAAATGTAACAATGGGTAAGAAAACAGGAACTCAGGAGGGGTAAGGAAGCAATCATGGTGAATGAGGGGCCTGGAGTCTCATTGGATGCAGTGATCTGGTGAGTTTCAGTTCTTTGACACTTTTTGAGAGACCTGGGCTTCCTTTCCTGAGGAAAGAAGCACATAAAACAAAGTTTCAAGCTTTAAGACCAGAAGGGTCAATTTCTGTGTTTATCCTAAAAACTGTCTATGGGGCTGTTGGGTCGGTTTCATGACCATGGCTCAGGGAAACACAATCTCAGGGAGTCCTGAGAAAGTGTGCCTGAGGCAGTCAGATCAGTCTTATGTGTTTAAGGGAGACAAGAACTACAGCAAAGACCTAAATCAATACATGGAAAACACACATTGGTTAGGTCCAAAAAGGTGGGATGTCTGGAAGAGGAGGCTTACAGGTTATAGGTGGATTCAGGGACTCTGTAATTTACAGTTGGTTAAAGGCTCTAACACTTGGAGTCAGCACAAAGGAATGTTTTAAGTTAAGGATGCTACATAGCAAGATTGATGGCCTGCAGGTGTGGCCTTGCCATGCATGGCTTTAGGTCCTGTTTATAACTGGGTATCTTATTGCTATAGAGAGTCTGTTTTGTCAGCCTTCTGGTCTCTATTTTAACATTAGTGCTGGTCAGTTGTGTCTAAACTCCAAAAGGGAGGGGGTATAGCAAGGTATGTCTGACTTCCCTTCCTGCTATGGCTAAGCACACAGTTTTTCCGGTTTTTCTGGGGTCCTCTTGGCCAGGAGGGGTCCATTCAGTCTGTTCAGAGGGATTAGGATCTTACTTTTAGTTTACAATGAAATCACACAATGTGCAGCCTTTTGAGTCTGGCATCTGACACTTAGCATCATGCATCTGAGATTCATCTGTTTGTTCCAGGAGTTGGTTCCTTTTTATTGCTTAATACATTTTCATTGTGTGGAGCTACCATAGTTTATTCCCCTGATGAAGGACATTTGAGTTGTTTCCAGTGTTTGGCAATTATGAATAATCCTATTGTGTCCGGAATTGGTGGGTTCTTGGTCTCACTGACTTCAAGAATGAAGCCGCGGACTCCTCGTGGTGAGTGTTACGGTTCTTAAAGATGGTGTGTCGGGAGTTTGTTCCTTCTGATGTTTGGACGTGTTCATAGTTTCTTCCTTCTGGCGGGTTCATGGTCTCGCTGGCTTCAGGAGTGAAGCTGCAGACCTTCACGGTGAGTGTTACAGCTCTTAAGGTGGTGCGTCTGGAGTTGCTCGTTCCTCCGGTCCGGAGTTGTTCGTTCCTCTGGTCCAGAGTTGTTCGTTCCTCCCAGTGGGTTTGTGGTCTCGCTGGCCTCAGGAGTGAAGCTGCAGACCTTTGCGGTGAGTGTTAACAGCTCATAAACGCAGTGCGGACCCAAAGAGTGAGCAGCAGAAAGATGTATTGCAAAGAGCGAAAGAACAAAGCTTTCACAGTGTGGAAGGGGACCCCAGTGGGTTGCCACTGGCTGCCTCAGGCAGCCTGCGTTTATTCCCTTATCTGACCCCACCCACATCCTGCTGATTGGTCCATTTTACAGAGAGCTGATCGGTCCATTTTGACAAAGTGCTGATTGGTGCGTTTACAATCCCTGAGCAAGACACAGAGTGCTGATTGGTGCATTTACAATCCTCTAGCTAGACATAAAAGTTCTCCAAGTCCCCACCAGATTAGCTAGATACAGAGTACTGATTGGTGCATCCACAAACCCCAAGCTAGACACAGAGTGCTGATTGGTGCACTTACAAACCTTGAGCTAGACACAGAGTGCTGACTGGTGCATTTACAATCCTTTAGCTAGACACAAAAGTTCTCCAAGACCCCACTAGATTCAGGAGCTCAGCTGGCTTTGCCTAGTGGATCGCACGCCAGGGCCACTGGGGGAGGTGCCCGTCAGTGCCTCACTGCACGCCCATACTCCTCAGCCCTTGGGTGGTGGATGGGACTGGGGAGCTGTGGAGCAGGGGGCGGCGCCTGTCGGGGAGGCTGGGGCAGTGCAGGAGGTGGGGGCGCTCGGGCATGGCACGCTGCAGGTCCCGAGCCCTGCCCCGTGGGGAGGCAGCTGAGTCCCCACGAGAATTTGAGTGCAGCGCTGGCGGGCTGGCAGTGCTGAGGGACCTGGCGCACCCTCCGCAGCTTCTGGCCCAGGTGCTAAGCCCCTCACTGCCCGGGGCAAGTGGCACCGGCTGGTGGCTCTGAGTGTGGGCCCCCCGAGCCCACGCCCACCCAGAACTCGCGCTGGCCCCTGAGCGCCGCTCGCAGCCCCATTTCCCGCCTGCGCCTCTCCCTCCACACCTCCCTGCAAGCAGAGGGAGCCGGCTCCGGCCTCGGCCAGCCCCAGAGAGGGGCCCCCACAGCGCAGCAGCAGGCTGAAAGGCCCCTCAAGCGCGGCGGGAGCGGACGCGGAGTCAGAGGAGGCGCCGAGAGTGAGCGAGGGCTGCTAGCACGTTGTCACCTCTCACCATTGTTAAAAGAAAAACTTAAGCCAAATTAAATTTAAAGGAGTTTAATTGAGCAATGAACGATTGATGAATCAGGCAGCCCCCAGAATCACAGCAGATTCAGAGAGACTCCAGCGCAGCCACGTGGTGGAAGACAATGTATGGACAGCAAAAGGAAGGTGAAATACAGAAAAGAGAAGCGAGGTACAGAAGCAGCTGGATTGGTTGCAGCTCAGTGTTTGCCTTATTTGAACATGGTTTGAACAGTGGCTACATTTGATTGGCCAAAACTCAGCGATTGGCGCAGGTGTGGGCTATGACCAGTTTACACCTCCACTTGTTGTGGTTTACAGCGTGCAGAAGAACCTTTAGGCCAAACTGAAACAGGTAAGGAGGCAGCTTGAGGCTACACTTGATTTGACACCATTATAGACATGCACACTTCGTTGTTTTGTACATGTCAACATGAAACACGGGCCTCCGTGTCGCTTGGGAAGATACTTGGGAGTGGGACTGTGGGGTCATGTGGTGACTGCTTAACCAAATGGTTGTTGTCACCCTAAAGGAAGAGACTGAGGCAAAATTTAATGTAAGTAGAGTTTTGAGGACTGCAAGGTTTGAGGACTGCAGCCAGAGAGAAATACATTCAAGTTGCCCTGAATAGACGCTCCAATTAGCAGCAGTTACAAGTGAGGTTTTAAAGGAAAAGGGGAAATTCTTAAGTTATTTACCAAGAATTTACATTAAAATCACAGGAGCTATTGACTGGATATTGTTTTTTGTATCGGAAATCCTACGAACATGAAGACAATAGGCGAGGGTCACATTATGGAACTTATGATAACATTTTGGGTAACTTATCAGCAAATCTGGAAACTATAGGTAAAGAAAGGAAAAACAAAAGGCCTTGAAACAATTACCCTGGGCCTGGCTGCAGGTGAGGGTGGGGGCCTGACTGAAGTCTCTTGCTGGTCTCTCTGGGCCTCATCACTTTAGCCAACCTCACATTCCTCAGGCTGCTGTGAGATACAGTTTTTCTTGCTGTGCTGTTTTTTTCTTTTCTTTTTCTTCTTTTTTTCTTTTTCGTTGAAAGTGAATATTTGGATGGGTACGGTGGCTCACGACTGTGATCCCAGCACTTTGGGAGGCTGAAGCAAGAGGATTGCTTGAGCTCAGGAGTTTGAAACTAGCCTGGGCAACATAGTGAGACCCTCTCTCTATTTATTTTAAAAAGAAAAATAATTTTAAAAAATCAAAATGAATATTTAGCATGAGAAAAAATTACAATAAATTATACATTTAAGAAAGTGGCTGCATTCAATAAATATTATAGAATCCAGGGAAAAAGCATAGTCTTTTTATTAACTGCCTGATCCACCTCTATAAGACTTCTTGTATATTTTTTGACTGTCTAATCTTTAGCTGCCTCTTCATATGTAATATTTTCTTGTAGAGAAGAGAAAGGCAATGCGATACATCTTATGTTACTGCTCAATTGTTTTTTGTTTGTTTTTAGAGACAGGGTCTTGCTCTGTTGCTTCAAGGGTTTGAATCTCTGAATTCTTATTACCACCTGGTCTTGTCACTGTTACTTTAGTTTTAGCCTCTCTAGTAGTCATGCAGTGGCATTGCACTGTGGCCTGAAATGGCCTTTCCCTAAATGAGTGGCGCTGCTGTGCCCCTTTTCATGTTTCTGTGCCCTCCGTTTTTCCTCTGGCTAGTCTTGCCAGGGAGGTGTCAATTTTATTCATTTTCCCCAAAGAAACAGCCTTCAGCTCAGTTGAGCATGCCATTTGATTCTATTTTCTTATCCAGTTCATCGATTTTTTCCAAAAGAAAAAAAAAGAATTTTCTTTTCTTTTCTCACTTATTGATATTCTAGTTTTCTTCTTACCTGATGTACATATTTAATGATATATATTCTTTCTAAGCATGGCTCTGTAATCCAAAATTTGGTTATATTATTTTCATTCAGTTCAAAATATGTTCTCATTTCTGTTGTGATTTCCTCTCGACCCATGGTTTATCTTATAGGAGTATTGCTTAGTGTTCAGGCTCTAGATAGTTTTTTGTTATTGATTTTCTGCATTCTTGTGTGCCTTGTATGGTTGCAGTTCTTTGAAACTTAGAGACTTGCTTTATGACCCAGACTTTGGCCAACTTTTTAAATGTTTTTGTATTTATGAAAAGAATATGCATTTTGCAGTTAGTGAGCATAGTCTTTATATGTGCTTGGGTCACTTTTACTATTTGTGTTAGTCTTTACTATTTAGGGGGGTGTGGTGGGGTTGGGGGGCAGGGTCTTGCTCTGTCACCCAGGCTGGAGTGCAGTGGCATGATCACAGCTGAGGACTAAACTCTGATTTTTTAAAAATCTTGCCCAAATTCCTACCTAAGGGGTCTAGGGAGTCATGTCCTACAAACCATAAATTCTTACCAGATGGGTTTTGTTTGACCCTATATATCATGACTTACTTTCAATCTGACTCTGGTATAACATTATGTGACAAGAAAAGAATATTTATCCTCAAAATACATTTCCTTGTCATACCTTGAAATTGCCCTGCAAAGTCTCTTGTGGGAAAAATCCACGTTCTCTAGAGAATCCCCTTTCCCCTTTGTTTTCCTTCCTTTCTTTCCAGATGCAGGAGATAATCACCTAAGAGCCAGGCACCCTTTTAGGTCCCGTAAGAAACATTTTACAACCTGCTCTCTCTCTGAACAATAAAACTTGGTTCTTTATCTTAACCTGAACATTCCTTTCCATTGATCCCAAGTAAACTGGGTTCAGATAAACTCAACCAATTGTCAACCAGAAAATATTTAAATTTACCTGCAGCCTGAAAGCCCCCACTTTGATTTGTTCCACCTTTCTGAACTAAACCAATGTATTTCCTAAATGTATTTGTTTGATGTCTCATGCCTCCCTAAAACATATAAAACCAAGCTGTACCCCAACCACCTTGGGCACATGTTCTGAGGACCTCCTGAGGGCTGTGTCATGGGCCATGGTCACTCACATTTGGCTCAGAATAAATCTCTTAAAACATTTCACACAGTTTGACTTTTTTCATCGACACAGCTTACTGCAGCCTTGACCTCCCAGGCTCAAGCAATCCTTTGCCTCAGCCTCCTGAGTAGCTGGGACCATAGGCATGCACCATCACACCCTGATAATTTTATTTTTGTAGAGATGGGGTCTTGCTATGTTGCCCTGGTTGGTTTTGAACTCCTGGGCTCAAGTGATCCTCACACCTCAGCCTCCGAAAGTGCTGGGATTATTGGTGTGAGCCACCATGCCCCATCTTGTCTAAATCCGATATGCTTTTTTTGACTGCTCATTCCATTGATGACTGAGAAAGGTATGTTAGAATCTCTCACTGTGATTGTGGATTTATTATTCTTATAATTCTGTCAAATTTTGCTTTATTTATTTTGAGACCATATTGTTAGAAGAGTCAAACTTTTGAATTAGTATATCTCCCTGTAGGTTGAATCTATTATTATGATGAAGTGATCATCTTTGACACAGGGTCTTGCTGTGTTGCCCAGGCTGGGGTGCAGTGGTGTGACCACGGCTCGCTGCAGCATTGACCTCCTGGGCTCAGGTGATCCTCCCACCTCAGCCTCCCTAGGAGCTGGGACTACAGGCATGCATCACCATGCTGGGTTAATTCTTTTATGTTTTGTAGAGTTCTCACTATGTTGCCCAGGCTGGTCTCAAACTCCCGGGCTCAAGTGTTCCTCCTGCCTCAGCCTCCCAAAGGTTTAGGATTGCAGGCATGAGCCACTAAAAAAATCTCTTGTCATGCTTTATGACCCAAAGTCTAATTTGTAGATATTAACAAGGCTACATTAGCTTTCTGGGATTACAGGAGTCAAGTCCTGCCTTCTAGGCGAGGATGCATGTCAAGAGCCCCAGTGGATGCCCCAAACTGTGGATAAGCTCCAGTGGATGCCTGAAACTGTGGATAGCATCAAGCCTTATATATACTAGGTTTAAGTGACGAGTGGGTGGACAGTGTGTGGAGTATGGAGAAGCTGGATAAAGGCACAATTCACATCTCAGGCAGGACTAGGCAGGATGCTGTGAGATTTCATCTCAATACGCAGAATGGCATGTAATTTAAAACTTATGAATTGTTCATTTCTGGAATTTTCCATTTATTATTTTTGGAGTATGGTTGACCATGAGTAACTGAAACTGTGGAAAGCAAAACTGCAGATACGGAAGGACTCCAGTATTTTTCCTGTGATGCGTCTTTCTCTGTAACTTTACTTTCAACCTTTCTGTTTCATTATGTTTTAGATATTTCTTCATTTTACATTTTTTGTATTTTTTTCATGACGCATCACTCTACCTAAAAAAAGTGTGTGTGTGTGTGTGTGTGTGTGTGTGTGTGTGTGTTTATTGAAATCCAGCCCAATAATTGTCACTGGTCATTTAGACCTGCATTGTCCAACGTGGTGGCCACTAGCCATGCATGTCTCCTGAGCACTTGAAATGTGGCTGGGCCAAGTTCAGGGGTGCTGTGAATGTGAACCACACACCAGATCTTGAAGAATTATTAAGAAAAAAGAATGTAAGATACATCAACAATTTTGAATATTAAATATATGTTGAAATGATATTTTAGAAAGATTGAGTTAAATAAAAATATTTTTAAAAAATAATTCTACCAGCTTCCATTTACTTACTGTGTAAAAATTTTAAATTATATACTTAGCTCATGATTTTTCTTTTGTACAACTCTGATTTTAGACCATGTACATCTCATAGTAATATACTTGCTTTACGTCTGCTATCTTATTATGCAGTTTTTCTTTGTTCCACCTGTTATACATTTCTTCTCTTTTTTCTCATCTTCATTTGGGTCGATATGGTATTTTAAAAAAAATCTTGTTTTCACATTATCAGTTTCAAAGTTATACACTCTTTTTCTATTATTTTAGCAACACCCTAAAAATTACAGCATGCATTCTTGATACACTAATTCTAGTATTTATAGATACGTTTAATTTTCCAGGAAAATGTATGAAACTTAGACTATTTTTTAACTCCATTTATCCCTTTTTGAATTCTATGCTGCTACTGGGATCCATTAAAAATATATAAGGGGCCCAGGTGTGGGGGCCCATGCCTGTAATCCTAATACTTTGGAAGGCCAAGGCAGGAGGATCGCTTGAGGCCAGGGGTTCAAGACCAGCCTGAGCAATAGTGAGACCTCATCTCTACAAAATAAAAATAAGAAAAATTAGTTGGGCATGATGGCGTGCACCTGTAGTCCTAGCTACTCAGGAGTCTGAGGTGGGAGGCTCGCTTGAGCCCAGGAATTTGAGGACATATATAGGGGGGATTGGAGGAAACTTTGGGTGGTGATGGATATTTCTGTGGCCTTCATGGTGGTGATGGATTCATGGCTGTAAACTTACTCCTAAACTCATCAAGTGTATACATGTATGTGCAGCTTTTTACATGTTAGTCATACCCCTAATAAGAGTGGCTTTATATCTATGTCTATCTATCTAGTCTCTCTGAGAACTTATTATAGTCAGCATTTTTAGACTTACCCAGGTATTGTCACCTTCTCTGCCCTTACTCCTTCTTGTGTTTCTGGTCTTTTATCAAGAGTCACTCTCCCTGAATTTAATTAATTACTTTTTTTGTACAATTGCCTTCCCCAAAGTGTCACTTTCTTTCTGCCTGAAGAATACCCTTAGAATTTGAATGTGTATTTGAAGATGGTATTCTGTCAGTTTTTGCTTGTCTGAGAATCAGTTGTTTTTGCCTCAGTTCTTGAAGAATATCCCCACAGGACAGAGTTCTAGGTTGACAGTTATTTTCTTGAGCACAGTGAAGATTCTACTCCATTGTTTCCTGGCTTCCATCTTTGCTGTTGAGAAGTCAGCTGTCAGCCTATTGCTCTTTTGAATATATTCTGTCTCTTCTTTGGCTGCTTTGAGGTTTTGTCTTTCTTTGGTTTTCTACAGTTTCAATGTGATGTTTCCATTTGTGGATCTGGAAAATTCTCAACTGTTATTTCTTCAAATATTGCCTGTGCCTCATTCTCTCTCCTCTCTCTCTGGTACTCGAATTGCAGGTATGTTAGACCTACTCACAATACCCTCTATGTCTCATTTCTGTGTCTTCCATTTTTATATATTGAACATGCTATTCTTCCACTAAAATTATTTTCTTAGTATTTTTTCCATTTTTTAGTCAGTTTTATTGAGATAAAATTTGCATGCAACATGATTTACTGATTTTAAGTAACCAACTCAGTGAATTTTGAGCAAATGCATATAGTCATTTCACTACCACCTTGATCATGATTTAGAATATTTCTATCATCCCCCAGAATTTTTTCCAGCTCCTTTATAGTAAACCCCTACCTCCACCCTCTAGCCATTGACAACTACTAATCTGCTTTTTGTCATTGTAGTTTCCCTGTTTCTATAATTTTATATACATACAATTTTACCGGGTGTAGTATTTTATGTTTGATTTCTTTTGCTTACGGCATGATTCTTTTGAGACTCATACATGTTTTACATATTTCAGTCAATTTAAAAAAATTATGGGGTAGTATTCCATTGCATGGATATAACACAAAATTTTTATTGGTTCACCAATAAATGCATATTTGACTTCTTCCAAATTTTTGGTTTCTATGAATAAAGCTGCCCAGAACGGTTGATTGGAAGTGGACATATATCTTTGTTTTCACTTGGATAAATACCCAAGAGTGGGGTTGCTGGTCAAAACAGTAAGTGTATGGTACATTTTATAAGAAATGGCCAAACTGTCATTCAAAGCGACTGTGCCGTTTTGCATTTAGTCATCAAGATACGAAAGTTCCACTTGTTTCACATCCTTGTCGACACTTGGTATTGCCAGTCTTTTTATTTTAGCCATTCTCATGGGTGTATGTGGTATGTTATTATGGTTTGAATTTTTAGTGCTCCAGTGACTAATGATGTTGGACATTTTTTCATATTCTTATTTGTTATCTACATATCTTCTATGGTGAAGTGTTTATTTGTTTTACTGATTATTAATTGGGTTATTTATGTTCTTATGGACTTACAGAGTTCTTTATATATATTCTGATACTTATAAATATTTTATCCCAGTAGTGGCTTACCTTTTCACTTTTCTTAACAATGACTTTTTTTTTTTTACTTTATTTTATTATTCTATTTATGTATTTATTGAGACAGGGTCTCACTCTGTTGCCCAGGCTGGAGTGCAGTGGTGTGATCATAGCTCACTGCAGCCTTGAACTTCTGGTCTCAAGCGAGCCTTCCAACTCAGCCTCTGAGTAGCTGGGCTTACAGGTGTGCGTCATCACACCAGCACAATTTGTAAATTTTTTTGTGGAGATTGGGTCTCCTGACACCCTTCAATGGCGATCAGAGTGTTAGTTTCTCTTTTTGGATGCTCAGGCGGGTGTGTAGCATGGGTGGTGTATTAGGCCATTCTCACGTTGCCGCAAAGAAATACCTGAGGCTGGGTAATTTATAAAGAAAAGAGGTGTGATTGGCTCATGGTTCTGCAGGTTGTACAGGAAGCATGGCTGGGACAGCCTCAAGAAGCTTCCGGTCATGTTGGAAGGTGAACGGGGAGCAGGCACATCATGTGGTGGGAGCAGGAGCAAGTGGGGGAGGAGGTGCCACATGCTTTTAAACAAGCAGATCTCGTGAGAATGCCCTATCAGGAGGGCAGCACCAAGGGCACGGTGCTGAACCGTTCATGAAGGACACACCCCTGTGACCCAGTCACCTCCCACCAGGCCCCACTGCAACACTGGGGAGTACAATTTGACATGGGATTTGGGTGGGTTGGGATTTGGGTGGGGACAATGCCATCTCAGGAAGATGCGCCTCCCCTGGGCAGCAGGCCCCTGACTGTGCTCCCTCCCCTGGGCACCTGGCAGTGGCCGCTCACTGGTTGTTTTGTGAGGCCCTCCTGGATGCTTTCTTCCTCTCTTGCACTGTGGCCTCCACTGCCTACAGGCAAAGGCGTGGGAGCTGCTGGGTTCCTGGAAGCAAGGATTGGCTCCCCTTCTTCCTCTGTCCCCCTCTTTCTCCTTCCCTTTGCTCCTCCCCTCCTCCCTTTGGCCTCCTCTCCTGCTCTTCCCTCCTTCCTCTTCCTCCTCCTCCTCTTCCTTTCCTCTATCTCCTCCTCCTTCTCCTGCCCCTTGTTGGGTCATACCTGACCTGCTGCCTGCATACTTCCTCCCCACCCACTGCTGCCCCAGCCTGTTGGGGTGTTTGGGCTGGGTTCCCTAATTGAACCCAGACCTGGTACCTCTGACACGCTTTCACCATGAGACTTCCATCATGTCCTCACCTCAGAGGCCACTGAGACCTCCCTGGCTGCCCCCTTGCCCCTCCATGCACTCTCTGGAGTGCCCTCCTTCCTGTTCCTCGGGAGAGCTGGTCCGCCTCGGTCCCTGGGCGGCACAGCCTAAGCCTCCAGAGATGTTTACTGGCTGAATGCATGCATTTCTTGGGAAAGTTTTCTTTTTTGGGATTTCTTTTGACGTTACAAACATGATCACATGTGCAGCTGGGTCGCGTTATCTCTCCTCGGTCTATTGCGCTTCCTTGGCAGGGGCTATACAAAGCGGACCAGCGGTTTGGGCCAGGTGTCGAGACCTACCCCGATGGCAGCCAGGACGTGGGGCTGTGGTTCCGAGAGCAGCTCATCAAGCTGTGCACCCAGATCCCCAGTGGCTTCTCCCTCCTCAGATACCCTGAGTTCTCCAGCTTCATCACCCACAGCCCTGCCAGGATCAGCCTCTCAGAAGAGGAGAAAACGGAGTGGGGACTGCAGGAGGGACAGGATCCCTTTTTCTATGACTATAAGCGGTTTCTTCTGAATGACAACCTAACGCTGCCTCCAGAAATGTATGTCTACTCGACCAACAGTGACCACCTGCCCATGACAAGCTCTTTCCGCAAAGAGCTGGACGCCCGCATCTTCCTCAATGAAATTCCTCCGTTCGTTGAGGATGGAGAACCATGGTTCATAATCAATGAGACCCCTTTGTTGGTCAAAATCCAGAAGCAAACTTACAAGTTCAGGTGACTAGTCTGCTACTGCTCCTCCCCTAGGGCCGTGCACTGTGCAGGCTGCCCTAGGCAGGTTCCTGAGGTCCCCGGCCAGCTGCCACTGACAGTGCTCCCTCAGGGTGACCTAAACACACTCCTCCCATTAAGTGACTGATGTGGGCGATAATGAAGGGAGGGAAAGCCCCTGCTGACTCGAGCTGGGAGGCAGGCCGGGTCCTGGGGCCCTGGACGTCTGTGCAGGGGAATGAGGGTCTCAGGATCCCACCTGCCCACTCTTGGGGACAGGAGTGATCAGAAGGTGGTTTGGTGAACATGCAGCCAGGGGAGTCCCGAGGCTGGTGTAGAACCTGGTGGGGGGATGTGGCTGGGGAGAATCTCCTGAGCCCGTGGAGCTAATGGTGAGTCCTGGCCCTGGGCCCTGTGCGTTTCCCCTTGTGCAGGCCATAGCTAGTGCCCTGCCCCCACCGTTGCATCAGCGCCTAGGTGTTCTATGGGCCAAGTCTCCTCTCGGTTGACATGGAGAGCAGGGTTTGTTGTTACTGTTATATGGTGGTAAGGGATCTGCATGAGAGCTAAGGGTGGGAGCACAGGGCAGTAGTGGTGTTGGGGCCCAGGCAGGCCTTTGACTTGTCCAAGGATGGCGTGAAAAGATGCTCTGCTCTGTTGGTCTTCCAAAAACCCTCCTACCCTACCCAGAGCTCCAGAAAAGTCAGCCACTACCTAAGGAGAAGTGTTTAATTTTTTTGGGGGGGGGGTGGGGGCAGGCACAGAGTCTCACTCTGTCACCGAGGCTGGAGTGCCGTGGCGTGATCTTGGCTCACTGCAACCTCCGCCTCCTGGGTTCAAGCAGTTCTTTGCCTCAGCCTCCCGAGTAGCTGGGATTACAGGTGCCTGCCACCACGCCCAGCTAATTTTTGTATTTTTAGTAGAGACGGGGTTTCACCATATTGGCCAGGCTGGTCTTGAACTCCTGACCTCATGATCCACCCGCCTCAGCCTCCCAAAGTTTTGGGATTATAGGCGTGAGCCACCGTGCCCGGTTGAAGTGTTTAATTTTTAAAAGTTAAAATATTCAAGAACACTTTAATTCCTTTCCTAAATATTGACCTCAGATGTCACTAAACTGTTTCAGAATGCATATTTTCTGAGAATAAGTGGCTGCTTTTTCATTCATCAATCCATCCACCCACCCAATCACCCACCCACCTACCATCCATTCATCCATCAGCACACCCATGCAACATCCATTCTTTCAGGCATCTGTTCATCTACCCACACACCTACCTATTCATCTACCCATCCAGCCATCCATTCATCCATCAATTCATGCATGCAATATCCATTCATGCAGCCATCCATTCATCTACCTACCCACCTACCCATTTGTCCACCCACCCACCCGTCCAGTCATTCATCAGTCCACCCACTTAACATCCATTTATCCAGCCATCCACTCATCTACCCACCCACCTACCCATTAATTCACCCACTCACCCACCTTTCCATCCATTCATCCATCAGTATACTCACGCAACATTGATCCACCCACCAACCCCTTCATCCATCAGTCCACCCATGGAACATCCATTCATCCAGCCATCCATTCATCTACCCATCTACCTACTCATTCATCTACCTACCCACCCACCCATCCATTCATCCATCAGTCTACCCATGCAACATCCATTCATCCAACCATCCATTCATCCAACCATCCATTCATCTACCCACCTACCTACCCAGTCATCCACTCACCTACCCATCTATCCATCTATCAATCTATTCATGCATCTTTCATCCATCCACCCACCCATCCATTCATCCATCAATCCACCAATGCGGCACCCATTCATCCACCCACCCACTTATCCATCTATTCATCTACCCACCCACTTATCCATCTATTCATCCACCCACCCATCCATCCATCTTCCCACCCACCCATCCATTCATCCACCCACCCATCCATTCATCCATCAATTCACTCATGCAACATACATCCACCTACCCAACCATCCATCCATCCATCATGCAGACATCAACTGGGCTTGTAATTGTTGAAGACTGTTAGGTACAGAAGCATCTATAATGCACAGGTTCTCGATTGTGAAAAGGGGTTGTGTACACACCAGGAGGCATCAGTGTTGTGTGATGAGTAAGCCATGAGATAATGCATGTTGTCTACTCAGACAAAAATGGATGAGCAGAGGGTGGAATGTGGGTGTTGGTGCTGAGACTGGAACCACATGTATGTTGGTCTCCATCCTACCCAGGGCCTTTGCTGTTACAGCCCATTTCTTAGCAAACACCCAGATGAATCAGAGATGCATGGATGTACTCGCAGCCAGCACATTCCTGTCGGGACAGACATATAGCCCAAGCATCTTGACCTCCAGGTGGCATGTCTGCACCACCGTGTGCAACCTAGTGGATTGTGAGCAGCTGCGGGTGCAGCTGCCAGCACTCAGGGTACCTGAGGAGTGAACAGTGGGGGGCTGAGCCACAAGAGGGAGAGGCATTGGAGGGAGGTGGTCCAGCTGGACCCTTTCTCGTGGGAGGTGCAGAACCTGGTCTAGGACCACTGAAACTTGTTGTGTTGCCAGGAACAAGCCAGCTCACACCAGCTGGAACATGGGCGCCATCCTGGAGGGGAAGCGCAGTGGCTTTGCACCCTGTGGGCCCAAAGAGCAACTTTCCATGGAGATGATCCTAAAGGCTGAGGAAGGGAACCACGAATGGATTTGTAGGATCCTGAAGGACAACTTTGCTAGTGCTGACGTGGCGGACGCAAAGGGCTACACTGTGCTTGCTGCGGCTGCTGTAAGCCCCACACCCTCCCAGCTGGTGCCCGCAGGAGCTTAGCTGTGAGGGTCACACATGTGGGTGGCCCTCTGTGGCCCCCTCTGCAGGAGCAGAGCTGAGGTACATGGGGACACTGATTGTCCACACCTCCACCTCGCCGTTCAGCAGAAACCCACTCAGCTGAGTGTGACACTCGTGGTCCAGTGCAGAAGGGTTTGGGGCAGAGTGCCTGTTCCATTCCTCTGTCCCACACTTGTCCCTTTGCCAAGCTCCCGAATGAGCACTGGTTCCTGCCCTGCCATAGGGTGGCCTCATGAGGGCATCAGGACACCCAGTGACCCTTCCCACCCCTGAGGGCCAGGTGCATCATCCTGAGTCCTGCCTCATCTCCCTCCAGACTCACTGCCACAACGACATTGTCAACCTTCTCCTGGACTGTGGGGCCGACGTGAACAAGTGCTCAGATGAGGGTCTCACGGCACTCAGCATGTGTTTCCTCCTCCACTACCCCGCCCAGTCCTTCAAGCCCAATGTTGCTGAACGGACCATACCTGAGCCCCAGGTAAGCCCCCCGGTGGCCACTGCACCACCAACTGTCTCCTGTAGTCTTCTCTGTCTCTGTAAATGTCCACCAAGCCTCCTCCCTCCTGTGTGGACCAGGCTTGTACAGGGTGAGTTATAAGGCAGGGAGTGGGCAAGAGAGACAGAGCCTGGGCATCCCCTAAGGGACCCTGAGCAGATGCCAAGGTATGTGTGTTCTTTACTCATCTCCTGCATAGCAGCCTGGGGCCCCGAGACCTGCCCTGCCAGCACTGTGCAGGAAAGGGGTGCTGTGGAGGGAGAGTGGGCATCCATGACAATGCCCCCAAGGTGGGGCTGAGAATCTGCATGCCTAACCGTTTCCTGGCAGTACCGATGTTATTGAAACACCAGGGGTTCGGTCTCAGTCCTGCTGCTCACCACACAGAAAGCCAATCACTGAGATGCCAAGTATTGCCAAGGAAGAAGGCTTTAATCGGGTGCTGCAGCTGAGGAGCTGGAAGCTCAGTCTCAAGTCCATCTCCCTGACTGACTAACACTGGGAGTTTATGTAGCAGGAAAGAAATGTAACAATGTGTAAGAAAACAGGAACTAGGACAAGGCAAGGAGGCATCTGGTGTGGTGATCTTGTGGCTTGCAGTTGTCTGGTGCTTCCTGAAGGTCCTTTCCTGAGGAAGGAACTCAGATAAAACAAATACAGTTTTCAAGCTTTAACAGAAGAGTCGATTTCTATGTTTATCCAAAAACAACTGTCTGTGGGACTCTTGGGCTGGTTTCACTGATGCCACTGGTCCAGGGACCACACTTTGGGAACCATGGCTCAAAACACAAACAGATCCAGGGCAGTGCCATGTGACAGAAATAAAACGTGTAATTAAAATTTGGGAGGTAGCCACATGAAAAAGTAAAACAGGTGGAATTAATTTTAATAATATATTTAATTTAGCCTAATGTATTAAAAATCCTATCATTTTGGTGTGTGATCAATATAAGCAGCATCATTAAGGCATTTGCCTTCGTTTTCCAACCTCTCCTTCACTTCTAAGCACCTGGGTGCGGACAGGCCACATTTTGTGAGCTTAGCAGCCATGTATAGGGCCATGCAGCCTGAGGTGTGGCCTGGTCAGGTGCAGGCTTCTGTCCGATGCCTTCACAGGGGTGTTCTTTTCTCTTTGAGGGTTTGGGGAAAGCTGCCCTGGTCTTTTCAGCCTAGCTGCTTTGAAGACAGCTCTAGGCCACGGGCATTGGTCCTTGCTGAAGAAGGTCCTAGAATGAGGTTATCACTCCAATTTATTCTAATGACACTTTTTTGGTTCTTTCCAAAGGAACCTCCAAAATTCCCAGTTGTTCCAATCCTTTCATCATCATTTATGGACACAAACCTGGAGTCTCTGTACTATGAGGTGAACGTGCCTTCCCAGGGTAGCTATGAGCTGAGGCCACCGCCAGCACCACTGCTCCTGCCACGCGTCTCAGGCAGCCACGAGGGCGGCCACTTCCAGGACACCGGGCAGTGTGGGGGGTCCATAGACCACAGGAGCAGCTCTCTGAAGGGGGACTCCCCGTTGGTGAAGGGCAGCCTTGGCCATGTGGAAAGCGGGCTTGAGGACGTGTTGGGAAACACAGACCGGGGCAGTCTGTGCAGTGCTGAGACGAAATTTGAGTCCAACGTGTGTGTGTGCGACTTCTCCATCGAGCTCTCGCAGGCCATGCTGGAGAGAAGCGCCCAGTCCCACAGCTTGCTGAAGATGGCCTCGCCCTCACCGTGCACCAGCAGCTTCGACAAAGGGACCATGCGGAGGATGGCGCTGTCCATGATCGAGTAGGTCCTGGCACCAGCTGGTGGGGGTGGAGGGCCACCATCAGGGCTGAATCCTATGCTCAGCAGACCCACGTCTCTTCCCTGTGCCAGTGGGAGGCGTTGTGTCTGGAGATGTGTGTCTGAATGTGTGAGCATCCCTGTGTCGGTGGCTCCACGCCATGGCCAGCCCTGTGGGGGTGCCACGGTGACGGGCTGTTTTCAGTGCCACCCCAGCCCTGTGGGGGTGCCACGGTGACGGGCTGTTTTCAGTACCACGCCAGCCCTGCTTTGGCCTTTGGCACTGGCCTGAAGTGTCTCTGTGGGAGCCTCAGCAGGGGCCACTGTCAGGGGTCCTATCCTAGCCATAGTGCACGTGAGTGACACCTGCCTGGGCAGCTCTCACACCCCTGCTGTCCACCCTGTCTATACCAGTGTGTCTCAAAATGTGGTCTATGCACCCCCGGGGGTCCAAGACCCTTTCAGGGAGTCTGTGGGGTCAAAATGATTCTCTTGATAACCCTGAGACTCTGTTAGCCTTCTCCTTGTGTTGATGTTGGTGGATGGTATGAAGACAGGGCCGTGCAGACCACCAGCCCCCAGCGTGCAGGGCAGCAGTGCCCGGCCTGCTTGGGGGCATGGTATTCCTTCACCACGGTGTGCACTTGCGGGGATGCCTGTCTCACTGAAGAATGCCTTTGACAAAGCAGAAAAGCAATGACAAATTGCATTAAATCTTGCTCCTTGCGTACACACCCCTCGAATATTCTGGGTCGGAAAACATGGGAAGGACACTGATGTGTGTCTGCCACAGACCAAGGCACACCGCTTCCCCGCAAGAAGCGCTTCCCCCAGGGCCAGAGTAGCAACAGAATGCGGCATCTTCCCAACCTCCTGCCCCATTTTTGATTGGAAGAATGACCACTGGTATGTGGCTGTTCATTCTCCTGAACACAGCCTGCCACTTTAAGGAAAACATATGACACTATTTGTTGCTGGCGAAATTTACATTTTCAAGTGAATAGCAGAATTCTGGACACTTGCCACCACCACCAAGACCTTCATAGCTTCCCTTAACTTTGAGACATGGGTGTTCAGAGGTTTTTCACGTGAGATGGCGTTAGCAGCGCAGTTTTGTGATACTGCCTGAAGACATGCCGACAGTGCCCAGATCTCTTCTATTGGTGAGCCAGCTTTTCCCACACGGCCAAGTTCTGATGTTGAACCATTGCCAGGTGGGTGAAGATCCATTGACAGTGAGAGGTGGGCCCGTGGGCTTCAGTGCAGCCAGGCGCAGAAGGCTGGTTCATGAGTGTCCAGCTCCGCCAGGTAGCTAGCTCACCACCCCCAGCCTGGGTTCATGTAGTTCAAATAGGAAGACCACGATGATCAGAAAGGCTGCTCAAATACTCCTTCGTCCAGCCGCGTACCTGGGGGAGGCTGAATCTCCACTCACTTCCACCAAGGCTGTGCAGAGCAGATAGGGGAATCCAGCAAAGGTGGAAAACAGTGCCATCCTTCTCCCCAACTGGTTTTGTTTTGTAAAATAACTTTTTGTGACAGTGTTACTTATTAGTAACATGCAGTGGGTTTGTTATGGTTAACAAGTTGGTGAGCATTATTGAGAGGTGAAGCCAGCTGAGCTTCTGGGTTGGGTGGGGACTTGGAGAACTTTTGTGTCTAGCTAAAGGATTGTAAATGCACCAATCAATGCTCAGTGTCTAGCTAAAGGATTGTAAATGCACCAATCAGCACTCTGTAAAATTGACCAATCAGCGTTCTGTAAAATGGACCAATCAGTGGTCTGTAAAATGGACCAGTCAGCAGGATGTGGGCGGGGCCAAAAAAGGGAATAAAAGCTGGCCACCGCCAGGCTCCCCACCAGCCTGCAGCGACAACCTGCTTAGTTTCCTTTCTGTGCTGTGGAAGCTTTGTTCTTTCAGTCTTCACAATAAATCTTGCTGCTGCTCACTTTTTGGTCCGCATCACCTTTAAGAGATGTTAACACTTGCCAGTGAAGGTCCACAGCTTCATTCTTGAAGTCAGTGAGACCATGAACTCACCGGAAGGAAGAAATTCCAGACACACCATGTTTAAGAGCTGTAAAGGGGGGCCAGGCGCAGTGGCTCACTCCTGTAATCCCAGCACTTTGGGAGGCCGAGGCAGGTGGATCACGAGGTCAGGAGATGGAGACCATCCTGGCTAACACGGTGAAACCCCGTCTCTACTAAAAATACAAAAAATTAGCCAGGCGTGGTGGCGGGTGCCTGTAGTCCCGGCTACTTGGGAGGCTGAGGCAGGAGAATAACTTGAACCTGGGAGGCGGAGCTTGCAGTGAGTGGCATCGCGCCACTGCACTCCAGCCTGGGCGACAGGGCGAGACTGTCTCAAAAAAAAAAAAAAAAAAAAAAAAAAAAGCTGTAACACCGCGAGTTCCGCGACTTCATTCTTGAAGTCAGCGAGACCAACAACCCACCAGAAAGGCATAGATCCTGGACATGTTTTGACAGTTTTTGAGCTTTACATGGTAGCGGCAGACAAGGAGAGCCAGCACCCACGTCAACGCAGCTCCCTGGGCTTCCGAGTGGTCAGGGTCTGGAGACGGGTCTGGAGACTGGGCTGGAGGCTGCTGCTCAAGTGCTCAAGGACGATCTAGTTCCCGCGGCTCCGATTCTGTGCCTACTGCAGGGCCAGTGGGCTTGGCTCGATCCTACACCTGCCCTGCCCTCATGGTCATTCCCGCTGCCATCTGGGCCCCCTACCCCCAGTCCCCTCCTCCCTCAGCCCTGCGCGGCTGCACAACCCCCACCCACCTGGTCCCAGCCTCTCTTGAGGCCCAAGTTTTCTCTGGAGGCACAGTTTACTCCTGACCTGGCCAGCCTTTCAGTGACCCCTCAGAGGTGTGTGTGCGCCTGTGTGTTTGTGTCTTTGTGGTGTGAGTGGTGTGTGTGGTGTGTGTGTGGTTTGTGTGGTTGTGTGCTGTATGTGTAGTGTGGTTTGTGTGCTCTGGTGTGTGGTGTGCCGTGTGCGTACTGTGTGGTGTGCGCTGTGCTATGGTGTGTGCGCTCTGGTGTGGCTTGTGTGTGGGGTTGTGTGCTGTGTGTACTGTGTGGTGTGCTGTGGGTGTGGTTGTGAGTGTGCTGTGTGGTGTGCTGTGTGTGCCGTGTGTGTGCGCTCTGGTGTGGCTTGTGTGTAGTTGTGTGCTGTGTGGTGTGTCTGCGTGTGTGGGTGTGTGCTGTGTGTGTGATTGTGTAGTTGCGGCACACACATACTCCCTACGCGCCCCTCCCCAGCCTCCTCGCTGGCATGGCCCCGTTCTGGGCGCAGTGCAGGTGCCTGCCCTCCAGGGGCCCACGGGCGCACCGTCTTTTTCAGGCGGAGGAAGCGCTGGCGGACCATCAAGCTGCTGCTGCGCCGGGGCGCGGACCCCAACCTGTGCTGCGTGCCCATGCAGGTCCTGTTCCTTGCTGTGAAGGCCGGGGACGTGGATGGGGTGAGGCTGCTGCTGGAGCACGGGGCGAGGACCGACATCTGCTTTCCGCCGCAGGTAGGAGCCGCGGCGGGCGGGCGCCGGGACGAGCGCAGCAGACTCCCGGGCACTGGCCGGGAAGCTCCTCGCTCCACCTAGGCGCGGAAGAGAGGGGTGGGCTCTTGCAGGCGACCACCTGGGCTGTGAGTGATGACGGCGCGCCGCAGTGGGGGGTCCCACAGCCCGCTCTTTCACCCATGTCCCCAGACAGGATTTGGACACCGAGCTAGTTTTTAGAGTACTTCACGATCCGTGTGATTTTTTTCCCAGTGTTGAAGCAAACTAAGGGGAAGCGCATCCTGAAGGCCCCTTGGAAAGGGGAGACTTATATTCAGGAGGAGGCGGGCCTCCTTTCAACCCACGCTCAGCATCACAAGGACGCAGGCAGGAGAGGCAAAGGGTTTTGGTGCTGAGGTTTTATCTTTAGCTCAACAGATCCAGCCGCAAAATATTTAGCTGAGAAAAAATCTTCGAAGGGGAATCTGATTTTATATTTTTTTTCTTAAGAAGTGCCTTTCCCAGCGGACGGCTTCTTCCCTCTCTGAGGCCACACCCACCCGTGAGCAAGCGGCTTCACAGGGCATTTTGCTCTGGAATAAATTAGCCTGCTAGTTCTTCGAAGAAAGTTTAGTGTTTCTGCTGAGTTTCACTGGGGACTCAGGGCTTTATGGGCTTAGCTCGTTCAAACAACTCTCCTTTTCCCACCTGTCCCCCTGGGCAGTGTGTACCCCCGTGCTTGGCCCCAGATTCCTGCAGCCCTTCCCACAGCACAGCTGCTGGAAGGGCTTCCTTCCCGAATTTCCACTGCTCTGGAATGGAATCGGTCGCTGCCCATGACTGCTCCTCCTCTCAGAGGCGTCTGGGGTGAGGCCAGGCTTCTCTCGCAGCTCCGTCAGTCCATGAGGGCCTCGTTAGGTTCACAGGGGATGGGGCGAGATGGAAGTATGACAGCAAGCGTGGGCTCACTGCGGCGTTTCCTGTTCACTTTAACGTGACGTTATCTGTTGTATTTCATCCCTTTGCCTGAACCCTTGTTGTCATTCTTTCTCTTTGTATTTTGAAGGACCCTACAATCATTTCTCTAATTTAACATCTAGACCAACCCCATCACAATTTTCCGTTCAGTGCATCCACCCATCCACACTCAAGAAACCACTGCTGTCCACAGTGGCTGTGAAGATTCCAGATGGGTGACGAACTGGCACCAGGGCCACCTTTGGGTGCCCCCAGAACAGGGGGCCCATTATGCAGACCCATGATGGGCTTCTGTCCACTTGGCTGTGAAATTTATTTGTAGATTTTGTTTTTCTTCTCCGGTTGTGTAAACACTCGTCCATCGTTTCAGCACTTTACCTTCTTCACAGGGTGTTGATGGGGTGAGAGCTGATGGCTCTCTCTGGGCACCAGCCTTGCCAGTTGTCACTCAGGCGGCATTGAGTGTTTGAGGGCAGGCGGGTCTCACTGTCCAGGCCCCTTAGTGCACAGCCTTTCAGCTTGGAAATTAAACTTTTCTTCCAAGTGTAAGATTACACAGAAAACAGAATTTTTGGTTTAAGACTCAGGATAATTTCATACCTTTTTAGGTTTACTGATTGGACTCCGTCTTTGAAACTGATTAAGGTCACAACCTTTAAACTGGGCACGGACATCCTTCACTGTGTCACATGTTTATTCACCTGTTCATAGCTGATCAGGAATGTATTATTTACACATTTATCTTTCAAATAGAAAGTTTTTAAAAATTAAAATATTTGAGTGGGTTCAGAAATGAACATGTCACCAAAACGCCAGGGGTTCGGTCTAGATCCTGCTGCTTACTGCACAGAAAGCCAATCAGTGAGATGACAGGTACTGCCAGAGAAGAAGGCTTTAATTGGGTGCTGCACCAGGGAGAGCAGGAGATTGTTCTCAAACCCTGTCCTCAACCGACTAAAATTGGGGGTTTCATAGCAGGGAAGAAATATAACCACGTGTGGGAAAGCAGGAATTAGGAGGGCTAAGAAAAAAGAGTTGGTCAGCAAGAAGCTGGTGGTCCCAGAGGCAGGCATGATGGGTGAGGGGTCTAGGGTCTCACTGTCCAGATGCTGTGATCTAGTGAGTCTCTGTTCCTTGATACTATTTAGGAGGACTGCTGGTTGGTTTCCTGAGGAAGGAGCTCAGATAAGACAAATGTAACGTTCCCAAGTTTTAAAGAATGGAAGGGTCAATTTCTATGTTTATTTAAAAGAAACCATAGACATCAGTTCTATGGGACAATTGGGCCCGTTTCAACACCCTTCCCCCCCATTCGTCAATTCCTCAATCATGAGGAATCAGGCCACGCATCCGTCTCGCTGCTTCATGCTGAGGAGGGGCGTCGTGGGCAGCTGCACACCATGGGTGTCCCTGCGGCTTCCCAAGAATCAAAGGTTAATCTGATACTAGAGTTTTTTTCTAAAATGCAATCTTTCTTTCCAATCCCCCACTTCCACCAAAGGCAAATCACAGCAAGAACAACCTACCTGCAAAATAAGCTTCAGTGGCCTGATTACCCACACAAAGTGCAGAAAGAATTATTGTCCTTTTTTTTCTTTTGAGGCAGGGTCCCACTCTGTCACCTAGGCTGCAGTGCAGTGGTATAATCATGGCTCACTGCAGCCTCCACCTTCCAGGCACAAGTGATCCTCCTACTTCAGCCTCCAGAGTAGCTGGACTACAGGCACCACCAGGCCTGGCTAATTTTTAAATTTTTTTGTAAAGACAGGGTCTTACTATGTTGCCCAGGTTGGTCTCAAACTCCTGGACTCAAGCAGTCCTCCCGCCTTGGCCTCCCGAAGTGCTAGGGTTA
This sequence comes from Homo sapiens, assembly GCF_000001405.40. Classification (NCBI taxonomy): domain Eukaryota; kingdom Metazoa; phylum Chordata; class Mammalia; order Primates; family Hominidae; genus Homo; species Homo sapiens. Next base: position 240,517,552 of record NC_000002.12, on the reverse strand, counting down.
CAGGTATGAGCCACTGTGCCCGGCCAAGAGTCATTGCCTATACAGGCTATCCTAAGTTGGCTTTGCGGGAATATTTCACAAGGAATCTCAGACTCTACCTCAAAGACCTCTCAGGCCAAGCCAAGGATCCATCTGTACCTTCAGATCCCTGCATGAATTGGGAGAACCAGTCTTCTCAAGGTCCCAAAACAACTTGAGGTTCCTGGGCCTGACAGAAAGTGACACGGTCCACTTACCACATGCCCGGAAGTGTGCAAAGGAATTGCATAGACAAGGTATGAGGCCAGTTATTCTAAGAGGTTCTCATTGACTCTATAAAGTCAATCTCAATTTCTCAAAGCAATCTGCTTATTCTGAAAATGTGCCATTCCAGTCAAAGCCCTGGGAGAATAACCAGTTCTTCCAACTTTGTCCCATTATAAAAAACAGATTCCTAATAAATGTATGCAAACAAATACATTGCCATGAATTAAAAATATTTGCATAGTTTCCAAATTCTGGAGAAGTCAGGAAGACAGAGAAAAAAGCTTCAAATTCTGTTTGCAAGAGTATATACTCTACTCAATTTTTAATGGATATAAACAGCTTAAAAGAGAAAAGCTTTCCAGACTCCAAAAAATGAAACAAAAAGAAACAGCAGTGTTTCAAAAAGAAGCCATTAACAATTATTTCGGTCCTCCGTTACCTCAGTCCATGCAGTCACCTCCTGCTTTGCTTCACACTGGGTTAGCAGTCATACCGGGTTAACACCAGCTTTTTAGTTAGAGTCCTGGAAGTTTCCTCTCTAATCCAATGGCACAATCTCCAAAGTTATCAGAAACATGCATTCAATAGTCCTTTCCATGAACTCCCCCAAAGAAGTAAGCCCTGGATGGTAGCTGATTGATTGTAAGTCACTTTGTGAAAAGAAAACAAAACAATAATTGTGGATGACAAAAGTTTTAGGACAGCCATAGTTAAAGACACAGTTGACAAGGAAATTTGGTTATTTCTGTGTCAGACAACAACTTAACAATAATTAGGATAACCACTGGCAACATATATTAAGACAGATCAGAATTTCAGGAATGTCATGCAATCCTGGAACACATAGGAACAACGTATCTGTATACATATAACCTAGAGAAGGTTAAACACCACTTTGCATTTGACAATACTTTCTGTAAAATTCTAACGTGCCAAATAAGCCTAATATGTCTCTCTAGGACTTTAGGGACCCAATACCCCCCAAAAAGGTAGTTTGAGGTAAAGAAGACTGAATTTAAAACTTGAAATTTTGCTTTTGGAGTTTGTCATATATCAAAGGTTAAAGACACTTGATATTATAAAACAGGTTCACAGGTCACTATACAATTGCCAATCCTTTAGCCAAAATAATTCAAATATTTCAAAAAAAAAAAAACCCCACAAAAACCTTTACTCTTTGATTGGAGAATCAGTTTCCCAAACAGTAAGACCTAATAAAGACAGCATGAGGCCAACTGAATCTGTCCCTCCTTTTTTTTTCCCTGCAGTTTACTCAAAAGGGAAACAAAAATATTTTATTATTGCCTGTAATCCCAGCACTTTGGGAGGCTGAGGTGGGCAGATCACAAGGTCAGGAGATAGAGACCATCCTGGCTAACACGGTGAAACCCTGTCTCTACTAAAAATACAAAAAAAAAAAAATTAGCCGGGCATGGTGGCGGGTGCCTGTAGTCCCAGCTACTCGGGAGGCTGAGGCAGGAGAATGGTGTGAACCTGGGAGGAGGAGCTTGCAGTGAGTCGAGATCGCGCCACTGCACTCCAGCCTGGGCAATGGTGTGAGACTAAGTCTCAAAAAAAAATTATCTTTTATTAATGTTCTACAAAAATTTTGTTGAAAAGAGAAAAACAAATTTTACCCTTGTATTATGAATGTTAAAGCTAATTTTAATAAAACCTTGTAAACGAGTCTATTTTAGTCAGTTTAAACATCACAAGGTAAGACTTCCATAAAACGTTTATAACCTTTTACAATTTTCTTTTTCTTTTTTTTTGAGACTGAGTCTCACTCTGTCGCCCAAGCTGGAGTGCAGTGGCAAAATCTCAGCTCACTGCAGCCTCCGCCTCCTGGGTTCAAGTGATTTTCCTGCCCCAGCCTCCTGAGTAGCTGGGATTACAGGCGCCTGCCGCCACACCTAGCTAATTTTTGTATTTTTAGTAGAGGCGAGGTTTCACCATGTTGGCCAGGCTGGTCTTGAACTCCTGACCTAGTGATCCGCCCACCTTGGCCTCCCGAAGTGCTGGGATTACAGGTGTGAGATACCGCGTCCAGCCAACAATTTTCTATTAAAGAGCAAATCAGATCTCAAAGAAAACCCTATTATTTTGACACTGGGGCCCAGACACTGGCCTTGTAACCACGTACTTTTGATATTAATGTTAATTTATAGAAAAACTCTGAACTAGTTTTATCCCTCAGAATTGCCCCTTGCAATCTCATGTGCTCACCTCTTTTACGATAGTCTCTGGGCCTAGAGGGATTGAATAGTTTTAATTTCTGGCCCTGTGTCTCACAAGAGCAGTTCATCTTGATTGACACCTTCTCCCAGGTCTGAAGACCAGCAAGAGCAGAACATCAGCACTGTGGCAGACACAAGTCCCAGTGCTCATGCCCATGCATGCCCATCCACTGGTAACCCAGGGAGGTGGCTGGGGCATCTGAGGCAGAGGGCAGGGCAGGTTCCAGGCAGCTGCTGACTCCCAGGAGGAATGGGACTCTCGGGGTTGCCTCCCTCCACCATGCTGCGCAGTTGTGGCTTCAAGTCCCACTCTAACTGCCAGTCTCACCTGGACCTGGCAGTAGTCCAGGGGTTTCTTTGCTCTTCAATGCATTTTGCACCTTGCAGCTTCCTCTTGGATTCCTTCTGTGCTCTCTGCAGAGTGTCATTGGACATCCTCGTGGAGAGGATCCGTGGTGGGAAACTGAGCCCTCATGTTACTGAAAATGTCACCATGTTACCCTCTTGATTGAATAATAGATTAGCTAGATACAGAATTCTGGTTCCAAACTGTTTTCCCTTAGACCTTTGAAGGTCCTGTCTCACTGTCTTCTGTCCTTCTGGGACTCGTGGGACTTAATGAGAAGTGTGATGCCCCCCTGCCTCCTGTGTCTGTGTAAGGGTTAATTCCCTCCCTCCTTATTAAGTCACCTTAGCACTGGGTCAGAGCTGTGGGTCTGTGAAATTTTCTTGCATTATTTCTCTAGTATTTCTCTCTATTGTGCTCTCCCTACTGGCCTGGAGCTCCTACCTGAGAGACGTTAGAACCCCAGCTCTCTCTCTCATGTACCCTGATTTTGTTTTGGAGTGCTTTATATGTCTTTGTGCTTCTGCTGTTTTGGGGAATTTCCTCAGCTTAATCATTTCCTGATTCACCCCTCAGCTGGGTTGGTTCTGTTATTAGCTCAGTTATTGCTGTTGCTGCTGCTGTTTTAGGGGTGACATAACATGTAAGGAGGGTGTGGCCTCCGGCTGACTGTTGTAGATGCACGGCCCCGTGCGCCTCCTGGTGGCCTGGGCTGTGGTTACCATGGAGCAGCGGGCTGCCCATTCTCCACTTGCCTGCTTGGGTCTGCGTCCCTCTGGGGTCAGTAGATTGTTGCCTGCAGCACCGGCCTCCCCAACATCAGGCGATGCCTGCATTATATTCTCTTTTCTGTCCTCTCACTGCATGCCTCTGCTGGGTATGGACGCTGCTGGCCCTGGTCATGCTTGAGGCTGTGGGTGTTGGGCTGTGTGGAGGTCGCAGGGGCTGCTGTCAAGCTGGGATAGTACTGCTCCTCCTGGGAGTCAGCAGCTGCCTGGAACCTGCCCTGCCCTCTGCCTCAGGTGCCATGTCCCTTGGTCACCGGTGGATGGGCATGCATGGGCACACCCGGCTGCTCTCCCCAAGTTCCTGTGGCTGGTCCTCATGCTGGTGGCTCTTCCCACCATCCAGGCTCACCTGTCTCCCCCTCAGGGGTCCCTCCTGGGTTCTTTTCTCTTTCCTGTTGGAGCGAGGCTGGTCTTTAAGGGACTGGGGAGCATCTCTTGACCCAAAGCCCACTGTCCATTCTCAGCCGGGCTCTCCCTTAGGACGGCAGGGCTGCCTCCAGAGGCCAGGGCCCCTGTGAACACCTCTGCGTCACTGCTGCACAGCAGTGGCCTCTATGGATGCTGTCAGCTGATGGCTGGGGACACTGTGAGTGGAGAATGGACAGGTCAGGGGCTGGAGTCAGGAGGCCACTCAGGAGCTGCACGGCTGTTAATGTGGTGGGCCTGGCAGGGCAGGGAGAGGCTTTTCTTAGAGGAAGTTGTGGACAGTGGCTTAAAATCACACTGGTTCAGGGTGGGCCTTCCTACCTGTGGCCCTGGCAGACAGAGGCATATTAGGCATTGGAAGCAACATGTATGTCTTGCTCAGCGTGTTGGGAGTTTGCCCACACTGCCTTCAGGGACCAGTAGCCTGCACGTTGTGAGGCAGGTGAGGCTGAGAATGGTGCCCTTGGAGTCTCAGCCATTTCCCTGGCATTTGGGTCCCTCAGGTACCTCACCTGTCTCTCCCTACGAGAATGTGCCTCACTGCCCGCCCCGGTGTTTCCTCTGCAGCTGAGCACCCTGACACCACTCCACATCGCTGCCGCCCTTCCTGGGGAGGAGGGGGTACAGATTGTGGAGCTGCTGTTGCATGCCATCACCGATGTGGACGCCAAGGCATCCGACGAGGACGACACTTACAAGCCCGGCAAGGTGTGTACCTCGCGACCTGGATAGGGGTATGGGGCCTTGGCCAGGTGTGCCTGGATGGATTCACACACTCTGCCTAGCCTGTGCTTGCCGAGCATGATGGGCCTCCTGGCTTGGGGCCTGGGCAGTGGAAATCCTGCATAGAAACAACCCGTCCAGATGAGAACCTTAGCCAGTGGGCTTGTTTTGATATCAAGAGGCAAAAATTGTTGATTGGAATGAGTTAAGAACTTGATTATTCAGGCAGTCCACAGGGCGTGGGGGTCCCCATGCGGACCTTTTGCAGGTAACTCCATCTCACGCCTTTCCGAAGGTTCATAATTGCAGACAGAGGCCAGTTCCATGTCCCCAGGGCCTCCTCCAGGCCGAAGCCATCCTGTCCCACCAGGCCCTGCCAAGCTCCAAAAGACCCCCAGTCATGGGCCGCAAGGCCATGTCTTCCTTCCTCCACAAGGGGTTGAGCCCCTTGAGGGCAGGAGCTCTGAGGCTTTCAGTCGCCAGCACACAGCAGGAGCCATTGAGCGCACGAACATGCTGGACATGGTGTGCGCAGCTCACCCACTGCGTGGGGGACGTGGGAGGGGAGGGCACAGAATGGCTCTGACCTCTGTGGATGTTGGGGTGTCTCAGAGACAGGCATGCAGGGAGAGGCTCGAACAAAGTCAGGCATCCGCCTTCAAGAGGGTTTCGCAGGGTGAGACTCCAGACCCGCAGGCTGGGGAGGAAGCTCCCTTGCTCCGTTTGCCTTCCCGTGGGCACACGGCAGGTCCGTGGGCGCTGGCGGAGCCCTCCGTTTTACACAGCTGGACCTGCTGCCCTCAAGTCTGAAGCTCAGCAATGAGCCAGGCCCTCCCCAAGCCTACTACAGCACGGACACAGCCCTCCCGGAGGAGGGGGGCAGGACGGCTCTGCACATGGCCTGCGAGCGGGAGGATGACAACAAGGTGAGGGCAGCCAGGGCCTGGCGGGGGCACAGGGCTGCCCAGCGGTGGGGCCACCTTCCAGGGCCTTGTGCCCCCGGAAGCATGTGTTCTCATGCTGAGTCTTAGGCAGAAGCCAGGGAGCTTGGAAGGATGGGGAGGGAAGCAAGGCAAGGCGGGAGGACGGGATTTCCCACTCACATGCACACACGCACGCCTGCGCACGGGGCCTGGGTGGCGGCATGAAGTCTACTTCTTACCACAGGGCCTGGTCAGACGTGTTTGGGAGCCTCTGGCCTGGGCTGTGACCGTCTGGTGCTGCTGACCCTCCTCTGTCATCCTCATGTGTCTCTGACTCAGGACCTCAGGGTTGGTCTTATCTTCCAGAGCCCTGGGCGGTGCCCCTTTGGCCCTGTGGCCGCTGCCTCCTGCCTGCCTCGAGGGTTAATTCCTACCAAATTGGGTGTGGGAACCACTCCGAGGATGCCCAGCGGCTGGGGTGGATGCGGGGAAACTGAGGCCAAGTCTCAGCTTTGCCGTGTGGCAGCAGATGCAGCCCAAGCCAGTTGGCCACGGAGCACATGGCACACCGAGCCTCAGTTTACCCACTTACAAATGAAATTAATGATCCTGGGCCTTCAGCAAGGTGGTAACTTGTGTGGTCCTGACATGAGCGTGAGGATGAGTGTGCAGGAGTGCCATGTGTGCTAGTGGGCATGCGGGTGACACTGGGATGGGGATGGGCAGACAGGGAGGTGGGGAGGTGGGGGCACTGACAGGCCTCCCTGCTTCAGAACATCCCTGTCTGGTCAGAGCCTCCTTGGAGGGTAGGGAGAAGGAGCAGGTCTGTTGGGTCTTCTTGGGGCCAGGCGCTCTGCCCTGAGTAGACCACCTGAAGGGTGGCAGGAACTCACGTTAGGAATGAACAGTGAGGCTCCAGGAAGGCGGCTGGTCAAGGCTCCCACCGTGAAGGACGAGGCCTGGGCAGTGAACACAGGGCTTTCTGTTCGCACACTTGTGTCCTGATGACAGATTGGGAAAGTTGTGGGGAAATAAAAGGAGACACTGAATGTGACACTATCATTGGGTACAGGACAGACTGGCAGGTGGAACTTCAGTGCTGCAGGCGTGACGGCTGCAGCAGTCCAGCCATCACATCTGTATCCCAGAAGGGAGGGGAAAGGGGTCCCTTTCCCAGGAGCCCCTCAGCAGACTTCTGTGGGCACCTCCTTGGCCTGGCCAGCAAGACTGCGGGAAAGGGGAGTGTGCATGGTGGTTGGGCCAGCCAGACACAGGGTCTGCCGCATCTGAGGGGCACAGTCCCAGCAGAGCACTGGGATAGGGAGCTGGGCCAGAGAAGAGTCCCTGCAGTGGGGGAGGAGGAGTCGCAGAGGTCAGGTCCTAGTGAACACTTCTGGGAGAAGAGGAGGAAGAGAAGGGAGCAGCTGAGGATTGCACAATGGGACGTTCTGACAGGGGAGCAAGGATGAGAGAATGGACAGGAAAACAGAGGGGTTCCCAGGGAGGAGTCAGGGAGGCGGGAAGGGCAGGGACGGGGGAGGAGGGCAGGAGGCAGGGAGGCAGGAAGGGCAAGGATGTGGGGAGGAGGGCAGGAGGCAGGGAGGCAGGAAGGGCAAGGATGTAGGGAGGAGGGCAGGGAGGCAGGGAGGGCACGGACTAGGGAGGAGGGCAGGGAGGGCAAGGACTGGGGGAGGAGGGCAGGGAGGGCACGGATTGGGGAGGAGGGCAGGGAGGGCAAGGATGGGAAGACAAGGGCAAGGAGGCAGGGAAGCAGGGGGGCAGGGAGGCAGGGAGGGCAAGAATGGGGAAGGAGAGCAGGGAGATAGGAAGGGAGGACAGGGACGGGGGAGGAGGACAGGGAGGCACAAAGGGCAGGGACAGGGGAGGAGTCAGGGAGGCAGGGAGGGCATGGATGGGGGAGGAGGGCAGGGAGGCATGGACGGGGCTGCCCTCCTGGTGCAGAGAGTGCTCCACCAGCCGAGGGTGGGGCTCTTTACACTCAGGCCGTCCTCTACGATCACTGAGCCCTGGTGGAGGAGGTGCTCCTCCAGTCACACCTGCTGTATGCCAGGACCTGCCACGTGGTCATGTGGTCTGGACTGTCCCTTGTCCTCTGAAAACAAACTTTAAATCAACTTATGCATCAATGTCCTCCTACTTTTCATTTGGAAGTGATGAATGCTTAGAAAATATCTTCTCCATTTGAAGATCCATCCACCTCCCAACCCATTCACCTATCCATCTATGCATCCACAATTTTGAACACCTTGTGTCAGGCAAGGTAATGGTTGGCAGGAAGTAGCCGTTGAGTGACTACATTGATTTCATGGCATTTAAATTAATGACTACCATCAGGTGCTGCTTATGGGTGGGGGTGCCTCTCTAACCTGTCATTTCTCCCCACCCAGTGTGCCAGGGACATAGTCCGGCTCCTTCTATCCCACGGAGCAAATCCTAACCTGCTGTGGAGTGGCCACTCCCCGCTCTCCCTGTCCATTGCCAGTGGGAATGAGCTGGTGAGCATGTTCTGTACCCACAGACCTGTGCACCTATGTGTTTCCGTCTCCAGTGCCCACCCCACCAGTCCGTCATTGGGATTTGAAGTTGTTGGCCATTTATCCATCCATCCATCCATCCATTCATCCATCCACCCATCCACTCACCCACCCATCTATCCACCCAACTACCCATTCACTCACTCTTCCACTCACCTGTCTACCCATCCACCCATTCTTCCATCCATCCATCCACCTGTCCACCCAACTTCTCATCCACTTATCCATCTACTCACCCATCCATCTACCCTCCACTCATCCATTCATCCATCCTTCCACCCAACTACCCACCCACTTATTCATCCTCTCATCCATCCATCTATACATCCATCCTTTTAACCAGTCACTCATGTATCAACCCAACTACCTATCCACTCAACCGTTCACCCATCCATTCATTCACCTATTCACCCATCCGTCTGTCCATCCATCCATCCATCCATTCATCCATCCACCCACCCACCCACCTACCTAGACATCATCATCCTTCATTCACCCAGTTGGAAGGATCTACCGTCCACCCATTCATTCATTCATTCATTCATTCATCCATCTATCATTTAACTGTTATTTACTGAGCATCTGCTACGTACCTGGCAGGCACCATTCTAGGCACTAGGTGTTGAATTAAACAGTCTCTGCTCTCAAGGATCCTATATTCTCGTTGGAGGAGCCAGGCCATAAACTAGTATGTAACACAGTTTCAGGAAATGACAAGTATTATAAAGAAAATAAAGCTTAGTGAGGGGATGGAGAGTGATGGGAAGGCAGGCTACTTTAGCAGGGTGGCATGAAATGCTTCTCAGATGAGGTGACATTTCAGCAGAGGTCTGCAAAAGCTGAAGGCATTCATAGAATTTGTGAAAGCTGACGTAGAATGGGGCTTCCAGGTGCTTCTGCAGAGGCCAGCACCTCTGCTCCCTGCTTTCTTCTCTCCTGCACGGAGTCATCCATTCAATAAGTCATGTGGGGCCCCTGCTCAGGGCTAGGCCCTGTTAGAGGCAGGGGTGTGGAGGGAAGAGAGCTTTGTTCTGAGGGGCAGAAGCTTGTGAGAGCCAAACACTAAGGACCCGTGTCTGGCCACGGCTGTCCTTCTTCCTGGGTGGAATCTGAGCTGGCGGCTGGGCACACAGCAGGGAGAAGGGAGGTGTGCCTCTTTCTGTGCCTGGCCGAGTGGTCACATTGACACTGGTGCCCCGGTGCAGAGGCAGATAGCCTGGGCACCAGGCAAATGTGCTCCTAACCCTGTGCTGGGACTGGCCCCTGGGCTTGGCTCTGTCTGGGGCTGAAGAGCAAGGTGGGAGCTGGGAACCACGCTGGAGAATCCCCATTTTGTCAGGGGACAGAGAAAGTGCTGGAACTGGCCCACCTGGGTGGAGTTCCAGCTCCTCCCTAACAGACCAGCCATGGGACCCCTCCCCGCCCAGCATCATCCTCTGTGGGACAGGCCAGCAGCGGGACCCACTGTGGGTAGGATCCGTGGGAAGGGCCAGCGGTGGCCTCCGTGAAGCCCCTGCTTTCAGGGGTTAGTTCTGGAGTGGCCCAGCCCTGGGGCCTTCCCCTCTGTCAGGGGAAGTGACATGGTGGCCACTGATGAGACTGTCTGTGTATGTTCAGGTTGTGAAGGAGCTCCTGACCCAGGGAGCTGACCCCAACCTGCCCCTGACCAAAGGCTTGGGCAGTGCCCTGTGTGTTGCCTGTGACCTGACCTACGAGCACCAGAGGAACATGGACAGCAAGCTGGCCCTGGTGAGGGGCAGGAGGCTGGGGTGGCCCTGGTGAGGGGGTTTGAGGGTGGTGGGGTGGCCCTGAGTGAGGGGTGTGAGGGCTGGGTGGCCCTGATGAGCGGGGAGGGGAGTGGGTGGCCCTGGGTGAGGGGTATAAGGGCTGGGTGGCCCTGGGTGGCAGGGGTGTGAGGGCTGGGTAGCCCTGGTGAGGGGGGGCGGGAGGTTGGGGTGGCCCTGGGTGAGGGGAGGGAGGAGTGTGAGGTGGGCTGGCCCTGAGCATGGGGAATGTGGGGTCTGGGGGTGGGGTCCTCATGGACTTCTCTGCCTGGCTGTCATTCCTGGCGGGCGGTGGGTCATTTGTTCTGTGTTCTCCAAGCCTTGGTGGTCTAAATAGTGGAGAAAGGACAAAATATTGTCTGCTTTTAGTATTTTACAGGCCTTAAAAAATATGAAGTGGCAAATCCACTCAGCAGACCAGACAAAAAAGTTCCCTGAAATTTGTCTCGGTGAAAACAAGATTCAGGATAGACATAGACCTCACCTTGGTCCAGCTGCACAATTCTGGCTTTCTCAGTGGTCCACGCAGCTGCTGGGCGGGGGTTTGGGGCATTGTCTCCTGGCCACAGGGAGCGGCTTTCTTAGGTGGAAGCTCACAGTCGGGAAATCCTGCCCGCGCTGGAGACACCTTCTGTCCTGAGCCCTAGGCACGTCCCTGGAGTGTCCCTCCCATGTGGCTCTGGGAAACTCTCAGTGGCTTTGGCTCAGGCAGGGCCTCCCTCTGTGCCCTGCTGCCTGCTGCCCTCCGCCCATGCCAGCCCTTCCTGTGTCCGCTGTGGGCACCACCCACGACCTTGCTTTCCTCAATCCATCTTGGTACACACTTTGGTTCTTACCTGTCTGAGGGAGAAAAAGGGGGAAGGAGGAGGGGGGTGAGACTCAGGCGTCTGGAATGGGGGGCGAGACCCAGGCATTTGGAAGGGGAAGGGCGAGACTCAGGCGTCTGGAAGGTTGTTTGACGTCACAAAAGGGTAGCTTTACTTAAAAGAACTGAGACTTATCTTGAGATGCTGTTTCCAGATCTGATTTTAAGTCTCCTGTCCTTCTTCCTAAGACCCTGTTCTGTCTGGATAGACTAAGTGAGGACGCAGAAGTCAGTTTTCCATAGGCGGCAGAGGATGGAATGAAACAGTGTGTGTGGGTAGTCGGCACCATTTCTGGACCTGGGGGCTGGGAGGGGCCCCCTAATGTTCTTTCGGAGCTTCATAGGGCCCAGGATTGATGACCAGTCTCTTGTTCATCTAAGTCTGAGTAAATAGAGAAAGGACGCGAGACGGGAGAGGCAGCTCAGGGGGCAGCGTTGTTGTGTGTGGACGCTGAATGTGCCTTGAACATACAGAATAGTCCTTCGTCCGGGGTTGGGGGCTCCCAGCGCCTCATCCGGGGTTAGGGGGCTTCCCAGCGACTTGTCCAGGGTTGGGGGCTCCCCAGCACCTCGTCCAGGGTTAGGGGGCTCCCCAGCATCTTGTCCGGGGTTAGGAGGCTCCCCGGTGCCTCATCCGGGGTTAGGGAACCTGGTAGTGCTGCCAACCCTAACCATGCTGTCTGCTTCCACTGGATATTTAGGAAGGGGAAGGGCTCCTTTTTTTAAACCTCCCTTAAATGGTCTCATCTCTGACTGTTGTGTGCTGTGAGCTGATTCCTGGTCCTTTGCTGTGATCCTGGCCCTGACTCCTGCCTGGCTTTCTGGGGCATCCAGGTGACCCCTACATACCACGTATATTCTCACCCCAGACCTGAAATCAGCTGACTGGGCTTCGACTTCTTTATTTCATTACTGTTTGTTTATTTACTAATTTTAATTCTTTTCAGACTCACAGAAAAGTTGAAAGCAGTACAAGGACACCCTGAGCCCTCACCTAGACTCACCACTTCTGAGTACCTGACCATGCCCCCAACTCTGGCCCTGTCTGTCTCTGTCTCTGTCTCCCCTGCCCTCCCCCTCAGCCAATGGACACGTTTCTCTTCAAGAGCCTGCTTTCAGTTCTTCTGGGAACTTGCCTGGAAGTGGGATGGCTGGGTCCTATGGTATAATCATTCTATGTTTAATTTTTTTTTTTTTTGAGTCAGAGTCTCACTCTGTTACCCAGGCTGGAGTGCAGAGGTGTGATCTCAGCTCATTGCAACCTCCGCCTCTCAGGTTCAAGCAATCCTCCTGCCTCACCCTCCCGAGTAGCTGGGATTACAGGTGTGCGCCACCACACCCGGCTGATTTTTATATTTTTAGTAGAGACGGGATTTCACTATGTTGGTCAGGCTGGTCTTGAACTCCTGACCTCAGGTGATCCGCCCGCCTCAGCCTCCCAAAGTGCTGGGATTACAGGCCTGAGCCACCGCGCCCGGCCATACGTTTAATGTTTTGAAGAACCTCCATACTATTTCCACGGCAGCTGCACTGTTTCATGTTCTCACCAACAGTGCACAGAGTTCCAGTCACTCCAGACTATCACCAAGACTTGTTATTTTCTGTTTTTTTGATAGTAGCCATCCTAATGGATGCGAGATGGTATTTTATTGTGTGTATGTGTGTGTGTGTGTTTAACAGAGTCTCACTCTGTCGCCCAGGCAGGAGTGCAGTGATGTGATCTCTGCTCACTGCAACCTCTACCTCCCGGGTTCAAGTGATTCTTGTTGGGATTACAGGCGCCCACCACCACACCCAGCCAATTTTTGTATTTTTAGTAGAGATGGGGTTTCGCCATGTTGGCCAGGCTGGTCTCGAACTCCTGGCCTCAAGCGATCCACCTGTCTTGGCCTCCCAAAGTGCTGGGATTACAGGCGTGAGCCACCACACCCGGCCTTCTCATTGTGGTTTTGTTGATTCGTATTTCCCTAATGATTAGTGATGTTGGACATCTTTTCATGTGCTTATTGGCCATTTCTATATCTTATTTGGAGAAATGTCTATTCAACTCCTTTGGCAATTTTTGAATCTTTTTTTTTAATATTATTGAGTTTTAGGACATTTCTATCTATTCTAGATGTTAATCCCTTATCGGGTATGTAATTTATAAATATTTTGATATACAAAAGTTTTTAATTTTCATGAAGTCCAGCTTGTCTATTTTTTCTTTTGTTGCCTTTGCCTTTGGTGTCATAGCCAAGAAACGTCATGAAGCTTCTTCCTGTGTTTTCTTCTAAGAGTTTTATAGTTTCAGCTAGGACCTTTCACGAATACTTTTCCGTAGCCTCCTGGAGAATCTGGTGCTTTTCTCTATGATGGTTTCATGGGATCTGAGTCCAGAGAGTCCCTGAAACCCTAGGGGTGCCCTGGCTTGGGGGTATACATAAATGATGGTGCTGCAGGACCCTTCTGCTAGAGGCCTGGGCTGCCTGGGTCCTGGCGAAGCCTCCATCTCCCACCACGTCTTGCTGTTCAGGCTGTGGCAGAACCTTGTTTCAGGGGCTCTTCCTCTGGGCACTCCTGTGGCTGCTGCAGCAGACCATAGCCTGGGCGGCTGAAGCCACAGAAATGAGCTGGCTCTGGTCCTGGAGGATGGAGGCCGCGATCGAGGTGTTGCAGGGTTGTGACCCTGGTGCAGACCTCGCTGTGGCTTCTGGGGGCTTGGTGGCCACCTCTGCCCTCCTCAGCTCATGGTGCTCTGCCTGCATGCATGTCTGTCTCTGCAGCCAAAAGTCCCTTCTTAAAAGACAATGGTCATATTGGACCAGGTACCACCCTAAGGACCTCATGTTACTTTGATCGTCTGCAACGACCCTATGTCCAAATAAAGTCACGTTCACAGATCCCGGGGTTTAGGACTTCAACTTACCTTTTTAGGGGACCCAGGTGAACCCACCACACATGGCTTCGGCGTTTTCAGTCCTCTTCTCCTTTCTCCTTGGCTACTGTTCTTGGCCTCGGCCCATGGTGAGCTTGTGGGATGCACAGGCCTGAGGTGGAGCTTGTTCAGGGTCTGGGGTCACCAGGCCTCCTGAATATTCTCACACTAAACTTTCTAAAGATTGTCCCAGAAATGAACGCGTGAAGCTCGAACCTTGACCCTGGGCCCCCCTGACTCCCTGGGCCCCGCCATTTGGATGGCTGCAGCACCAGGCATGGGTTCCACATTTGTCTTTGAACGGCCAAGGAAGGGGCTGCCAGAACATGGGTTAGCAGTGTCTGGAGAAAAGCCACTGCAGAAAGGAGCTTTCATCAGCCAGGGGACCTTCAGAAAGTCCCCTCCAGGGGGACAAAATCCTCTTCTCACGAACATTTCTAGCTCCTCTCACTGGGCAGCCTCTGCTGAGATATGGGGCCCCAAATTTCCCTAATTTGAGAGCAGAGCAAATCCCACTGAAAGATCCATGTTCAAGCCCACTGATCCTGAGAAACTCCTCAGAGACACACGCTGGGCTGGTCAGCCTCAGGCCGCCCCTTCCTCTTACCGGAAAGGTCCCAGCCTTCCCTCCCGGTGCCGTTCAGCAGGGTTTGTGGTCTCAGAGGCAGAGCCCCTGGGCAGGGCTGGTTTCTAGAGTGTGCTGATGCTGCTGGGGTCTAAAGAGGTGTGGAGGACAGGGCCACTGGAGAGACGGGCTCTGGGGATGGAGGGGCCAGCTCATCCAGCTGCAGCCGAGGGCATGCCTGGGGAGCCTCAGCAGGGGAACGGGGTCATTGGGCCGTGGAGGTGGGGCAGGGGGCCTGGGGGTGTAGGGCGGAGGCAATGATGTCATAGTTCAGATGTGGGGGCTTGGGAGGGGAGGGTCTGGAGGAGAGTGTTGGTGAGTGAGGGGCGGATGCAGTGATGTCATAGTTCAGATGTGGGGGCTTGGGAGGGGAGGGTCTGGAGGAGAGCGTTGGTGAGTGAATGGTATAGCACTGGGACAGCAAAGTGTATCTCAGTTCTCACCGTGGATGAGGTGGTCACTCTGGGCAGCCAGGGCCAGGGTGGGAAGACACTCCTGGTGAGCGACGGGCAGGTCAGCAGATGGGGAGGGGCTGTGGTTGGGGAGGAAGGGGTGAGGACATGGGACCTGGGGCGAGAAAGCCTCAGGCCAAAGCACACACTGCATACCCTGCTGGGGCTGGCTGTCCCCAGTGACTCCCAGGGGTTGGGGTCAGTGTGGAAGGGTCTGTGGAGACGTGGGAGCTGTGGGGATGCAGAGGTTCCCAGGAATGATGTTTGGGCAGAGGCTTCTGCTGAGATGTTGGGCCAGAGGGGAGAAGGTGCCCAGCAGGGTGAGACTAAGAGGTGAATCCCAGGTGCTGCTGAGTAGCCAGTCCTGGGAGCCTGGGGGTGGGGTGGGGTAGGTGGCTGCATCACTGCCCTGGCAGAGCTGTCCAGAGAAGCCGTCCCGGTGCCAGGACTGAGTGAGGCCTGGGTGCCCTACGTAGACAAGACTTGGGGGGTGGGGGTGGGCTGGCAAGTCCCCCAGCAACATTGGGCAGGGAAAGGTCGATCCATCATCCACCCACCTGTCCATCACCACACCCCTGTGGCAGCCTGTACCCAGCCCTCGCTTACCAACCATCTGCCCACCTTTTCCTGAAAAAGATTTGATGAGGTGGTGGGGCCTCGGAGGGATGTCCAGCAGGGAACCGACTCATGGGACTTTTGGCAAGTTATCATGGCTTCCGCAGGAAGGAGAGTGAAGACGATGGGGGTCTCATGGGTGGATCTGGCTGGCTCCATCCTCAGGAGCAGTGGAAAGCAGCCTCCTCCTCTGCCTGGCGTAGGCCTTGCCTGGCCTCACTTGGCCTTGAGGAATCTGTATAAACTCCACCCATGCCCCCATGTGCCAGGGAGTCAGCCGTTCAGGCCAGGCTGGCCACTAGTGTTGGTGGCATTGGCCATTCCACCGTCCCGCACTGTGCCTGGTGCCATGCCCGAGGCGTTGTGCTCATGTGTTGCTGAGAATGCAGGGCTCCAGTGTTTGCGTGGAATGTGTGTTACGCATGTCACAGAGTGTGAGGATCTCACTGGGGGAGTTGTGTATCCCTGATTTCTGGCCGTGCTTGCACTTGGCTAGCAAGGCACACACGCACACAGCAGTGAGCCTTCCACAGATGATGGCCTGGTTTCCATCCACTCACACAGGCTGCCCTGAGCCTGCCAGGCCCCCTGATAGAACTTGCCTCCTCCCATGTCAGGTGGGGCAGCCTCTTTAGATGATATTTGCTTTGGATGGGATTGTTGTACCTATTGAGCCAGAGACCATTGCTGTGGTATATTTGCCACAAGTCAGGCACACATGCACATAGGTGCATGCATTCACACATTTGTCAGGCATACTTGCACTCACTCACAAACACACATGCATGCCCTTACTCATACATGCACACACACTGGCCCCCACTCATGCACAGACACGCATGCACGCACACATACTGCACACCTACCCACCTATGAACATGCATGCACATATCCACACACGCTCACCCACTAGCCCCACACCTGCACACACACACACATATCCACACACCCACATACACGCAGGCACACACCCAGCCACCCATGAACACACATACACATACCCATGCATGCACACACACTGGCCCCCCGCCCCACACACATCTACATACAAGCATACGCGTGCACTCGCTGTCTTGTTGAGCAACATGCCCCCTGGCGTGTTGGGATCTGATGAAGAACAAGAGCTGCCCGGTGTCTGCCTCATGTCACTGACAGCCTGAGGGGAGCAGGACTGTAATGGATGTCACAGACTCTGTCGATTCTATGGTGCTGGGAGTCGGGTGCCAGGGAGGGCTCCCCGAGGCGTGGCCTAGCCTTGACTTCGCTGTGACATCATTAGGGCGAGGCTCAGCCCCAACTCCTTGTCCTTGAGGTCAGCCCCGTCTCCATCTCCCTCTCCCCGTTTGTCTCATGGGCATTCCCGCACACTGCAAGGGCGGCCTTGGTGGGGACTGCAGGTGACCATGGCCCTTCTCAGGCGGTGCTTCCGCTGCTCCCAGTAGCCGGGATGTCCTTGCGTGTTTGACCTGGTTCTGTTCTCCACAGATTGACCGACTCATCAGTCACGGGGCCGACATCCTGAAGCCTGTAATGCTCAGGCAGGGAGAAAAGGAGGCAGTGGGCACAGCCGTGGACTATGGCTACTTCAGATTCTTCCAGGTAGGTGGTGAGCCTCCCATGAGGAAGGAGGGGGAGTGTGGGTCACGTGCAGGGCCCCCGGCTGGGGCATTAGCTTCTCTGGGGCAAAGCTGGGCTCAAGGTTCCTAGCGCCGCCCCCAGAGCAGCCCCTTGGCTGCAGAGGTGAACCCCCCAAAGTGCTGAGCTCATGCCAGGTGCAGCTGTATGTGCTCCCAGCTTTGTGTGTCTGTCTGGGTTCGTCCTCAGTTATATATCACAAGAGCTGACAGGAGCCCTCGATCACCGAGAGTCACCCCAGCAGTGAGGGGCGGGCCCGGGACCCTGTGGTGACCCTGGTGCTGTGCCGCAGGACCGGAGGATTGCCCGCTGCCCCTTCCACACGCTGATGCCAGCAGAGCGCGAGACGTTCCTGGCGCGGAAGCGGCTCCTGGAGTACATGGGCTTGCAGCTACGGCAGGCTGTCTTTGCCAAGGAGAGCCAGTGGGACCCCACGTGGCTGTACCTGTGCAAGAGAGGTGAGCAGTGGGCCCTGCTCTGCTCTGCTCCACAGGGCGGCGTTCCGGCCTCGTGCCTGGGGCTGTTATCCCTGGAGATCTGGACCCCCTGGGGCTCTTGGAGGGGCCTTCCTGGGGCTGGGCTCGTCGGCTTGTCCCCTTTGTGTCCCGTCGTCCAAGGAGCTCGTCCAGGAGAGACTGAGAAGTGGGGTCTGGACTGGGGAGATGTCCCTGGGAAGAGGAGTTGGTGGCCTAGGGCCAGGGCCCAGGTCAGAGGGGCCCCACGCCCAGGAGAGAACTAGGCACTGCTGCGGGAGCCCTGTCAGGAGTGCCAGTCTATCCGGCACAGGGACTGTGGGCCCGAGGCCTGGGGTGCTGCTCCCCTGCATGGTCACACCCCTCCCTACAGGGTGCATCCTGCACACCCCTACATGTCCCCAGCTCCCCACATGCACCCACTCCACAAACGCAGTACCTACTGACATCTACTCCCCCATGTACCCACACCCACGTACTCAACCCCACCCACCTAGTCACTCCCACATACCCACCTCCCACCCACCTGGTCACCCCCACCCCCACATAGTCACTCCCTACCCCCACATCCCCACCCACCTACTCACCCCCACCCCCACATACCCCCTCATGTTCCCACCCTCACATTTACCTACTCTTGTCTACCTCGCACACACAGACCCACTTACACATCCACACACACTGATACCCACAGCCATCCTCTCCTCACATAAAAACCTGTCACGTGTTAACACGTGTGTGCACACACACACCGGAACCTGCTGATCCCGCCCCCACACCGAGCCCTCAGCATGCAGTAGCCTCCTGCAGCCTCACACAGTCCCCCACTGAGCAACACCCCAGGTGCCTTCCCAGCACACAGTGCTCCGCCCCACACACTTCCACGTGCTGTTAGTCCGTTTGCGTTGCTGTAAAGGAACACCTGAGACTGGGTAATTAGAAAAGAGGTTTAATAGGCTTGTGGTTCTGCAGGCTGCACAGGAAGTGCGGTACCAGCATCTGCTTCTGGAGAGACCTCAGGGAGCTTCCACTCCCAGTGGAGGGCGAAGGGGAGCCTGTCCATCACATGGCAAGAGAGAGAGGGAGAGAGAGAAGGCGGGGGTGTCCCAGGCTCTTCTAAACTCCCAGCTGTCATGTGAACTAACTGAGAACTCACTCGTCCCCAAGGGGATGGCACTAAGCTACTCATGAGGGATCCATCTCCACGATCTAGTCACCTCCTACCAGGCCCCACCTCCCACAGGGGGGCCCACAGTTCAACATGAGATTTGGAGGGGACACACATCCAAACTACATGGCATGCTTGTGTCCCCACAAATATTTAGCCAGCCACAGGCCCACCCACACGCTTGCATACTCCTCAGGACACACGCCCTGAAACCCTCAGCTCCACCCCCACAGCTGCCCGCACACCCCCTCAGCTCCACCCCCACAGCTGCCCGCACACCCCCCTCAGCTCCACCCCCACAGCTGTCTGCACACCTACCCACACACGTGCCTGTCCCCACCCACACAGCACACTGCTTCCCCGCATCCCACCCAACCACAATCTGCATACATCTCCACACACATACGGACACCCCACACCCACCTCCCAAACTCACTTATGTGCCGTCACACATGTGCCCACCCATGCATAAACCCCCCCCACCCCCAACACCTGCCCCATCCAACCCCAGCCCTCACCAACTCACCCACTGCCACCCATGCCTTACACATGCACACAGCCACAAGCCACTCCCATATGTCCCCCCCCAACACAAACATACTAACCTCCCCTCGACACAAACATAAACTTCTTCCCACCTGGCTCGCCCACCAGCACACATGAATGCACCTTTGCTGAGGCTACTTCCTGGCCAGGGTTCCTGCAAGGTGAGGCCTCCATTTGTGTAGAGCCCCACTTGGGGGATACAGGCTCTGCCTTGGGCATGACACCCCTGAGGATACTGGGGTTCTAATCAGGCTTGTACTGGCCCATGAGCGGAGGACCAGGCAGGGAGAGGCAAGTTGCGAAGACCCATGTCTACTGCCTCCTCCTTTCCATCAGAGATTAGGTCCTAAAACGGAGGTGTCACTTACGGAGAAGTATCCCATTGTCCCGACCCCCAGCTCCACAGCCTTGGCTCAGTGATTTTTGCCCAGGGGAGAGACACACCATAAAACAGTGAGCTTCACACCTCATCACAAAGAAACCGATTTCATTTTTAACAGAGCAAAGACAGTTTCAAGCCTAATGTTGAGAGGCATTTGGAAGGAGATTGGTAAATTCACTGGAGTAACAGACTAAACTATAGACTGGCTAATTGCTAGAGAAAACTAAGAAAAGAGAGACAGGAGAAGCCTTCCTGTGGTCATAACAAGTCTCACACACCCCAAGGACTGATCTAAAGAGCACACAGCATACAAAGAAACATTTATTCAATAAAATCTTTTAAAATTCAGTAAGAACAGAGAATGTCTGTGGTATTAAACCAAGGTCTACCTTCCTTTTCACCCTCCCAGCTCAGGGAGGCAGAAACTCTATTCCAGACCAGTACAGCCAAGAACACAGTAGAAGAGGGCATGGATGTCAATAATTCTCATCCTGCCCCCAGCTACCTGTTGCTGAGGCTAAGTTCCTGTTGCTTCAGACTTACTGTGCTTCCAAGATGGCCAGGAGGTGGCGGCACCATTCTTATGCTCAGCTTCCAAGATGGGGAGGAGGTGGCAGCTCCATTCTTATCCTCAGCTTCCAAGATGGCGAGGAGGTGGCGGCTCCATTCTTATGCTCAGCTTCCAAGATGGCGAGGAGGTGGCGGCTCCATTCTTATGCTCAGCTTCCAAGATGGCGAGGAGGTGGCGGCTCCATTCTTATCCTCAGCTTCCAAGATGGCCAGGAAGTGGTGCACTCAGAATTACTGGAGGTTATGATGGGCAATATTAAGAAGATTGGTAAACTTACTGGAAATATAGGTGAAACTATAATCTGCCAGCAATTATATACCATGGTTTGTATTAACTATAAATTATGCCAGAGAAAAATAAGGAAAGATAGCTGGGAAGAGCCCTCCTGTAGTCAGAACCAATCTTCAATACTGACCTTTGGAACTATCCCTTCAATGAGCTCTGATCGAATTCTAATTGGATCAGTCTAGGAAGCCATTTATACCCCAGGGCACTGTTGCAAATTATGAACAATCAGCCAGCAATTATCAGAACTAAACAGGAGCGTTTGGTCATGGAAGGAGACAGTCAAAGAGATCCTTGTCCAAACCACCGTCACCTTAGGGTCACTGTGAACAAACCCAAGGCTGCCTTCCATGAGAAGGAACCTCAGAAGCTTTATAATGCAGGGGAGAAATGGATTTCACACAATTAACCCAGCTGGTCATTAACCAAATAAGCAAACAGATAGTAATATCCAGCCCCAAGGGAGAAGAATGAAGGAAAATGAACATGTCCTCAGAGAAAAGTGGGAGACTAAGAGAGAAAAAAGAATGATGAGAAATGAAGAGATCATCAGGGGAAAGTGGACACCATCAAGCACATCTATCTATCTATCTATCTATCTATCTATCTATCTATCTATCTATCTATCTATCTATCTAATTAGAGTACCAGAAGCAGAGGTGAGAGAGAAAGAAGCAGGAAGAATATTTGGAGAAATGATAGATAAAAACTTTCTAAACATATTTAAAAATAATTTATCTATCTAGGAAGCTTAATGGAGTTTCAAGTAGGATAAAACAGAGATTTGTAAAACAGACACATCAGAGTTAAAATACTGAAAGTCAAAGACAAGGGGAAAACATTGAAAGCAGCAAGAGAAAAATAACTCAAAATTTACAAGGGAATCCCAGTAAGATTAACAGCTAGCCAGCATCTCATCAGAAGAAATTGGTTGGAGGGTGGTCAAGATGGCTGATAAGCATTTCATGCCCACTTCTTCCACTTAGTAGAACCAGAGCAGTGTACAGACAGTCACACTCAAAGTACATTATCCAAGAGAGAATGCTGGAACTCAACAGAGAAGTGACAGGGAACACCAAAAGTGGGGAAGGAGGAGGAGAGGCAGCCTCTCTGGCTGGGTTCGGCTGGGCATCAGGAGTGAATTCCCAATATAGGGAAGAGGTGAGTAGGTGTAGGGGCCAGCCCTACAGGGTCTGTGAGTTTTTCTCCCCATGTGTGGAGACAGGAGATTGTAGAAATAAAGACACAAGACAAAAAGATAAAAGACAGCTGGGCCCGGGGGACAACTACCACCAAGACGTAGAGACCGGTAGCATCCCTGAATGCCAGACTGTGCTGTTATTTATTGGATACAAGACAAGGGGGCAGGGTAAGGAGTGTGAGCCATCTCCAATGATAGGTAAGGTCACATGGGTTACATGTCCACTGGACAGGGGACCCTTCCCTGTTTGGCAGCCGAGGTGGAGAGAGAGAGGAGAGACAGCTTACGCCATTATTTCTGCATTTCAGAGACTTTTAATACTTTCAGTAATTCTGCTACTGCTATCTAGAAGGCAGAGCCAGGTGTACAGGGTGGAACATGAAAGTGGACCAGGAGCGTGACCACTGAAGCACAGCATCACAGGGAGACGGTTAGGCCTCCGGATAACTGTGGGCGGGCCTGACATCAGTCAGGCCCTCCACAAGAGGTGGTGGAGTAGAGTCTTCTCTAAACTCCTCTGGGGAAAGGGAGACTCCCTTTACCTTTCCCGGTCTGTTAAGTAGTGGGTACTTTTCCTTGGCACTGACACTACCGCTAGACCACGGTCCGCTTGGTAACGGGCGTCTTCCCAGACACTGGTGTTACCGCTAGACCAAGGAGCCCTCTGGTGGCCCTGTCCGGGCATAACAGAAGGCTCACACTTGTCTTCTGGTCACTTCTCACCATGTCCCCTCAGCTCCTATCTCTGTATGGCCTCGTTTTTTCTAGGTTATGATTGTAGATCGAGGATTATTACAATATTGGAATAAAGAGTAATTACTACCAAGTAATGATTAATGATATTTATATATAATCATATCTATGATCTGTATCTAGTATAATTCTTGTTATTTTATATGTTTTATTACACTGGAACAGCTTGTGCCCTCTGTCTCTTGCCTCGGCACCTGGGTGGCTTGCCACCCACAAGTAGGAGATTTCTAATGGCCCACTTCCTCACCATGGAATCATGCAATCCTGGCAAGACAACCCCTTGACCCTCCCAACCCTTGAAGCGAATATAGGAAGCTTCCAGGAGACTGTGGGATGGAAGAGCTCCAGGAAGGAAGGTTGCACTGGGTTCCACACCCTTTCTGAGACCTAAGTGGCCTCAGCAAGTCACCATTTTCAAAACTAGCCTCTGGAAAACTACATGCTGTCCTGGGACCCAGTGGCCCTGGGACTGTGGAGTATTATGGAAACTCAAGCTGTCACTGCTGGGACAGGGGAGCAAGCCAGGTATGCTCCCACAGTAGGGGCTAGGAAGTGAGCAAGGCCTGAGTGGCAGTGGCTGGGTCTGGGAAGTGAGCACTGCTGTGATCTGAGACAGGGATGTAAGTGGGGCTTGAGTTGCTTCTGGGACTTGGTTGTGAGCTGGGCATGGGCTGATGCAGTCAGGGTGGCAGGGGTGAGACCCAGTGATGCTGGAGCATGAAGGAGACATGCATTTTCCACCACTGGTCCAGGCTGTGGCCACCAAAGTTGGCCCCACCCTCTCCAGTAGCAGAGCCTCAGTGTGGATACTACCATCTCTCACCTGAGCACTCCACCTGCCTGAAGATCACTCCATGCCCACTCACAACAGCTGGTGCCTACTTTCACCAGTGGGGGGCCTGAGCACAAGCCCACCCAGCCTGGCTTCAAGACAGAGCACTCCTCCTGGGGGCCTGAGGTTGGACCTAACCTCCCTGCTACCACCACCTCAGCTGGCACCTACCTGCCAGCACCACTTGCAGGCCTGGAGACTGATCCACCCAACTCATCACAGCCGCCAACATCAGTACACACTGTTTGGGACCCAGAGAATTTTCATGCCATTGGTATTGCCATTGCCCATGCTGTGCCAGCTCAGCTGCCCAGGGATCCAAGAATTTGCCTGCCCACCTACTCCATTGCAGCCACTGCTGGCATTCTAAACAAGCCATTTGGAGCCCTAAGAACTGACCTGCCAGTAGTTGCCAACACAAGTGCCAGTGTACACCACTCTGGGGCACAAAGATAGGCATGCCTACCCCATCCTTGCCACCTCTGGGGCCTGAAGATTGGCCTACCTGGCATCCCAGGCCCTAGCACACAACCTTGCCACAGCCTCCACTGATAAACACACCCTAACCCACCAAGAAAATCACAGATACTACCAATGCTTTGGCTACAGATACTAGCCAAAGAAACCACACAGAGACTACACTACTGCACACGCTGAGAAGCAAAGCCAAAGTACCCTACCCAACCAACACCATAAATGCATCTTCAGGAAAGTCCTCTCCTATAAAAATAAAAATAGGAAAAAGCAACTGTTAAAGAGGGCATACAGATATCAACATAAGGACACAGGAAACATGAAAAAGCAAGGAAATATGACACCTTCAAAGGAATATCATAATTATCCAGCAATAGGTCTTAACCAAAAAGAATTTTTTTTTTGAGATGGAGTCTCACTCTGTCACCCAGGCTGGAGTACAGTGGCACAATCTCAGCTTACTGTAACCTCTGCCTCCTGGGTTCAAATGATTCTCCTGCCTTAGCCTCCTGAGTAGCTGGGATTACAGGCATGCACCACCATGCCTGGCTAATTTTTTTTTTGTATTTTTAGTAGAGATGGGATTTCACCATATTGGTCAGGCTGGTCTCGTACTCCTGACCTGATGATCCACCCACCTCAGCCTCCCAAAGTGTTGGGATTACAGGTGTGAGCCACCACACCCAGTCACCAAAAAGAAACTTTTGAGATCTCAGATAAAGAATTTGAAATACTGATTTTTAGGCCAGGTGAGGTGGCTCACGCCTGTAATCCCAACATTGGGAGGCTGAGGCAGGCAGATCACTTGAGGTCAGGAGTTCCAGACCAGCCTGGCCAACGTGGTGAAACCTTGTCTCTACTAAAGTACAAAAATGAGCTGGGTGTGGTGGTGCATGCTTGTAATCTCAGCCACTAGCGAGGCTGAGGCAGGAGAATTGCTTGAACCCGGGAGGCGGAGGTTGCAGTGAGCCGAGATCGTGCCACTGCACTCCAGTCTGGGCGACACAGTGAGACTCTGTCTCAAATTTAAAAAAAAATTCAAAATAATTGATTTTAAAAGGACCTGAAATAGAAGAGAATACTGAACAAACAATACAAATAAATTAGAAAAACAATTCAGGATATGAATGAGAAATTTATCAAAGAGACATTTTAAAAAATAACCAAACAGAAATTCTGGAACTGAAGAATTCATGGAAGGAAATACAAAATACATTTGAAAGCATCAACGATAGACTAGATGAGACAGAGGAAATCTCAAAACTTGAAGACAGGTCTTTTGAAATAATCCAATCAGACAAAGGTAAAGAAAAAAGAATAAAAACAAATAAGCAAAGGCTTCATGATATTTACGACAACATAAAGCAACTAAATTTGCAAATTATTGGTATCCTTAAGGGCAAAGAAACAAAGGATTAGAAAATGTATTAATGAAGTAGGGCCAGGTGTGGTAGCTTATGCCTATAATACCAGTGCTTTGGGAGGCCAAGTGGGAAGATTGCTTGAGGCCAGGAATTTGAGACCACCCTGGGCAACATAGCAAGACCCTATCTCTACAAAAAAGAAAAAAATTAGCTGGGTGTCATGGCATGCACCTGTAGTACTAGCTGCTTGGGAGGCTGGGCCCAGGAGTTTTAGGTTACTGTGAGCTAGGATTGTGCCACTGCACTCCAGCCTGGGTGACAGAGCAAGACCCTATCTCTAAAAATAAATCAGTTTTTTTTTTTAAAAGAAAACTAATTTAATGAAATAATAGATGAAAACTTCTCAAGTCTAGGAAGAGATATAGACAGTCAGATAAAGGAAGTTCAAATGAACCACAGGAAGATACAATGATAAAAGATCTTCTGCATGGCACATTATACTCAGACTGTCTAAAGTCAAAGAGAAAATCTTAAAAGCAGCAAGAGAAAAGCATCTAGTCACCCATAAAGGAAATTCCTTAAGACTAACAAATTTCTCAGCAGAAACATTACAGGCCATAAGAGAATGGGGTGGTATATTCAACATGCTGAAAGAAAAAAAACGCTGCCACCCAAGAATACTATATCCAGCAAAATTATCTTTCATAAATGAAGGAGATATAAAGTCACCCCGGACAAACAAATGGTGAGGTAATTCATTACTACTAGACCAGTTCTACAAATGCTCAAGGGAGTCCTAAACATAGAAGCTAAAGGACAACATTTACCATTATGAAAACACACAAAAGTATAAAAGTCACTGGCAAAGCAGTTATACAAAGGAGGAAGAGAAAGAACTCAAATGCTACCACTACAGAAATCCACCAAAGCACAATGCCAAAGTATAAGAAAGGAACAAGAAGTATATGAAACAATGAGAAAACAACATGACGGGAACAAAGCCTTACATATCAAGAATAACCTTGAACATGAACAAATTAAATTATCCTCTTAAAAGCTAGAATAGCTAAGTGGATTAAAAATGATCCATGATCAAAAAATGATTCTGCTTACAAGAAACTCACCTTATCATTAAAGACACATATAGACTGAAATAAAGGGATGAAAAAATATATTCCAAGCAAACAGAAACCAATAGTGAGCAGGAGTAACTAGGTATACTTATATCAGATAAAATGGACTTTAAGTCAGGAAGAGTAAAAAAAAAAAAAAAAAGACAAAGTCATTATATAACGATAAAGGGATAAATCTAGCAAGAGGATATAACAATGCTAAATATATATGCACCCAACACTGGAGCACCCAGATTCATAAAGCAAATATTACTAATCTAAAGACAGATAGATATACTGCAATACAATAATAATGGGGGTCTTCAATACCACACTCTCAGCATTAGGCAGATTATCTAGACAGAAGATAAACAAAGAAACATTGAATTGAAACAGGACATCAGACCAAATGGACGTCACAGACATTTACAGAACATTTTATCTAACAAATGCAGAATATATATTCTTTTCATCAGCACATGGAATATCCTCCAGGATAGACCATACGTTAGACCACAGAACAAGTCTCAACAAACTTAAAAGATCAAAATCATACCAGGTATCTTCTCAGATCACAATGGAGTAAAATTAGAAGTCTGTACCAAGAAGAACTCTGTAAACTATACAAATGCATAATTTCTACTATTTAAATATGTATACTATACAAATATATACAACTATGTATATACAAATTTGCAACATGGAAATTAAACATGCTTCTGAATTAATATTGAGTCAACGAAGAAATTAAGATGGAAATAAAAAAGTATTGAAACAAACGAAGATAAAAGCACAATATACCAAAACCTGTGGGATACAGCAAAAACAGGGCTAAGGGGAATTTTATAGCAATAAATGCCTACAGCAAAAAAGTAGAAAGATTACAAACTAACAATCTAACAATGCACCTCAAGGAACTAGAAAAGCAAGAACAAATCAAATCCAAAATTAGAAGAAAATAGATAAAGATCAGAGCAGAACTAAATGAAATAGAGAAAAAATACAGAGAATCAATGAAATAAAAAGTTGATTCTTTAAAAAGTTGAAAACAAGATTGATAAACTGGTAGCTAGACTAACCAAGAAGAGAGAATAAATTTCTCCTTCCATATCTTATTTGAAGAAATGAATCTCTGTAAATAAAATCAGAAATGGAAAAGGAGATATTACAACTGATACCACAGAAATACAAAAGATCATCAGAGACTATATGACAAACTGGAAAACCCAGAGGAAATGGATAAATTCCTAGAAACATCGAGTCTACCAAGATTGAATGGGGAATAACTAGAAAACCTGAACAGAGCAATAATGAGTAGCAAGATTGAATCAGCAATAAAAAGTCTCTCAACAAGGAAAAGCCCAAGACCAGATGGATTCACAGCTGAATTCTACCAAATATATAAAGAAGAACTAATACCAATCCTCCTGAAACCATTCCAAAAAATTAAGGAGGAGGGAATTCTCCCTAACTCATTCTATCAGGCCAGTGTCACCCTGATATCAAAAGCAGACAAGGACACATGCAGAAAAATCTACAGGTCAATATTCCTGATTAATCTAGATGCAGAAATTCTCAATACAGTACTAGCAAGCCACATCCAACAGCACTTTCAAAAGATTAGGTGAGGCTTCTACCTGGCATGCAAGGATAGTTCAACATATGCAAATTAATAAATGTGATACATCACATCAACAGAATGAAGGACAAAAACCATATAACCATCTCAATAGATGCAGAAAAAGCACTGGATACAACTCAACAAATCTTCATGATAAAAACTCTTTTTTTTTTTTTTGAGATAGAGTCTTGCTCTGTTGCCCAGGCTGGAGTGCAGTGGCACAATCTCAGCTCACTACAACCTCTGCCTCCCAGGTTCAAGCAATTCTCCCTGCCTCAGCTTCCAGAGTAGCTGGGATTACAGGTGCCTGCCACCATGCCCAGCTAATTTTTTTGTATTTTTAGTAGAGACGGGGTTTTGCCATGTTGGCCAGGCTAGTCTCGAACTCCTGACCTCAGGTGATCTGCCTGCCGTGGCCTCCCAAAGTGCTGAGATTACAGGTGTGAGCCACCATGCCCACCTGATAAAAACTCTTAAGAAACAAGGCACAGAAGGAATATACTTTAAAATAATAAAGGCTATATATGACAAGCCCACAGCTAACATCATCATAATAGGGAAAAATTAAAAGCCTTTCCTCTAAGAACTGTAATAAGACAAGGTTGCCCACTTTCACCACTCCCATTCAACCTAGTACTGGAAGTCCTAGCCAGAGGAATCAGGCAAGGGAAAGAAATAAAAGGCATCCACAATGGAAAAGAGCAAGTCAAATTATCCCTCTTTGCTGATGATATTATTCTATATCTAGAAAAACCTAAAGACTCCACCAAAACACTCTTAGATTTGATAAATGAATTCAGTAAAATTGCAGGATACAAAACTAAAATACAAGAAAATCAGTAGCATTTATATACAACAATAATGACTTAGCCAAGACCGAAATCAGGAAGGCAATCACATTTACAATGGCTACAAAAAAATACTTAGGAATAAATTTAACCAAGGAGTTGAAGGATCTCCATAAGGAAAACTATAAAACACTGATGAAAGAAATGGAAGAGGACACACAAAAAAATGGAAAGACATCCCATGTTCATGGGTTGGAAGAATTAATATTGTGAAAATGGCCATACCACCAAAAGCAATATACAGAGTCAATACAATCCCTATCAAAATACCAATGCCATTCTTCACGAAAACAGAAAAAACAATCCTAAAATTCATATAGAACCAAAAAAATCCCAAATAGCCAAAGCAGTCTGGAACAAAAAGAACAAAGCTAGAGACATCACATTACCTGGATTCAAAATATACTACAAAGCTATAGTAACCAAAACAGCATGTACTGATGTACAAATAGACACATAGACCAATGAAACAGAATAAAGAACCCAGAAATAACACCAAATATTTACAGCCAACTGATCTCTGTCAAAGCTGATAAGAACATACACTGGGGAAAGGACACTTTCTTCAGTAAATGGTGCTGGGAAAATTGGATAGCCACATGCAGAAGAATGAAAGTGGACCTTTATCTCTCACCATATATAAAAATAGACTCTACATGGACTAAAGACTTAAACACAAGACTTGAGACTATAAAAATATTCAAAATTTAGGGCAAATTCTCCTGGACATTGATCTAGGCAAAGAAGGTATGACTAAGACTTCAAATACACAGGCAACAAAACCAAAAATAGACAAATGGGATTTAATAAAACTAAAGAGTTTCTGCATAATGAAAGAAATAATCAACATAGTGAAGAGAACCTGGTGAATGGAGAAAACATTTGCAAACTATTTACCTGACAGGAGACTAATATTCAGAATATACAGGGTACTCATACAATTCAACAGGAAAAAATAATCCTATTAAACTTGGGTAAATGACATGAATTGACATTTCTCAAAAGAAGACGTACAAACAGCCAGTGGGTGTATGAAAAAATGCTCATCTGTTCGTCTTATGCCTAAAAAAAACAAAAGAATAGCTCAACATCACTAATCATCAGAGAAATGCAAATCAGTCAGAATGGCTATTATAAAAAGACAAAAAATGACAGACGGTAGAAAGGATGCCAAGGAAAGGGAACTCTTATATGCTGTTGGTTGAATGTAAACTAGTACAGGCACTATGGAAAACAGTATGAAGATTTCTAAAAAAAAAAATTATCATTTGATCCAGCAGTCACACTACTATCTACCCAAAGGGGAAAAAATCAGTATATCAAAGGAGTATCTGCACTTGCCTATTTATTGCAGCACAATACACAATAGCTATCTATGATATGGAACTGACCTAAATGTTCATCAGCAAATAAATGGATAAAGAAAATGTGGTATATATACACAATGGAATATTATTCAGACATAGACAATAATTAAATCATGTCATTTGTAGCCACACAAGTGGAACTGGAGATTAGTATCTTAGTGAAATAAGCCGGGCACAAAAAGACAAATATCATATGTTCTCACTTATATGTGGGAGCTAAACATTTTGAACACATGGAGGTAGAGACTAGAAAAATAGATAACAGAGACTGGGAAGGGTGAGTAGAGAAAGTGGGTAGGATGAAGAGAAGAGGTTTAAAGGGTACAAAGATGCAGTAAGATAGAAGAAATAAAGTCAATGTTTTAGAGCAGAGTAGAATTACTATACTTAACAAAAATGTATTTTATTCAGGTGATGGACACCCGAATACCCTAACTTGATCACTACACAGTATATACATGTCACAAAACTTTTTGATGTGCTCCACAAATTTGTGTAAATAATAATAATAATATTTGTGTAAATAATAATAAAAGGATGCAATGGAGGGTTGTTAGAGGAGACTCAAGACAGTGGGATGACGTATTCAAAGTGCTCAAAGATGGCTGGACATGGTGGCTCTCATGCCTGTAATACCAGCACTTTGGGAGACTGAGGCAGAAGGATTGCTTGAGCCCAGGAGATTGAGACCAGCCTGGGCAACATGGTGAGACCCAGTCTCTATTTAAAGAAAATTAAAAGTAACCAAACAAAAAACAAAGTGCTCAGAGTTAGATAAACTGTTAACTGAGAATCTTATATCCAGCAAGTTAACTTGCAAACATGAAAGTGAAATTGACATATTTCCAGATAAAACCTGTGAGAATTGGTTGTTATAGCCTTCCCTTACAAGAAATACTAAAGGTATTTTGAAAGCAAGTAACTTAAGGTAGGAATTAAATGATACACATGAACAAAGAGCATTGGAAAAGTTAATTGTAAAGAAGAATATAAATGCATATTTCTTCTTTGTTAATTGACTTTAAAAGCAATTTAAAAATAATTTATATGTAAGCAATTTGTATATATATATGTATGCATTGAATTTATATATTATGTGTGTGTGTGCATGCGTGTGTGGTTGCATATGTGTGTATGCCTGTAACATATAGAAATGTATTATATTTGGCAATAACAGTACAAAGGAAGTGGGCAGGAGGAAAGTTCTGTTGTGGTAAGAAATGACTCCAAGTGGTAACTCAAATTGAGAAGATGAAATGGAGATCCAGAAATGGTAAATGATTTTGATATAACCAAAGCTATAAATATATACATTTTCTCCTTCTCTCAGCTTCTTTAGAATACATAAAATTATATAAAGTAATAATCTTATAATGTTGGATTTATAACCTTTATAGATGTAATGTGTAATAATATCACAAAAAGGCAGAAAAGGAAATAGACCTATATAGGAATAACTTTTTAATATCTCACTGCTGTTAGTATAGGTCTGAAGCTGATTATGACCAGTCAAGATTCATATGGTAGGCCAGGCATGGTGGCTCACATCTATAATCCCAGCACTTTGGGAGGCTAAGGCAGAAGAATTATTTGAGCCCAGGAGTTTAAGACCAACCTGGGCAACATGGCAAGACCCTGTCTCTACAAAAATTTTTTTTAAAATGAGCCCCACGTGGTGGCATGGGCCTGTAGTCGCAGTTACTCAGGAGGCTGAGGTGGGAGGATCACTGGAGCCTGGGAGGTTGAGGCTGCAGTGAGCCACTATCATGCCACTGCACTCCAGCCTGGGTGACAAGGTGAGAACCTGTCTCAAAAAGAAAAGAAAAAAAAAAAAGAAGATTCATGTGGTAAAGGCTGATGTGACCACTAAGGAAAGAACTCGAAATATAGTTTAAAATTATTGGATAAGTTAAGACATTACATTAACAATAATCCACTTGTTCTAGATCCTTGAGGAATCACCATACTGTCTTCCACAATGGTTGAACTAATTTACATTCCCACCAACAGTGTAAAAGCATTCCTATTTCTCCACATCCTCTCCAGCATCTGTTGTTTCCTGACTATTTTTGTTTCTTTTTTTTTTTCTTTGAGACGGAGTCTCGCTCTGTCGCCCAGGCTGGAGTGCAGGGGCGCGATCTCGGCTCACTGCAAGCTCCACCTCCCGGGTTCACGCCATTCCCCTGCCTCAGCCTCCCGAGTAGCTGGGACTATAGGTGCATGCCACCACACCTGGCTAATTTTTTGTGTTTTTAGTAGAGACGGGGTTTCACTGTGTTAGCCAGGATGGTCTTGATCTCCTGACCTCATGATCCACCCACCTCAGCCTCCCAAAGTGCTGGGATTACAGGCATGAGCCACCGCGCCTGGCTGTTTCCTGGCTTTTAATGATCACCATTCTAACTGGCATGAGATGGTATCTCATTGTGGTTTTGATTTGCATTTCTCTAATGACCAGTGATGATGAGCTTTTTTTCATGTTTGTTGGCTGCATAAATGTCGTCTTTTGAGAAGTGTCTGTTCATATACTTTGCCCACTTTTTGAGGGGGTTGTTTGTTTTTTTCTTGTAAATGTGTTTACTTCTTTGTAGATTCTTGATATTAGCCCTTTGTCAGATGGATAGACTGCAAAAATTTTCTCCCATTCTGTAGGTTGCCTGTTCACTCTGATGATAGTTTCCTTTGCTGTGCAGAAGCCCTATTTTAATTAGATCCCATTTGTCAGTTTTGGCTTTTGTTGCCATTGCTTTTGGTGTTTTAGTCATGAAGTCTTTGCCTATGCCTATGTCCTGAATGGTATTGCCTAGGTTTTCTTCTAGCGTTTTTATGGCTTTAGGTCTTACATTTAAGTCTTTAATCCATCTTGAGTTAATTTTTGTATAAGGTGTAAAGAAGGGGTCCAGTTTCAGTTTTCTGCATATGGCTAGCCAGTTTT
Organism: Homo sapiens; assembly: GCF_000001405.40. Lineage (NCBI taxonomy): Eukaryota > Metazoa > Chordata > Mammalia > Primates > Hominidae > Homo > Homo sapiens. Next base: position 240,484,483 of record NC_000002.12, on the reverse strand, counting down.
CCCAACACCATTTATTAAATAGGGAATCATTTCCCCCATTGCTTGTTTTTGTCAGGTTTGTCAAAGATCAGATGGTTGTAGATGTATGGCATTATTTCTGAGGCCTCTGTTCTGTTCCATTGGTCTATATCTCTGTTTTGGTACCAGTACCATGCTGTTTTGGTTACTGTAGCCTTGTAGTATAGTTTGAAGTCAGGTAGCGTAATGCCTCCAGCTTTGTTCTTTTTGGTTAGGATTGTCTTCGCTATACAAGCTCTACCTTTTGACCCAGCAATCCCATTACTGGGTATCTACTCAAAGGATTATAAATCATTCTACTATAAAGACACATGTACACATATGTTTATTGCAGCACTATTCACAATAGCAAAGACTTGGAACCAATCCAAATGCCCATCAATGATAGACTAGATAAAGAAAATGTGGCACATATTCACCATGGAATACTATGCAGCCATAAAAAGGCTGAGTTCATGTCCTTTGCAGAGACATGGATAAAGCTGGAAACCACCATTCTTAGCAAACTAACACAGGAACAGAAAACCAAACACCTCATGTTCTCACTCATAAGTGGGAGTTGAACAATGAGGACATATGGACACAGGGAGGGGAAAATCACACACTGGGACCTGTTGGTGGGTGGGGGGCTAGGGGAGGAATAGCATTAGAAGAAATACCTAATGTAGATGACAGGTTGATGGGTGCAGCAAACCACTATGGCATGTGTGTACCTAGGTAACAAACCTGCACGTTCTGCAAATGTACCCCAGAACTTGAAGTATAATAATAAGAAGAAAAAGAATCCACTTGATGCGGAAGAGTAAAGGAAGAATAAAGGAAGAGGAAAATTCTGAGACATATAGAAAACAAAATGCAAAATATCAAATGTAAATCCAACTACAGGATATCATTAATAACATTAAATGTGAAGAGATTAAACAAGAGGCAGAGATTGTCACATTGGATAAAAACACAAGATCCATCTATGTGCTGTTTACAGGAGACACATGATAAATTAAATAATACAGGCCAGATGCGGTGGCTCACGCCTGTAATCCCAGAACTTTGGGAGGCCGAGGAGGATGGATCACCTGAGGTCAGGGGTTTGAGACCAGCCTGGCCAATACGGTGAAACCCTGTCTCTACTAAAAGTACAAAAATTAGCTGGGTGTGGTGGTGCAAGCCTGTAATCCCAGCTACTCAGGAGGCTGAGGCAGGAGAATCACTTGGACCTAGGAGGCGAAGGTTGCAGTGAGCCAAGATCATGCCACTGCACTATAGCCTGGCTGACAGAGCAAGACTGTCTCAAAAAGAAAAAAAAAAATTCGATGATACAAACAGACAAAGTAAAAGGATGAAAAACTAACATGGGAACAGCAATCACAAGAAGGCTGGAATGGCTAATATCAGAAAAAATAGATTTACAAATGCTACTGGTGAGAAAGAGGGACATTTTATGATAAAAGGATCATCAGTTAGGAAGATGTAACAATTATAAACCCATATGCACCTAATCACAGACACCCAAATACATGAAGCAAAAAGCCACAGAAATGGAGAAACAGATAACTCAACAATAATAGTCAGAAATGTCAACTCCTCACTTTCAACAACTGATCAAAAAATTAGGCAGAAGGTCACCAAGGAACAGGAAGTTGAACCATACAAGCCTATTAGACCTACCAGATCTCTAGAACACTCTACCCAACAGGAACAGAACCTGTGTTCTTCTCAAGCATACTGGAGACATTCTCCAGGACAGACTGTATATAGATCATAATCCCTTAATCATGTTAAGAGAATAGAAATAATACATTTCATATCCTCTGACCACAGTAGAATTTAATTAGAAATGACTAACAGAAGGACATTTGGGAAACTCACATAAAATAACACATGTCTAAATAACAAGTTTAAGAAGAACCCAAAGGGGAAATTTGAAACACTTTGAAATGAATTAAAAAGAAGACACAACACAGGCGAAGCAGCAGACTGAAGAGTGAAGCCCCTCCCTGGAGCCTGTGGACTGCCCTGCGCCTCCAGGTCCACATCCCGCTCTGCGTCCTCGCACCCACTATGGAGCCATCAAAGGCTTGCTTCCCCCTATCCGCCTCCCGAGTAGTGCAGGCAGGCACCACAGGGAGGGCGCAAGGAGGTGGCTTCTGCAGTGGTGGCCCCCACCCTGCCACGTGGGTACTAATGCGGGACCCTCTCTCATGCAGCGGAGCTGATCCCCAGCCACAGGATGAAGAAGAAGGGCCCCAGCCTGCCCAGGGGCCTGGATGTGAAGGAGCAGGGGCAGTAAGTGTGTCTGCAGGCTGGGTTCTTTCCAGGATGGCAGCCTGTGGTTTGGACAGTGCTGTTGTGCCTGGCCTGACCACCTCATCCCGGGACAGCCTCCATGCCATCTGACCCCCAAGTGGCATGGCCTCCTCTAGGAAGTCCTGCTTGCAGGCTGTGGGCTTCAACCAAGATGAGGTGCAGATGATGCACCCTGCAGATGAGGGTGCAGAGTCATAGGGCACACTCATGGAGCTGCCCTGGGCTGCTCCGAGTGGGTCACAGACAGGGGTTCCATGTCCTGCAGGAGGGTGGCCACCTCCCATCCCAGAGACGGCCGCTGAGTGGGGTTTGAGCCCAGGCTTTGCTTCTGCAAGATGTCCTGTGGAGGCTTGCCTGGCCTGCTGGCTATGCGGCAGAGCCTGCACACCTGCACCTTCCTAGCCCCTCCCTCCACCACTGGCCTCTCCTTGGAGTCTCAACCCTGCACTCACTCTGCTGTTCCAGAACAGTCTCTTTACATGCTTGTGTGCCCCTCTGAGATGAGAGGGCAGGAACCAGGCCCTATTCTTGTTGGCATCCCCACCTCATAAACCCTGAGCAACCCATCGAGGTGATGGAGAGGGGACTGGTGCAGGACAGGAAGGCTCTTTTTCCTCCTAAAGCAGAGGAGACTGGTGCTTAGAGTTTCACCCCAAAGGCAGCCTCCATGCCCTGCCCTCGAAGAGTCACTTCTCCCATGCAACACTGTACCACAGACATTTCCCTATGTGCCTAGGAGTTCCGCACCATCGTGTGTGTGGCCCCACGGCGGTCTCCTGAATGGATGTGCATTCACTGAACCAGCCCCTACTGGTGGGCACAGGTGGTTCCCAGAGCTCGGAATGTGTTGGTTTCCTATTCTAAATATCACTGTGCTGAACATCCTCAGGACGAGGACTTGGGGGTTTTTGTCTGTGTGTGAAGGCTGCCCAATGCAGGGGACAGTGCGGGACGGTGGGGAATAGCCCAGGAGCTCAGGGCCAGGCACAGCTCCCAGGCAGCGGCTGTTTGTGGGGAAGCAGGTTCTGGAGTGGCCGCCTGCTGACGGTGAGGCTCTGTTGCAGAATTCCCTTCTTCAAGTTCTGCTACCAGTGTGGCCGCTCCATCGGGGTCCGCCTCTTGCCCTGCCCTCGCTGCTACGGGATCCTGACCTGCAGCAAGTACTGCAAGACCAAGGCCTGGACCGAGTTCCACAAGAAGGACTGCGGGGACCTGGTGGCCATCGGTAGGTCGGCCCTCAGGCTGGGAGGCAAGGGTTCCGCTGCTGCTGAGGGCGAAGGCGCAGGCCTGGGGTGCTGGTGAGGGGCACCCTCATTTCCCAAAATCTCTCCAGATTCAGGCCACTTTCCCAACATTTCCAGATCGGCCTGTTGGGAGGTGGGCATCGGGGCCACTGAGGCAGCCTGGCTCTTCCTCACCTACTGTGGCAGCATAATGCTTGTCCTCGTCCTGGAAGGGGACACCACCCCATCCCTGCAGAGCTGGAACATGGACCCCTGGGGGCTCTGCTGACACCTGGGAGCTTCACTGAACTCCTAGGGGGCTCTGCTGACATCCAGAGGCTTCACTGACACCTGGGGGCTCTGCTGGTCACCAGTGCCTCTGGACCACAGGGCAGTTGGCCTTGGGGCTCCTTCAGGAAATTTCCTCCCAGCCTGCCGTCTCAGATGTCTGTCTTAGTGTGGACGTCAACAGGTGTCTGCTTCTAGAAACACTCTGGTCTCCCGCAAGCCCCTCCTCACCTCCTTGGTGTGAACAGGGCCCGGTGCCGCAAGGGTGGCGGGCATTGCCGAGGCTGGTGTGCGAAGCTGTGCAGTGGTGACCGCTCTACTGGGACCTGGCTGGGTTCCCGGCCTGGTGGGGACGGGAGTGGGTCTGGGAAAGCCCCTGCCCCCTTAGGCCTGTGCCCTGAAGTGAATGGCTGCTGACCTCCTTCCCCCTCCATAAAATGGGGCTTTTTGTTTTCTTTTGAGACGAAGTCTTGCTCTGTCGCCAAGTCTGGAGTGCAGTGGCATGATCTTGGCTCACTGCAACCTCCGCCTCCCCGGTTCCAGTGATTCTCCTGCCTCAGCCTCCCGAGTAGCTGGGATTACAGGCTAATTTTTTGTATTTTTAGTAGAGACGTGGTTTCACCGTGTTAGCCAGGATGGTCTCGATCTCCTGATCTGGTGATCCACCCACCTCGGCCTCCCAAAGTGCTGGGATTACAGGCATGAGCCACCGCGCGCAGCCAATGGGGCTTTTAATAACAGGCGCCCTCGGTGAGGTCGCAGCTCCTTGGCTTGTAGACTCCAGGATGGGACTTGGTGGGTGTGGCAGGCCCCTCTTTGAAGAGTCACGGCAGATAGCCCTCAGTCCTTGCTGCATCCCGACTCCTTGCCTGCAAAAGCTCTAGACAGAGCACAGTCCTCAGCCGCCCCACACAGCCCGAGTTCTGGAGCCAGGCCTCGGGGGAGGCCAGCTCCAGCCCCCTCTTCCCCCTCCCCCACACCTTTTCCTCCTCCAGTGACACAACTGGAGCAAGTTTCCAGGAGGAGAGAAGAATTCCAGTGAAGCAGCAGCTGCACGTCCGAGGCTTGGGGAGGACCCAGGACTGTGTGGGTTTCTTACCTGCCTGAGCCACCTCAGGGAATCTTCCAGCCTAATGCAGGCATTTCTGCACCTTTGGGGTCATGCTTTGTAGCAGTGTCTCCCTTGCGACCTCGCAATAAATTGGCCCCACGGGGTGATTTTGACAGTCTGTGCTGTGCTCTGCCCCTAGCTGGGCAAAGTCCCAGAGCTTTTGTGGAGCCCGTGCCTGCCTCTGCCCCTGGCTTTGATCTTGCTTGGCCTCCCATGGGGCATGGCCTGGGCCATCCTGATGGACGAGGCAGGTGAGGGTCAGGACTCGGAGCCTGCTGCAGAGATGGCGGTGGGGGCAGCTCCTGGGTCTCTGGAGCTTGTTCTGGGACCTTGCCAGGAGCCCGCGGCAGCAGGCTCCACTCCCTGCTCAGGTGCCCATGGGTGCAAGGCTCCTACTGGGGTTTGCGGTGCTCGTTTGTTCCCCGTGCACTTACGGAGTGTCTGCTGTGTGCTGAGTGTTCTGGGGACGATGGTGTTTGTGGAAATCACTGGGAATGAGAGGAAGGAGGGCCTGGAGCACATGACAGGGAGCAGTGTTGCCTTCGAGGGTGGCCTGCGTGGAAATTCACGGAGAGGGCAGGGGAAGATGCGCAGTGAGGGGCGGACCTGGAGAAGGACGACAGCATCCCCGGAGACAAGGGGACAGCGTCCAGGGATGAGGACGATGGGGGTTTGCTGCTGAGGGCAGAATAGCTGGGAGTGTGGGGGGTGGGAGCCTGTGTCGGGGCTGGAGCCAAGCAGGTGAGACCCCGCTCCAGGCTGGCTTGTGGCTGTCAAAGCAGCTGCACCTGCAGTGATTTTTTTTTTTTACTGACTTTCCTGGTCTCGCCAAAGATGGGCTCCATGCTGGGGGTTTGTTGGGGGTGCCCTGGGAAAGGCTTCTGTAAGGGGTCAGCAGTGAGCCTGGGCAGAGGGACAAGCTGACCGCTGGGTGGCTCTTCATAGGGGCTCCCAACGGACGCAGGGACCAGGCCTTTGTACCCCTGCATCGGCTGGTCACCAGCCACAGGCTGCCCCTGGGAGGGTCGTAACTGTGTGAGCTGGCTCCCTGCCGCCAAGAGCTGTTCCTGCTCAGGGGGGTCTGGGATGCTGGGTGGGTGTAGGCACCCCCGGCTTCCACTACCTCTGCTAGAAAGGAAAAAGCTGCTAATGGATACTTATTTGATGGTACACTTAATTCTATAAAAGTTAGAGAATATCTACAAAGCAAAAGAAAGAACCTGTAAGTGACAATTATCCGCACTGTATTAGTCCATTCTCGCACTGCTACACGTACATATCAGAGACCGGAAAATGTATAAAGAAAGGAGGTTTAATTGGCTCAGGGTTCTGCAGGCTGCACAGGAAACATGGCGGCATGTGCTCAGCTTCAATCATGGCGGAAGGAGAAGGGGAAGCCGGCACTTCGCATGGCTGGAGCGGGAGGAAGGGGAGGGGCTGCCACACACTTTTCAAAACAGCCAGATCTCGTGAGAATTCTATGACCACGAGAACTGCACCAGATGGGGAAGTCTGCCCCCGGGATCCAATCACCTCCCACATTGGGGATTACAATTTAACATGAGATTTGGGCAGAGACATAGATCCAAAGCGTATCACAGACACCTGGATATTACCATGGCCAACGCTTTGTGTGTGTCCTTCTGATCTCTACAGGCATGAGTGCACACAGACAGACGTGTATCTAAAAGTGGGAGCATCCTCTCTGTTCTGAACTAGGCCATGAACATCTATGTTATTAAATATTTTTCTGCAACATAATTTCCCCAAATGAATATAGCTTTATTTTTTATTATATATGCAATATACGCTTATTTAAGAAAGAAGACAGCAAAGACAAGAGTGATAAAAATAACTGGGGGAGGTGGCATATACCTGTGATCCCAGTGACTTGGGAGGCCGAGGCAGGCGGATTGCTTGAGCCCCGGAGTTCCAGACCAGCCTGGGCAACATAGACCCTGTCTCTAAAAAAAAGATCTTAGTCAGGTGTGGTCGCACACACCGTAGTCCCAGCTACTCAGGAGGCTGTGGTGGGAGGATTGCTTGAACTAGGAGTGTGAGGCTACAGTGAGCTGTGATGGCACCACTGTGCTCTGGCCTGGATGAGAGAAAGATGCTAACAACTAATTTTTAAAAATGAGAAAATCATCTTAATCTTAAAATTCAGGGATAAGCATTCTGAGCATTTTGGGGAACATATTCTTTATTTTTATTATTTTTTTTGAGACAGAGTTTCTCTCTTGTTACCCAGGCTGGAGTGCAATGGCAGGGTCTTGGCTCACTGCAACCTCTGCCTCCTGGGTTCAAGCGATTCTCCTGCCTCAGCCTCCTAAGTAGCTGGGATCATAGGCATGCGCCACCACGCCCAGCTAATTTTGTATTTTTAGTAGAGATGGGGTTTCTCCACGTTGGGCAGGCTGGTCTCAAACTCCTGACCTCGTGATCCACCCACCTCAGCCTCCCAAAGTGCTGGGATTACAGGCGTGAGCCACTGCGCCCGGCCTCCACTGGTCCCTTTTCATTGGAGATGTTTGCTCTTCCTGATGGATGGGAACTCTCTAAAGCACAGCAACTTCTCCTATGCCTTGTGTGCAAATAACTGTCTTGCAGTTTGCAGTTTGCACGTGGAAGTTTTTCTCGTGTTGTGAAATCCACGTGTCCTTTCCTCAGGGCCTGGCTTGCTGGAGTGCGTAGAGAGCAGTCCCTTGCTGGGCTTATGTATGCAAGGGTAGCCTTTGCCCAGATTCTCACCACCGTTTTAATGAATTACTGCTTAACCTGTAATTGTATAACCAATCTAGCATTAATTTTTGTGTAAGGTTTGAGAGCCAGCTATCTAGATCTATCCCCAAACAATGGGCGTGATCGAGTAATCCATTTCTTTTCCCTGGTGGGCATATGCCTGCCTCTTAGTTGCCGTAGGGGCCCCTTCTGTGCTCTGCTGTCTCCACCTGCAGCTCTGTGGCCTTTTCACATCTGCCAGGACAGGCCCACCCTCCTCTTCACCGGCCCTGTGAAAGGCCCTGCGGTGACCATGTGCTTTTTCTTCCAGATGAATTGTGCAGTGTGTGTCAAGTTCTAAAATGTCTCGTTGGGACTTAGCAATTATCTTGTTTCATTTGATTGGCAGACAGTTGGCATCTTTTGAGCAGAGTTTTCTGGCTTGTGAGATGATACTGTGGTCACTTGGTATATGGTGTAAGATAAGGGTATATGGTGTAAGATAAGGGTCCAATTTCTCTCTTCTGCATGTACATATCCGACTTTCCAAGCGCCATTTGCTAAAGAGGCTCCTTTTGCTATTGTATATTCTTGGTCCCCTTGTCAAAGATTAGTTGGCTGCATATGTGTGAGTTTATTTCTGGACTCTATATTCTGTTTCATTGTATCTGTTTTTATGACTGTATCATATTGTTTTGATTACTACAGCTTTGTAATATACTTTAAAACAGGATGTGTGATATATCCAGATTTGTTGTTCTTTTGCAAGATTGCTTTAGCTGTTTAGAGTATTTTGTGATTCCACACAAATTTTAAGATTGTTTTTGCTATTTCTGTAAAAAAAAATGCCATTGGAATTTTGATAGACATTGCATTGAGTTTGTAAACTGCTTTGGGTAGTATGGACATTTTAACAGTATTCTTCCAATCCATGAACATAAAATGTCTTCCATTTGTTTGTACCTTAATTTCTCTCATCAATATTTTATAGTTTGCAGTATATATTCTATATTTTATAGTATTTATATATTTATGGTATTCAGTATATATTCTAAAAGTTCCACCAAAAAACCTGTTAGACGTAATAATGAATTCATTAAAGTTGCAAGATACAATATCAGCATACAAAAATTAGTTGTGTTTTTATGCACTAACAATGAACTATCTGAAAAAGAAATTAAGAAAACAATGCCATTTACAATAGCATAAAAATAATAAAATAATTAGCAATAAATTTAAGTGAGGATCCTTTACCTCCCTTAAATTTATTGCTAAGTATTTTATTTAAGTATTTAAGCAAGGTTCTTTTACCTCGCTTAAATTTATTGCTAAGTATTTTATTTAAGTATTTAAGCAAGGATCTTTTACCTTGCTTAAATTTATTGCTAAGTATTTTGTTATTTTTATGCTATTGTAAATGGGATTGTTTTCTTAATTTCCTTTTCAGATAGTTCATTGTTAGTGCATAAAAACACAACTAATTTTTGTATGTTGATATTGTATCTTGCAACTTTAATGAATTCATTTATTCTAACAGGTTTTTTGGTGGAACTTTTAGAATTTTGTGTATGTAAGAGATCATGTCCACTCTTCAAAAGAAGACATATGTATCTAGCCAACAAGCATATGAAAAAAGCTTAATATCACTGATCATTAGAGAACTGCAAATCAAAACCACAATATGATACCATCTCACACCAGTCAGAATGGCTATGATTAAAAGTAAAATTAATAGATACAGGTGAGATTGCAGAGAAAAGGGAATGCATATGCATTGCTGGTGGGAATGTAAATTAGTTCAGCCATTGTGGAAAGCAGTGTGGTGATTCCTCAAAGAGCTAAAAACAGAGCTGTCACTTGACCCAGCAATCCCATCACTGGGTATGTACCTAAAGGAATATAAATTTTTCTACCATAAAGACATATATGCACACATATGTTCATTGTAGTTGTATTCACAATAGCAAGGACATGGAATCAATATAAATGTCCATCAGTGGTAGATTAGATCAAGAAAATGTGGTACATATACACCATGAAGTACTATGCAGCCATAAAAAAGAATGAGATCATGTCCTTTGCAGGAATGTGGATGGAGCTGGAGGCTATTATCCTTAGCAAACTAACGCAGGAACAGAAAACTAAATACCACATGTTCTCACTTATATTAAGTAGGATCTAAATGATTAAAACATTTGGATACAAAAAAGGGGAACAACAGACACTGAATCCTACTTGAGGGTGGAGGGTAAGAGGTTGGAGAGATTAGAAAAAATAACTATTAGGTACTAGGTTTAGTATCTGGGTGATGGAACAATCTGTACAACAACCCCCCATGACACGAGTTTACCTATATAAGAAACTTGCACATGTACCCCTGAACCTAAAAGTTGTTTTTTAAAAGATCATGTTGGCCTGGCGCGGTGGCTCACGCCTGTAATCCCAGCACTTTGGGAGGCCGAGGCGGGTGGATCACAAGGTCAGGAGATTTAGACCATCCTGGCTAACACAGTGAAACCCGTCTCTACTAAAAAAAAAAAAAAAAAAAAAAAAAAATTAGCCAGGCATGGTGGTGGGCGCCTGTAGTCCCAGCTACTCAGGAGGCTGAGGCAGGAGAATGGCATGGACCTGGGAGGCGGAGCTTGCAGTGAGCCAAGATTGCGCCACTGCACTCCAGTCTGGGCGACAGAGTGAGACTCTGTCTCAAATAAAAAAAAAAAGATCATGTTATTGGCAAACAGAGACAGTTTAACTTCCTCCTTTCTGATGTGGATGCCTTTTATTTCCTTTCTTGCTAATTGCTCTGGCAAGGACTTCCAATAACACATTAAATAGAAGTGGTGAAAGTGGGCACCCTTGTCTTGTTCGTGATCTTAGAGGAAATGCTTTCAGCTTTTCACTATTGAGTGTAATGTTAGCTGTAGGCTTGTTGTATATGTCCTCTATTATGTTGAGGTATATTCCTTCTGTATCTAGTTTGTTGAGAGTTTTTACCGAAACAGGATGTTGAATTTTGTCAAATACTTTTTCTGTATCTATTGAGATGACCATATGATTGTTATCCTTTATTCTGTTAATATGGTGTATCACATTTATAGGTTTTCATATGTTGAACCTTGCATCAACATATATCCACATCCATATGGAATCTGTCCATATCTACCCCAACTTTGGAAAGTTTTCCGCCTTTGTTTCTTTAAATAAGCTTTCTGCCCCTTTGTTTCTGTCTTCTTTTGAGACTTCTATAATTCACATATTTATTTTCTTGTTGGTCTCCGTAGGTCCCGTATGCTTTTTTCACTCTTTAATACTTACTCCTTTTTATTCTTTTTTTTTTTTTGGTTAATTGGTTAGTTTTAAATAATTTGTCTTCAAGTTTACCAATTCTTTCTTCTGTATGATCGAGTCTGTTGAAGCTCTTTATTGAATTTTTCAATTTTGTCATTGTGTTTTTCAGCTCTAGGACTTCTATTTGGTTCTTTTTTATGGTTTCCATTTTTCTATTAAACTTTACATTTTATGCATTTGTTTTTCTTATTTTTTTGGTTGTCTCAGTTATCTCGCATGTTATTGAGTTTTTTTAAGATGATTGTTTTGAATTGTCAGGCAATTTATAGATCTTTATTTCTTTGGGATCACTTACTGGAGCTTTACTAGTTTCTTTTGGTGGTTTTTTTTGTTTTTTTTTTTTTTTTAGACAGAGTTTCACTCTTGTCGCCCAGGCTGGAGTACAGTGGCACAATCTCAGCTCACTGCAGCCTCCGTCTCCCGGGTTCAAGAGATTCTCCCACCTCAGCCTCCTGAGTAGTGGGATTACAAGCATGCACCACCATGTCTGGTTAATTTTTATATTTTTAGTAGAGACGAGGTTTCACCGTGTTGGCCAGGCTGGTCTCGAACTCCTGACCTCAAGCAACCTACCTGCCTCAGCCTCCCAAAGTGCTGGGATGACAGGCATGAGCCACCATGCCCAGCTGTGGCATCATGTTGGCCTGATTCTTTATTATTCATAGAGCCTTGCATTGGTGTCTCAATTTGAAGCAGCAAACACCTCTTTCAGCCTTTACAGACTGATTTTTGGCAGATAAAGATCTGTTGGGTCTCTGAAGGGTTGCCTCCAGGATTAGTTTAGTCACATGGCTGCTGCTGAGTCTACAGTGGGGTTTGTGGTTGGTGAGTCTATTCAGGGAAGGAGCAGGCATTGAACATGTCTGGTCCCTGGGCAGACTGGACTGCCTCTAAGACCTTGAGGAACAGGGCTAGCTCTGGGACAAGGGTGCACTCAGTCACTGCGTGAGTCCCTGACAGGCAGGACTGACCCCAGACTGTGGTTAAAAGGAGATGAAACCAAGTCACAAGGCTGGTTTAAGGCTCACAGCTGAGACTGAGGTCTGTAGGCCTGCCTTTGGGGGCACAGATGGGCATGCCTCCTGTCAGGTTCTTGGGGAGGGCAGGACTGCCTTCAGACCATGGCAGAGTGGGGCTGGAGCTGGGTCACAGGGCTCCTTCAGCCTGTGCAGTTGTAGATTGGTAGGCCTGCCTCCCCGCGTGCGGCCGTAGATTGGTAGGCCTGCCTCCCCGCGTGCGGCCGTGGATTGGTAGGCCTGCCTCCCAGCGTACAGCTGGGCTTGTCTCAGTATCCCTGGGTGGGCAGGACCGCTCCAGGACTGTGACTGGGGAAGGATGGAGTAAACTCAGAACCATTTCAACACTTCTTTTGGGATTTTGTGGCCTAACTCAGACGAGTGTCTCCCAGCACGTCCTTGGGAAGGCAGGACTGCTTTCAGACTGCAGCTGAGGGGTTGGAGCTGACTTACAGGGCTATTTCGGGATCTGCAGTGGAACCAAGGTTGGTGGGCCTGCCTTCAGGGGGGATGGACTGGGGTATCTTCCAGGAGATCCCTGGGCAGATGGTTCCTGTGTCAGGAGAGCCAAACAAGGCTGCCATTGAGTCCATAGGGGGATGAGGCCATTTCTGGATCTGCAAAGGACCCCATTTGGCGAGCTGCAACCTGGGTGCAAACCTGCCCTCTTAAAACAGCCCTTCTCAGTTGGGCTCCATCAGGATTTCCCAGCCTCCTACCAGAGTCCTGAGGCTCCCACGAAGGCACTTTTGTGTGTGGATGGCTGCCAAATTCTTGTTGCAATGGGTGGCTAAAAGCAGGGGGTCCCCTGTTCTGCCATCTTGCTGACATTACTTCCACTTGGTACTTTTTCCAATCTCCTTGTTTTTTCTTTTTAAAAATGGAATTGTTCTATCCTTATGGTTTCTATTTCTCCCCCTTTTCGCTTTGATAACACAAAATACTTATTTTATAGACCATTTCAGTTTGCTCTGTCATCTAAAGTTCTCAGGGTGCTGCTGGCTCTGGTGGCAGATTTTATTTTATTTTTTCATTTTGAAATTTTAAAGAATCTTGTAATCTCAGCTACTTGGGAGGCTGAGGCAGGAGAATCGCTTGAACCCGGGAGGCAGAGGTCGCAGTGAGCTGAGATCACACCACTGCACTCCAGCCTGGTGACAGACAGATACTCTGTCTCAAAAAAAAAAAAAAAAAGAATTTGAGTTCCTGTCCCTGAGGCGTTGTGATTTCTCTGAGGGAATCTCACTTCCTCACTGTGGACAAACCCTCTAGGTACTTTTGTATTTACTCATTATCTTTTGTCACCAGCCACTGATTCTTCAAAAAGGAGGATTTTTTTTTTCCTGCCCAGATCCCTAGGCAGCAAAAGCTTCCCTGGCCCATCTCTGGCAATAGGGAGAACTTCGTTTCTTTGCGGTTTCCAGGTCACCTGGGGTTCCAGTTCCAGCTCCCAGCCCTCACCCAGGTCTGTGGGTACCCCTCACCCCAAGCTTCTATCCTGAGAGGGTATTTCTGTGCCTGATACACCACTCTCCCCACTTCCCATTCATTGAAGCCTCTCACTTTGTTTTTCTTTTCAGCACATGAGGTTTTTAGCTCTCCTGTGACCTCAGATAGGTATTAACTTTGCGAAACTGACTTTTTCCAGAATTTCAACGTGTCTGTGAGGAGAGGGGGTTATTTTAGCTGAGTCTACTGTGTTGCTGTGATCTTTTCAAAGTCAACATTTCCCAGTGTTTCCTCCTGTTTCTTTTAATTCTCACATCAGGACGCTTGGTCTGACTTCCCAGGCCGATGCTGCATATTTTGACGTCTCCTATGAGTTTTTTACTGGCTCTTTTTTTGTGCTTTCCCAGATTGAGTGTAAACATGGGTTTGTGCTAGAAACCATGAGGGTTCCTGTTCATATTTCCAGGCCATATGAAAGAAGGAGGGAAATGTTTAGACTCACTGGTTTTGCTTTGTGGGGTGGTCTCATCTGGGAGGGGCTGCTGTGCACACGGGGAGAGCTTGCTGGGCAGTGACTGCCTCCGGCTCATCCACAGCCCTGGCGTCTGTGAAGCCTGTGTGCTTTCCCCTCAGGAAAGCTGTGGTGGCCTTGTTGGGGTCTCTCAGAATCCCACCTTCCCTAGACTCTACCCACTTCTTTGATGGCTGTGACACATGCTGTCTGTTGGAGAGATGGACGCCCAGTTATGGTCCTTCCATGATTTCAGTAGTGGCTTAGGGCAGGAGGAAGGTGGACTGAGAGGTGGGAGTTAGTCGTCTGTCCCAAACTCAAGGGAGCACTGCGATTATAAATGGTGTTTCTCGACAGAGGGCCTTGTCCCCAGATAAAGAATACTTAGGGTCACCTGGACAGGAGCAGTGTGTGCACCCACGGGTGTGTCTGTCTCTGTGTGAGTGCATGCGTGTATACTGTGCATGTATGTAATGTGTGCATGTGTGTATGGGCATGTGTACCTGTCTACATGTGTGCACGTGCATAGGCCTGTGCACATGTGCATGCATGTGTATGGGCATGTGTACATGTGAGTGCATGCATGTGCAGGAGGATGTGTGTGCACGTGTATGGATATGTGTGCTTGTGTGTGTATGCACAGGGCATTGTACGTGTTCATACCTATGTGTGTGCATGTGTGTACATGTGTAGGAGTGTGCACATGTGCATGGGCATGTGGGCATGTGAGGACGTGCATGTGCAGAAGTGTGTGCACGTGTATGGATATGTGTGCTTGTGTGTGCATGTACAGGGTGTTGTATGTGTTCGTTTGTGTGTGTAAATGTGGAGTGCACATGTGCATGTGTGTGCACCGTGTGATGGGTGTATGTTCGTGTGGAGCAGACACCCATGCTGGCCTGCCGGGGCTGCCTGCAGATGGTGTGGGAGACGCTGGGGCCACCCACCACGGCTGGGCTGAGCTGCTCAAGGGAGGCTGACTGAGGGGCTGCTCTCTGCCCATCAGTGTGGGTGGGTCAGTTTGTCTGTGGCTTCTGGAATTCCTGTGAGGAACCGAGAGGGACTGAGAGCCAGCCCTGGCTGGAAGGGGTCTCTCCCTGAGCAGCCTCTTGGGGCAGCACTAGGGTGGGCAGAACTTGGGAGCTCCCTGGTGGTCTGAGGTGTGGCCGGGAAGGCAGGGCTGAGACCAGCCGGGTGCCCCTGCCCACCCACTCCTGGCGTGGTGTCGGCTCTGCACAGAGTGCACACGCACCTGTGTCCTCCTTTCCCTGACATGAAAGATGCATTTGCCCAGGTTCAAAAAGGGCTTGTGGAAGTCTTGAAGCAGCTGGGCAAGGTGGTGCCTGGAAGCCTGAGATCCTGCCGGCTGGACCAAATGCGTTGTCCACAACTACAGCCGCTGATGAGTGTCTGGCTGCTCACCTGTCCCCTAGGGGCCCCGCTGAGCCCCCAGGCTGCATCCCCTGGCCCGCCACGGAGAGGACTCCACCCCACCCTCATTTCCCAGGGGAGGAGCCGGGCCTCTGGGACTTGCGGAGGGGCCTGCAAGTGAGGACCGTGGCTACCAGGGACCTGGCGGCTGCAGATGCTTTGTGGGAGGCCTGTGTGCAGCCCTTCGTCCTGCCCGGAGCTGGGACCTACTAAGCAGTGGAGTTCAGCAGGGCTGGGTGGAGCTGCATCTCCCTCCTGGGGTGCCCACCCACCCCTCTGTGCTCTCACGCTCACAAGGGGCCTGGAGGTCCCAGTTGCTAGGGGGCCCTCTATTCCTGGGTCCCAGATGATGGAAACGCAATGTTAAAAATGTTCACCAGACCAACCTGTACTGGCTGCAATTCTCAATAAAGCAGTTGAGGGACACACCCAGAACAGTGGGCGCTTCTGCCAGTGCCGCCGTGCCACTTAGCCTCTGGCCATGACCCCACAGGAACAGGAGCGGGGCTATAGGGAGCCCCTAGGGTTATACAGGACCCTCCGCCTCGAGAGAAAGGTGGCTGGGGACAAACTGGACCACCAGGGCATCCTTGGGACAATGCTGGTTCCTTCTCTCTAGCCCCTTGGGCATCTCTGAGGCCACCTGGCAGGAACCAGAACCTTCCAGGGGTAGAGGATCTCTGTGCTGTGTGTGCCCAG
Organism: Homo sapiens; assembly: GCF_000001405.40. Classification (NCBI taxonomy): domain Eukaryota; kingdom Metazoa; phylum Chordata; class Mammalia; order Primates; family Hominidae; genus Homo; species Homo sapiens. Next base: position 240,468,364 of record NC_000002.12, on the reverse strand, counting down.
AGCAGGGGCAGGAGGCAGGAAGAGGTAGATGGGAGGTGGGGCCTGCTGGAGGCCATCTGGGTCTCCGTGCCCTGGCCTTTTCCTTCTCCCCTGCACCAAGGAGAGGGGCGGACAGACCGGAGTCTGTCCAGGGCAAGGTGGAGCTGCAGACAGGCTGAAGGGCGCAGCTGGCAGGGGCTGCACGTTCACCCCAAACACGGAAGTGTGGTCCATGCCCAAGCCCCAGACAGACAGACACACACACACATACGCACACATTCTCTCTCCCCCCGAGGCCTCGCCCTGCTGTAGGTTTCCAGCCTTTTATTCATACAAGGACTCAAAAGAACACACGTCACCCGCTGACACTGAGCGGTGGGGGGACCTTGTGGAGGAAGGACACAGCAGGCTTGGCCACTGCCCTGACCAGTGACCACTCAGGGCTGCCCCTTCCAGAGATGAGCGTAGGGTGGGGTCTGAGCGCCACCCCTAGGCCGTCTGTGTGCAGCGGGAGTGCTGCTGTCCTGGCGCCCGGCATCACTGTGCCAGAGTCCCCAGCCCACCCTGGCACTGGCAGGGTTATTATGGGGTGGACTTGCCTGTGTTGGGGGCTCCTGATCCCAAAACATCTAAAGTCAGGTTCCAGAGAACAAGCCATGGGGACCTGACCAGCAACCGGGGACCTCCGTCCACTGTGCGGGACGGTGATGAAAAGCAAAGCAGCACTAAGCGGCCTCCTCAGGGTCAGTCGGTTCAGGACAGCTGCCCCCAGACCCTCCAAGTCCTCCTCCCCCTGCAGGACCCCTTCCCAACACCACACCACCCCTCCCCAGGGCCGCCTGGCAGCTGGGGCACAGGAGGGAAGGAGGGCCCGTCCAGGCCTGGGGCAGGGCCCTGATGGCCTCAGTGAGTGACAGGAGGTCACCAGGGTCCAAGGTGGGCCCTGCGGCCCTCCGAAGCCATCTGGGAGGAGCGAACAGCTCTCCATGAACAAGGACAGGAAGTGTCAGTAAATGGATGCATGTTTGGAAAAGCCCTTAACTATCCAGGTCCCCGTGCCCTGCAGCTGGCTGGGTCGGGAAGGGACCTAGGCATTCCCGTCTGCAGTGCGGGGTCTCACCAGCCACCAGCATCCCTGTGAGCAGGTGACAGCTGAGGGTCACTCTGAGCCCTGACCTGTGTCACCGTGAACAGGGAGGCCCTGGTTCCTGATCTGGGTGAGGATGGGAGCAGGCGGGTCCTGGCTGCTCCTCAGCCCTCGGGGTCCTCCAACAGCCCTGGACCCCAGCAAGGCCTGCCCTGTGAGCCCTGTGTGCGAGGGGCAGCCCACATTGGCAGAGCCCACGCTGCCTCCCTGGGCCTTTGGGCCCAGCTTCCCCTCCTCCAGCAGAAGCGCAGGTGGGTCAGTGGCCCCTCATCTGCGCATGGAGGGCCCCTCACTGCAGGTCTGTGGGAGGACAGTCCTCAGACTCCTCAGCAGTGGTGCTGTCTCAGGCGTCACCCTGCAGACGCTGGGGCCCCTCAAGGGCGCAGGGAGGTGGGGCCGGGCTCTGCAGCCTGCGCTGAGGGGAGGGCATCATGCATCATCTCAGAGGCTCTGCCAGACCCTGGATGGCGGACACCCAGACAGCCCGTGCGGGGCTTCTCTGGAGGCTGGGGGGTGGGCCAGGGCTGGCTGGTGGGCTCTGCTGGGAGTCCCAGTGGGAGGAGGCGGGGAGGAAGGCACAGGCTCGCTGTGGGCTCCAGCGGGTTGCTTTGAGGCCTCCTCTGTAGGCCTCGAGGGGCTGCTTCTGCGGCGGTGCAGGGAGCTGGGGGGAGGGCTAGGCAGCCGGAGGTGCCCCTGAGGTCCCTGAAATACATGGCTTTTGGGCACACTGGCTCCCAGCTGACCTGAGGACCTCATACAAAATTAAAAGGCAGAAAGGCAGGCGAGGCCAGGCCTGGGGCTGGGACCTCTGCGCCTGCCCCTGCTCAGAGCCGCCGGCCCTCCCTGTCCCACCCCAGGCCTCTCCAGGCTGAGGTGAATTAAATATCGTCTGTGTTGTATTTTTGGCAAAGTCAGTCCTTGGCCTCTGTCCCTGGGGCCTTGGGGCAGTTACCGCCACCGGGGCCTGGCTACTGTAAGGGCCAGGAAGAGGAGGAGGGGCAGGAGGAAGGTCGGGGGCTGGGGGCAGCTGGCAGCCGAGGTCTTCTGTCCTTCCTGCTCTGACAGGCCTGGGAGGGCATGGGTCAAGGGCGTCCGGGAGCTGGAGCTCTTCCTGCTGACCTTCCGGCTGCAGAGGTCATCCAGACAGCCATCACCGCTGCCCGAGCCGCTGCCGTCGTCACCTGGGAAGGAGAGGAGGCTCCGGCAGGCAGGTCCCCACAGGAGACCCCAGTGCAGCACCACCCTGTAAGGGCCCGTGCCAGGTGACCCCAACATCCTTTCGGTGTGGAATCCCAGGACCAGCAGCACCTGATCCCCGCTGACCCCTGAGGCTGGGAGACTCTCACTCCCTGGGGCTGCCTCCCTTGGTCCCTGGAGCCAAAGCCAACAGACATCCCGGCCAGGCCTCCAGGGCGCCGCAGAGGTGCAGGGCTCGGTGATCGTGCCTGGGCAGCACAGCGTCCTCAGACTCACTGTGGTGATGCCGGAGCAGAGGGCCCCTCGGGTGGGGGAACCCGGAGGGCAGTCACACCCCTGTGGCACCCCCACCAACCCTGGCCCCTTGGCCGCCCGGCCAGGCCCTGCCCTCACTGGCGTCCTGGAAGTCCACGTCGTTGCCGTTGTAGGCGCTGCGCAGCCGGTTGGTCATGATCTTCAGCTGCATGATCTGCTGCCGGATGGTCATGTCCGGCTTGGTGATGTCCACCTCCACCTCGGGGTTGTTGATCTGGTTGGCCAGGCCGTCACCCATGACCTCGGGGAGGTACCTGGGGGAAAGGCAGGCAGAGCCCAGGTCACTGCTCCAGCCCCTGCAAAGGGCCATCACCTGAGCAGGACACTCTCCCACGCTCTGAGCCTGAGATGCCCAGCAGCTTCCAGGGACCGAGCAGAGCCCACACAGGCCGCAGAGAAGTGGGGCTCAAGCCCTCCAGCAAGGGACGTGGCCCCGTGCAGACAGCACCTGGCCCAGGCACAGCCCAATGGAGGCGGCATGGGAGGGAGGGCTGTGCCAGCCAGGTGGGCACCTACCGGCCTCTGGCCATCCCGTTCCAGCAGCGGTCATCACTGGCAGTGCTCAGGGCCATCTTCTCACTGCACAGTGTCCCTGGGAGGCTGATCCAGAAGTCCTGGACGTCGCGGAGCTGGGCCTTGGCTTCGGAGACCTGTGGGGCAGCAGTCAGGCCACTGGGCTGCCAGGGCCCGCCCGCCTCTGCCTGTCTGCCTCCCTCATGCCTGGTCCAGTGGACACGCAGGGGCCACTCACCAGCTTCTCCAGCGTGCCTGAAGGTGGCCTCTCCCGCGGGGCCAGCTTGCCCCGGCGCCGCTTCTCCTCAGGCCCGGGGCCCTGGGGGTTGACCTTGGGGTTCCCGCAGCCCTGGATGACCTGGAGAGACACTGCAGGGTCCTTGGGGGGTAGTGGGGCCCCTCAAGCCCAATGGGGCCACATCCAGGACCCCCACCCCGCTGTGCTCGTCACGTCCTCCTGCCCGCACCTTGGCCGTGAGCGTGTCCCTGTTGTCCTGGAGGGCGTTGATGGCCTCCGCCAGCCACGTGTGCACGCTGCCGATGACACTCTCCACACCCGATGTACCCCAGAACTTGTCGGTGATGAGCACCATGGAGTCTAGGACAGGCGTTAACACGCGGACACACAGGCGTTAACGCGCGCACACAGGCGTTGACACGCACACGCAGGCGTCACCACGTGTGCATGTTAATGCAGTCTTGACAGCACGGGTCAGCATGGGAGATCCCACGTGTGCACTCAGGTTGGCCCGTGTGACATGTGCAGGCCACGTGCACTCAGCTTGGCCCACACCCACGTGTGCACCTGTGCCACGGGCACAGGTGAACACGCACATACACAGAGGCCATTCTGCATGCTTGCTGGCCTGCCGTGTCTCGTATGTCCACGCTGGCTCATGCAGGTGTTGACATGTACATACGCTGGCTCACCTTGGTCCAGCTTGTGTGCACATGAGCCCGTGTGAGCTGGTGTGTATGCATGCTGGCTTACCTCATGCCCCCCCCATGTACACCTTAGTTCATGTGTGTGTTGCGTGCACGGTGAGCACATGTACAAGTAAAGCTCATGCATTTTGTCAGCTCCCATCACGTTAGCACACACCTGTTGGCCCCGTGTCAGCACATGCTAGCACGTGTTGGCACAGATGCATGCTGTCCCCCCTCATGTAAGCATGTGTACATGTTAGTGGATCTGGATAAGCATGTACATATTACCACACACGTGTTGGCATTGATGCGGGTCAGCCCAGCTCATGTCATCACATGCGCCCAGGAGCACACGCTGTACTGGTGGGCACTGGCCCACTGTGTGTCAGCAAGTGAGCACGCCAGTTCGCATGTGTCAGCCTGTCATGTGACGGTGCATGTATGTGTTAGCTTAAACAAGTGCCGGTCCTCGATGAGTCACACGTGTTGGCATGTATGCACACCGAGGTGCTTGCTAAGTGGGGAAGGACAAGAAACTATGACCCCACAGGGCTCCCTCCCTGGCAGCTGCCCCAAGTCACACATCACTCAGGACATTCAAAAGGCACCCTGGCCCCTCAACCCTGCAGCACCACCCAGATCTGGCCCGGGTCAGGGCATCCCTGATCAGGTCCCTGGGTCCAAGCTCTAAGCTAGGGACCACCCGCCCCCCAGGACCCCCAGTCGTGCACTCCCCAAGACAGTTCCAGGCCGCTCTCGCGGGTGGGGGCTCACCCAGGAGGTTCCTCCACTCGGCGTCCAGGTCGGCCTGGTTGGCAAGGCAGCCCTTGAGCACATTTCGGCAATAGTCAGGGCAGGGCCTGGCGCCGGGGACTCCCAGGCAGTGAGCACAGTAGACCAGCTTCATGACAGCTCTCGAGCACTCCGGGCCCAGGGGGACCTGGGGAGCAAGGGACCCTAAGCCAGGCCCCGAGGCCCTGGGGGTGCCTGGCCCCGGCCAGCCCCTAACGAAGCCCCAGGGTAGGGGGCTCTGGAGGGAAGTCAGGGGAGGCCTCTGCTCTGCCCCAGCTCGTGGTGGTCGCTGCCTGACTCGCAGGGCCTGCCAGCCCAGACGGCCCTCATTTTAATGATCTCGAGGGTCACAGGGAGGCAAGAATATCCTCACCCGCATGCCGCTGAGGAAACCAAGGCATGACTTGCCCAGGAGCCTGGAGGTGGGGGCAGTTCCCACCCAGGGCATGTGGGTCTGAGGCTGACGCCCTCCCTATGTCCCAGCTTAGCTGGGTCTGACACGTGCCCCGCAAGGGACCAAGGCATCCCCCTGGCCTGCGAGGCTCTGGGGCCCCACCCTGCCCGGCCCCCACGCATGTTGTTCTCTTCTGTCTCCTCTGCACTTTCACTCCACAGCCTGGCTCAGCGTCCAGCCCCAGCCCCTGGCCCTTCCCATCCTGGCCCATGATGGTTCTGGGCAGGGATGGGCCAGCCCAGAGCCGCCTGCCCAGAGCAAGGCTCACATCTGTGGGTACGCTGTTAGCAGGCCATGGGCAGCAGCCAATGCAGGAGGGACTGAGGCTGTGGGGCTGAGGTCAGAGGCTGGCCCAGAGGCCCAGGGGCACAGGGTTAAAGTAGGGGGAAGAGGAAGTCCCTTGGGCAGAGCATGGGGGTCTGGAGGGGTTTCTGAGAGCCCTGGGTGGCTGTGCGCACCTGAGCCACTTTCCGGACCACGTCGCTGGCCACGCCCAGGCCCTGCACAAAGGAGCGAGCAGCCACGAAGGCACGGGTGGCCCGCAGGCGCAGCTCTCTCGGGGCCTCCCCGAAGGGCCGCAGCGCCTCGGCCTGCTTGCCCAGGCAGTCCAGGTAGTCATCAGGCAGCAGCAGCTGGGGGTGCAGCTGCTTGAAGAGGCGCTCGAGCAGGCGGGCCCAGAACTCGGCCAGCGTCTCCTCCAGGTGCAGGTTGGCACCGCGGTAGTACAGGCGCAGCTCTGAGTACAGGTCCCGGAAGGCCCTCGCGTTCTGCGTGTACAGCTCTCCGAAGGCGCCGGGGAAGGTGGCCTGCAGCGTCCGCTCCGAGTCGTTCAGCAGGTGCTGGAAGTGGTCTGCGCACAGGGAGGGGGCGTGATCGGGACCATGTTTCCCCCGCCGTGGCAGCTGGACCAGAGCAGGGGACTCAGCCCGGGAGACTCAGCTCTGAGGATACACTCTGAGGACCTCGGAGTCGGACGCCACACTGCAGCGGCTGTGGGCCCTGTGGGCATCCATGGGGCGCCCCGAGACCTCACCCCCTGGCCTGGGGAGCAGGGGCCCAGGTGGCAGGGGGTCCTCTCGGGTCTCAGGGCCTCTGACTGGGGCTCCAGTGGCAGTTTCTGAGCTGAGCCCTGGGCAGAACAGATGCTCTGTGACTCAGTGACCCCCTGAGAACACCCAGGGAGGGGCTGCTGGTGGAGATGGGGACTCACTGGGGTAAGAGGGGCAGGGCCGGTCTGTGCCCCCCTGCCAGCCGCTCCTTCTCTCCACTGGTCCCCACTTGTGCTCCCCGTGGCCCCAGCCGCCTGCCCTGCGAGTCTCCAGGGCTGCTGCCCCTCCCGCCACCCTGTCTCGGCTGCTCTCCTAGGCTTCTTGTCTTCTCTCAGCTTCTGCGATTTAGAAGCTTCAGCTGTGAGCACCCCGGGCCTGTCTGAGGGCTCTGGGGGGCCTCCTGCAGCCTAGAACCCCAGACATCTCCCCTGCTGGGCAGGGGGTGTGGAGGCACAGGCTCACCCTCAGACCTCCACATGTGCTGCAGGGGCTTTAGGGAAAAGCCCCCGTACCCCGGGCCTAGATGGGACCCTGGACTTCCCCATCCCATTTGGAAGTGGGACTTCCAGGTCTGTAACTGCTCAGAGCGTCCCTAGGGCTGTGGCCGGCTTTGCCCCACAGGTACCGGGGGCTCGATGGCCCACCACAAGGTGCTCCAGGGTAGCAGGGCAGAGGCTCTCCTTTGAGGCACGGGGGCCGTCAAGCCTGAGATCTCTGGATCAGCCCCCACGCTGACCCCTGGCAAGGCCTGGGGCTTCAGGGCTGGCAGGGCTACAGAGAGCTCCCAGGCCGCTGTGGGGAGGGTGGACGGGCCACACAGCTGTCCAGTGTCCACCTTGGGTCCTGGCGCCTGGAACGCCCTGGCCTGTCCCGGAAAGGGGCGGCTTGTGGTTCATGCATTAGCCCAGACACACCTAGAGGGCCATGGGCCAAATCCAGGTGCAGTCCCCAGCTCTACCTCCTGCCAGAACCCATTCAGCTGCTCCTGAAGGCTGGTGGGGGGGCGGACACAGGGCTCCAAATCCCTGAACACAGCAACCAGAGGTCCAGCCAGGCTCCCCTCCTACCGCCTCCCACTGGTTCCCACCAGCACTGCAGACAAAGACCCAGGGGCCCTCAGCTGCCCCGGAGGCTGGGAGGGGACAGCAGCTGCCATGGGCAGGGGTGGGAGGGGAGGACATAGGAGGTGGGGGTTGGACAAGACTCCCTGGGGTAGGGGCACAGGTGGGCCTTGGGCACATCACATAGTGGGTCATTTTTAATACAAATGTCCCCAAAGGGTGTCTGTGTTTTCAGGTCAAAGATAGGAGAGTTGAACAGGAAGGCTGGAGGCTTCCAGAGGGCAGCAGAGGGAGGGCGGCGGCAGGGCACTGACACGGGACAGGCCCCAGAGCAGGGCAGCGACACCAACCCCCTAAGAGCCAGGAGGAAGCAGGCGGGCAGGATGTCCCCAGGCCAGGAGGATGGTGTGATGGGCAAGGGTATTAGCAGGAGAGGGGAAGGGGCAGGGCTGGGTGGCACGCTGGGGCGGGAGCCAGGGCTCAGCGGCGCTGGGGAGAAACTGAGGCCCAGGATAGAGTGGAGGAGGTGAGCCGGGTCCCTACACATGGGACAGAACCAAGTGGCTCAGGAAGGCTCCTGACTCAGGGTGCAGGGGCTCGCTCCCCGGGTCCAGCTGGGCAGGAGGAAGGAGAGTCCCAGAGGGGCCACGCGCATCCCACGGGCCCCACACCAGCGGGGAGGGCTGAGCTCTGAGCATCGATGTCCAAGTCACAGAGAGGGAGCTTCTGACCCACTGCTACCCAGGTGTACGCCAACAGCTGAGGTCCCACAGCCCTGTGGAAATGGCCTTGGGGGCTCCTGGGGACAGGCAGACTCTCCCGGGAGCCTGGGAGGCCACAGCAGGTGTCCAGGAGCCGGAGAAGCAGGAACGCTGAGACAAACCCCAGGGCCCCAGCAGCAGCTGCCGTCCCTCACAGCCACAATGGAGCCCTGCAGCCTCAGCGCTCCCTCCCTCCTGTCTGCCCAGGCTCACTGTCCCGGCGCCCTGGCTCCGCCCGGACACAGGGGCAGTACCTCAGCCCGGGCCGCCTCCCTCCACCAAGTCCTCGTGTTTCTGATCAGAGGTCACTTCATGGAGGACCTCCTGACCCCACACTGTCCCCCTGGGGGTGGCTGCCACTCTCTGCCCAGACACAAGGCGAGGCCCAGCCTGGGCCGAGGAGTACGTGGCTCTAATGCAGCAGCTGGCGGGGCCTCAAGGCCTGCAGGGGTCACTCCCCGCGGCCCCCAGACTCCTGCCCCGATATAAAGGGCTGAGTGGCGGCCACCCCAGGCAGGCCCTGCACTCTGCAGCCCTGTCCCCAGCCCCAGTCTCAGCCCTTGCACTGAGCTCCCTGGCTCCAGGCCACCTGGTCCCCAGGGGCAGTGGCCTGGGGCACTTGACGAGCTGCAGGCAGGATTTGGCCAAGGCCTGTCTCCCTGCAGGTGCTCAGGAGAATCTGCTGGTGACAGGAGCCTCTGAGGGGCTGATGGGATAGGCCCTCTGTCCCCAAATGTGCACTGGGAATGGGCTGTGCACACTCCCAGGGGGGTGTCAAACCCTGCAGATCCCTGCCTGAGGGCAGCCCCCAAATCCCAGCTGGGGCTTCAACCCAGCGCCCTAGCCCCAAAGCACTAACTCCCCCACCTCCTCCTGCCAATCCCCCACCCTTGGCATTGACACACCAGGCAAGGCCCAGTGTGCCCCTCCCCCGATGCACCGGCACCCTGCGGGCCCCGAGCGCCCGTGGGAGGCACTCACCATCGAAGCTGCGCAGCTGGGTGGCAAGCATGGCCTGCAGGACGCGGCTGCTGTCCCGGAGCGCGGTCTCCAGCTCGGCATGGCTGCGGTTGGCCAGGTTCTCCTCCATCTCGCTGGTGCAGCAGGTGTAGCCCTGGGGACAGATCCGCAGGTGCTCACCTGTGGGGAAAGGCCAGTGTGAGGGAGAGGGGCTGGGACAGCACTGGGAGCCAGGAGGGCACCCTCAGGCTCTCCTGGGCAGGATGGCAGACCCAGGGTGGAGCACAGCTCAGGGGTGGGCCAGCCTGGGGGGTGCCCTGGGTGAAGGCAGAAGTGGTCGGGGTGTGGAGGGAGGAAAAGGCCTGGCTTCGGTCCCGTAGCTTCCCACACGTGACACAAGAGCACGGCTGCCTCTACAGGGCAGGAGGCCCCTTGGGCAAGTCCTGCCCCCCAGCCTGCTGTCCCAGCAGCTGCAAGCAAAGAACTGGCCTCAGGTTCCTGTGTGCAAGTGTGGAGAAGGCTCCCAGGCCCGAAAGGCACCCCTTGCCTGGGCCCATGTCTGAGGATGGGGAAGGAGGAAGGAATCCAATCCCCCTCTCTTCCCACACCAGCCCTGGGGGGCACCAAGCTCCCACTGCAAGGACGGCAGATCCCACCAACAGTGGGCTGGTCAGAGGCAGTGGCCCTGCAGGACCCCAGGCACGAGTCTGGTATGGGGGCAGGTGTGCTCTGGTGCAGCTGGCAGGCCCCATGAAAGGGTCATTGGACCATGCCCCAAGCCCTGCAGGGTGCACCCTGTGCCTCCTGGTGTCCTTGTGGAGTCCCCTCCTCTGCAGCCTGCCATGAGCTACTCTGCTCCAGCGTCCGAGGCAGTGACAGCGGCACTGCCATCAGAGACAGCTTCACCTCCTTGTGGGGAGTGGGGACAGGACAGGCTTTGAGTCAGCTCTCAGCCCTGCTGTGCACACCTCAGGGCCCACCTGGAATGGGTGTGTGGCATCAGGAAAAACTGCATTTTTTAAAGGGTGTGCATCGCACTGTGATGAAGGCTGCCGCAATCCTCATTTTATTAACCAGAAAACCGGGGCTTACAGGGATGAGGTCTCGTCCCAGCTATACAGTGAGGGGGCAAGTGGTTCCGGCTGCCTAAGCTCAGGACTCCACACTGACGGGGCCACACTGTTCCTTCTGGGCCTCGTCCCCCGCCTCTAAGGCCCTCCTGGTGCTGGCCTAGGTCAGGCACAGTGGAGAGGTGGAAGCAGGAGCCTGGCTTGGTCAGAGGGGTGGGGTCAAGGGGGGGCGTTGTCAGCAGGAATTCCAGCAACTTTCCTCAGGACTGCCGCCTCAGGGGCCTGTCTCATCCTGTTCTGGGACCCTGGGCCAGGGTGGCTGGAATGCAGCAGGTCCTGCATTCTTTTACGCCCTCCTGAGGGTCAGCAGGAAGTGAAGGCCAGGCCAGGGAGGAGAGGCAGGAGAGGGAGCCAGGACCGGGACCGAGGGCGGGGTCAGCCCGGGCAGAGGCACCTGGCTCGAGGCTGTCCTGGGGGAGCTGGCAGCAGCTCCAGCCCTGCCTGGAGGTGGGAGCAGGGATCTGTAGCCCCACTGCAGGCAGGGCCTGGAGCAGCGCAGGCAGTGCCCTACCCGCTTACTGCAAGAGAAGTCACCCCTCAGGCCTGGGGTCCAGGAAGCCCTTACCCACTAGAGGCCATCTGGGGTGGGGACCCAGGACTAGGTAACTACCCAGAGGTTGAATGCCTGGGTCAGACTGAGTTTGCTGATCTTCCGCACCCTCTAAGTACACACACTCAGGGAGGAGCCCGAGACAAGAGAAGGGAACAGAGAACCCGAATCCGGGCTTGGGCGGCTGCCGCTTGGCCCCTGTAGCCTCTGTGCCTGCTGACATGACAGCAAGGAGACAGGTTGTCAGAGGGGCCTGGGAGAGCGAGGGAGGGCCGAGGTAGGGGTTCTTATCCTGGAGCGCTCCCTCCTTGCCCTCTTTTCCTGTCTGAGTTCTGGAATGTACTGATGCAGGGGGCTCTGGCTTGAGCTAGAGGGGGAGGGAGTCCTCCGCAGGGGCTGCAGGTCCAGGGATTCCCCAGGGCCTGGACTTACATGTGCCCATGCTGCAGACAGAGCGGGAATGGCAAGTGCACCTGCGCCCCCCGCCCCTCCTTACCTCCAGATGCCTGCTGGAGGGGGAGTTGGGGGTCCAACAGAGTCTGGGGCCAGGAGGGCCTTGTGGGAGCCAGCTGGGGTGAGGACAGAGCCCGGCTCTGAGAGCCCTGGGGCCTAGTAGAGAAGGGGTGCTCCTTCCCCACTCCTCACATGGGTGGGAAGGCGCCCTCAGGCAAGAAGACTGGGACACAGGTACACTCGCCAGGGACCATCCTTCACTCTGCAGCCTTTATTCACTGATGGGATTCTGCCCCAGTCCCACCCCCGTGGGGGCAGGATTTAGAGCAGGAACCGCCCCTCCGGGTCCTTTCCTGGGGCCTGTGCCAGGCTGAGCAGACTCAGGAGGCGTCTCTCCGAGGGTGTGGGCTGTGATGGGGCCCTGTGCACCCATCCAGGCTGCCCAGACCAGGAGAGCACAGGTCAGCCGGACACATGATGGTAATGGGCTGGGCAGTGGGAGGGAAACGTGCCTGGGGGAGGGGGTGGCAGGTGCCAGCTGAGCTTCCCGGTGACACACCCTGGGCTCAGCTGAGATGGGCTCAGCTGTGACGGGGCACCCAGGCCAGGCTGGCTGGGCCACAGGAACCGAGTGAGCTGGTCCAAGACTCAGGACTAGGGCTCAAGCACTCCTAGGGAGGAGGGTGGGTGGCGTCCCCCGCCGGCTCCTCCTGTGCCCCTCCCTCGCGAGGTCCCGGCGGACCCACTCCCCAGCCCCCACCACGCAGACGGGAGAGGCTGACGAGAGGCATGGAGAGGTGAGGCCCGAAACACCCGTAAGATATGGGAGCTCCCCCCACCTGCAGGTTCTGAGGGGCTCCTCGGCGCCGTCAGCCACCTCTCACACCCCCTCACGGCCGCGCACCGGCCCCCGCGCCTCAGCCTCCCCCGCCGACCCCTCAGCCCCGCCCGGCCAACTCGCCCAGCCGGCCCGGCGACCTGCGTTGTTCCAGCTGCCCCAGCACAGCCCCCGTCCCTCCCTCCCTCCTCGGACAAGCACGGGAGTGAAGACACGGAGCCAGAGCTCGGGCGCCGGCCTGGGAGCCCCCGGCAGGCTGGACGCAAGGCGGGCGAAGGCCTGGGAGCCTCGGGCAGGCTGGATCGAGGCGGCCCCCTGAGGCCCGCTGCAGGCTGGACGCACGGCAGTCAAAGGCAGGAGGCCTCCCGCTGGCTTCCTTCTGCGGAGCTCCGGCCCGGCGCAGGCCGGGGCCACAGGTTGTGGTCCTGGACATGAGATGGCAGAGGCCGGCTCTGCAGAGTCCCCCTGCAGGGCGGCAAAGCAAGCCCCCTCCTGGAAGAATGCCAGGGGCTGGGGCCTTTCTGAATGGAGAGCAATGTGCCCAAGACCAGCTGTCATCTTAAATCTCCCCACCCAGGGGCCTCCCCACCCCCAGGGGCCTCCCCACCACTTCTCTCAGCTCAACACCTGGGGATAGAGAGGCCTCAGGCCAGGAGGGAACCCTCCCCATGTCCCTCTCCCTCTCCTTCCTGGCCTTTCTCCTCCTCCAACCCAGAGGGAGGCATTTTCCAACCTAGGGGGTGAGTCCCGGCAGCCCATCCCCTTCCCCCCGTGCAGGGAGGCATCTGGGCCCTTCCGGCCCACCCCTCCCTCTGGCCCTGGGGCTGCTCAGGTCAAGGTCACCGGGCCTGCTCCCCGCTGGGCCAGGGACTGGACCCTCTCTTCCCTGATCCCTGGGCTGAAGTTGCTGTAGCCGACCCATCCTTCCACAGCGCTCCCCTCCCTCAGTCACTGGGACACTTCCCTTCCCCAGTGCTCTGAGGATTTTTTTGGGGGGGAAGGGGATTATTTGTTTAATGGCAGATTCATCCCCCACCTCAAACCCAGAGTCTCCAGTTCCCAGGCTCCTGCTCCTCAGGTTAAAGCACAGAGCTCTTGCTCCCTGGCTCGTAGGCAGCTGCTGTCTCGTTCCATCTTCCCCCTCCCGATCCTGACGGTTCTGGACCACCCCACTCTGCTGCTCCTCACTAAGCCCCCACCAGCCTTAACTTTGGATACCTTTTAGGTCATGCATTCTCGTCCCCTGCTGACATGTCCCCACCCCGCAGTTTCCTCTTGGTCATCAGCACCTTCACCCCAAAGCTTTAGGCGAGACTCCCATCCTGACAGTGGCCCCCATCCCCAATGATGGACCCAGACCTCATTTGTCCAGACCCAGCCTGGCAGCTGCCCGTGACCAGTGGCTCTGGAGCCCTCCCAAGGAGAATGCAGAGAGATGATGGCGCCACGCCACGCCCATCCCTCCAGAAGCTTCCACGGCTCACACAGGAGGTGCAGACTGTAAAGCCGGCTTTATCCACCTTTACAGCCTCGTCCTAGACACTCAGTGTCAACAGACTCGAATGCCTAAGGTACCGGAATTTGGCGTGGACAGTCAGCCTGCATTGCCTCCCACGGTGCTGGAGTAGGGCTGTGTGCAGAGCTCCAGGCACCGCAGCCCCCCAACACGCAAGGGAAGAGCCTAGGCCTCCCCGCTCCTGCCCTCTACTCAGCTCTGCACCCGGCAACGGGGCCTTCCTGGCTGGCCGATGGCTGCGAAGGCTTTCCCCAAGCCCGAACCCTCTTCTCGAAGCCTGCCCCAGCCCCTGGCCCATCTGCTCTCGGACCCCAACCAGCTCCGGTGGCTGTGGCATCCTCCGGCACGTCCAGCAGCCTCCTGGGGTGAGGGTGCACTGGACAAACGACCCAGGGGGTTTCCTGGGGACCACCCACTGCCCAGGCTGCAGAGGATCTTTTCCTCACTTTTGCCCCATCCTCTAAGAAGCCTGCGCCCCTGGCCAGTCCCTGTCCGCCTGGGCTCCTGACGTCTGAGCCAGAGGCAGCCTTGGCCCCACCTGCGAGGTGGACCGGCCACGGCATCTCAGCTCCTCGTCAACGGCATCCACGGCCCCCAGACTCACCCCATCGTGCTTCCCTCCCCTCCCCACACCCCTGCCGTCTGCCCGAAGCCCCCCCGCCACCATTTCACCCAAATGACAGCGTCGCCAAGGAGCCCCTCCGCCGCCGCAGAACCTCCGCCGCGCACTGCGACCCGAAACCGAGGGGCGTCGTAGGGACACCTCTGCCCCGGGTGGGAGGGTCCGCGCCCCAGGCCGGCTAAGGCTCCTGTCACCCGCGGCTGCTTGCGAGGGCGACAGGCGTGAAACCGGCCCCGGCGGCGGAACAAAGGCTCGGCGGCACCGGCGGCAGCGTCGCCGCCCTGGGGGTCCCGGGCGCCCCGATGCCAGTCGCCAGCCGCCGCGGCCAGGGACGAAGACGGCAAACCGCGCAGCCGGAGCGGGTGCGCAGGGGTCTGGACACGCAGCAGCGCCGGCGGCCCGGCGAGGAGGGGGCACTGGTGCAGTGGGCGCGGCGGGGAGGGAAGGGGGCGGGCGGGGAGAGGGGGCTGCGGCGGGCAGGCGAGGGGAGGGGGGCGCCGCGATTGGCGGGGAAGGGGCTTGTCGCAGCGGGTGCGGCAGGCACGGGGGTGGGGGAGGGGGCTCGAAGGGCTGCGACGGCCCGGGGAGGGGGATGGGCCTGGCGGAAGAGGAAGGGGGGCCCCGGGGCGGCGGCAGGCGATGCGGGAGCGGGGCGGGCGGAGGGAGCGGGGCGGGCGGAGGGAGCGGGGCGGGCGGAGGGAGCGGGGCGGGCGGAGGGAGCGGGGCGGGCGGAGGGAGCGGGGCGGGCGGTGGGAGCGGGGCGGGCGGTGGGAGCGGGGCGGGCGGTGGGAGCGGGGCGGGGACGCCGGGATGCGGCCCGGGAGGGGTAGGGGTAGGTGCAGCTGGGGCGACGGGTGGGGTGGGACTGGGGACGGGCCACGGACTCCCGACAGGAGGGGCGGAAAGGGGATGGGGCTGCGGCGGCCAAGCGGGGCAGGACGGAGCGGAGGATGGGACAGAGGCGGTGGGGACGAGGAGCGGGTGGAGATGGGGGTGGCGCGCCTGCGGATGCGGGTACGGTGGCGCTGCGGGAGAGGTCCTCGGGCCTGGCTTCCAGCGCGGCGGCGGACGCGGGACCCCCTTCGCAGCGGCGGCTCCAGCGGCTCCGGGCGGCGCGCGGGCTCTGGGTGCAGGTGCTCGGGCCGGGGAAAGGCGGCGGAGCGGGGCCGGGCGGAAGGGCTCGCAGGAGGCGAAAAGCCAGCGGGGGACGAGGGCGGGCTGCGGTCCGCCGGGCGCGCGGGAGACTCTGGCCGCAGCCACCCCGGGCAGCGCCGCAGCCGCACTGGCGCGCACGGCCGAGGGCGGTGGCTCCCGGCGCGGGGACGAGCGTCCTCCCGCAGCCCCCGCCCCGCCGCGCTCGGCACCGCCCCCGTCTCCCTGGAAACCGCAGGCGGCCGCCCCGGCCCCTCCGGCCAGGTCCCCGCCGCCCTGCGCCCGCCTTCCTGCCCGCCGCCGAGGCCGGGCCCCTCCCTCCCGCCTGCGGGTGCTGCTCCTGTTCTCCGCGGGCAGTCCGGGCCTCCTAGGCTCCCCACTGCAGCTAAGCGGGCCCAGGCCTTGGTGCAGGGGCTCCTGGGTCTCAGCAGGGCCGGCGCTCGGGGGAGCCGGGGCCCCTCCCCGGAGGGTAATGGGGGCGGGGTGTCGGGTTTCTCTCTGTGCTGAAGGTGGCAGCTGACCACCGCTGTCCTCACGCAAAGCTGCCATGGTCATTCCACATCCTCTACCTGCCCCCTCCAGCCCCCAGTCCAATGGCACCCGGGCCTTGACTCCAGACCCCCCTGCCCCTATATCCTGACCTGCTTTCCCTCTGACATACCAAACCCAACAGGCCACATCCTTCCACCAAGTCTCCCACCCAGGTGCCCCCAGCCTGGGAGGTCTATGCTGTGCGCCTCTGGCCCCTCCTTGGACACCAGAGGGACAGCCTCCCGCCAACACCCTCCCCTCCCTGCAGCCCAGGTCCTGCGTGGCTCCCACTGTCCCGGCCCAGCTCCCCACCTTCCCCAGGCCTGCTGACCCAGCCAGACAAAACCACCCACTCACACCAGTTCCCCTCTGGCCGCACTCCGGCCTCTCGGCCGGTCTGCAATGGGCACACTGAGAGCTGCTGGACAGACCACCAAGGCAGGCCACAACACCGGAGACCCCCAAAGACGGGGCTTTCACCAGGCAACTCATAAGACTGCTCTCTAAGCTGCCCAGATCCTGCTTGGGGAACCCCTGAGCAGGCCATCCTGCCGGCAGACGCCAGGTCTGGGCGGTGCCGGCCCTGGCATGGCACGACGGCAGGGGTCCATCAGATGGGAGCCTAGTCACAGCTCGGGCCAAGAAGCCGCGTGCCCTGTGCAGGCCTCCCCCCATGCCAGCCTGCTCCACTGTCTGAGGCTCATGCTGTGGCCTCAGACTGGGGATGAAAGGGGATTCAGAATTTGTGTCACGAACCTCCTGCCACACCCAGGACCCGGTGTCTTGGCTGTAAGGCAGAGCCCACTCTTCGAACCCAGGATGAGGTGCTCCCCAGAGGCCGTGCCCCCAGGCCTGGCTCAGCCTTTCTCCTCCTTGGCTTGGTGGAGCTGAAGAGGGCACTCACATCTCTATGCCCAACCCTGCCAGCAGGGTGGAAATTCAGGCAGGCTGTGGGAGGGTGGGGTTGTCCTCCTGGGGCTCTGCCCAGCTCTCCCATCTAGCTTCCCGTACACCCACTGCAGGGGCCACAGGCACCCAAGGAGGCCTGGAAGATGGACTGGCCCTCCCTGTCTGCTACACCCACAGGGGGCACGCTAGAAACGCAGAAGGGGACGCAGCAGCCACATTCCAGTCCACAAAGACGCCGCGCAGGCCCGTCCATCTGCCCCGTGAATGCCAACCAGGCAGAGACACACATACAGCTGAGGCTGGGCCGGATCCCAGAGCAAACCCTTGGGTGCCTCTGGAGGGAGCCCGCCAAGAGGGATGGCTCATAAACACTGGGGAAGGAACAGAAGGGGAGGGAGCAAAGGAACTCGGCCGCTCACCTCCGACCCAACCACTTCCCGAGAAGCCATCTCTGTGGTCATGGTGGTCCCAGGCCTGGCTCTCCCTGCGCCCACCCCCACCACCCAGTCACTCCACCCAGTCACCCCACCCAGCTGTGACCTGCCACTTCCCTCCATCTCACATGCTTTCCCCTCACCTCCCTCAGGAAGCCTCCCCAGCCTCTGGCCTCCAGTCCCAACAAGCCATGCTCCTTCCAGAGGGAACCTCTGCCAGGGGAGCCTCCACTTTCTTGCTCCTGCCTCCCTACCTGGCACCCAGGCCGGCCCTGGTACCCTGGTACTGAATAAAGGCACACGTCTAAATGATGTCGGGGGGAATCTGCCCAGTGTTGGCACTGGAGCGAACACGACCCACTGCCAGCATGGCCCACGAGCCACACCCCCCCAAGCCAGCACCTCCTCCCCAGAGGAAGCACGGGGCTCGACGGGGCACGCCCCTGAATGGGAGGTCACACATGGTGAGGGCTCCCTTGTTCCCAGAGGTCTAGCTGTCTCCCTGCTAAGATGCAGAGCTCACTATGGGCCTCGCAGGGGGTTAAGCCGAGTCAT
Organism: Homo sapiens; assembly: GCF_000001405.40. Classification (NCBI taxonomy): domain Eukaryota; kingdom Metazoa; phylum Chordata; class Mammalia; order Primates; family Hominidae; genus Homo; species Homo sapiens. The sequence continues at coordinate 240,450,519 of NC_000002.12, read as the reverse complement.
TTCATCTTCACAGCAGCTGTAGGTCCCGCTGACATAGCTGACACATAGAGAGCTAAAGTGACCTGTGCAAGGTCACAGGCTAGGAGTAGCAGCACGGGGCCCAGCACGAGGAACAGCCTTAGCATCCCCCGCCTCCCCAACCCTGCAGCCTGCCCTGACTCCAATCCCAGGGGAATTCCTGAGCTGCAGGCAAAGGCTGAAGCAGGAGCTGACAAGCCCTGCTGAGCCCAGAGAGGTCTGGGCGGTCCCAGGAGGGCGTCTCCCTAGGGCTTTGATGAGTTGGTGGCCGCCCAGGCACCTCTGCCTGCCTGCCCAGCATGGCAGGTGTGTGGGCTGGAGCTTCTGCCCAGCCCTGCCCCACAGCCACAATTAGGGGACGAGTGCAGATAAAGCACGGGGGCCAGTTACATCTGAATTTCAGATAAACAATGAATTGTTATTTTAGTACAGTATGAAAGTATTTGGCCCCAAAGAACTGGAAGCAGGAAAAGGAACAGCTCCTCATACACCCATGCTCACAGCATTATTCACCAGAGCCGGAAGGTAGAAACGATGTCTCTCCACAGTCGAATAGATTGTTTCCACAAACTGTCTGTAGGTGCATACAATGGAATAGGATTAATCCGTGAAAAGGAAGAAATTCTGACACATGCTCCGGCGTGGAGGAACCTTGAGGACGACGCTGAGTGAAAGAAGCCAGACACGAAAGGACAGATACGGCAAGACTCGACTTATGTGAGGTCCCTAGAGGAGTCGGATTCATAGAGACTGAAAGGATGGCGGGCACCAGGGGCGGTGGAGAGGGGAAATGGGGAGTTACTGTTTAATGGGGACAGAGTTTCAGTTTTACAAGATGAAAAGGGTCCTGGAGCTGGATGGGGGTGACGGCCGCACAACAGCATGAATGGACTGAACGCCACTGAAAACTGAACTCTTGAAAATGGTTAAACTGGCAAATTTTGTTATGCATATTTTGCCACAAAAAGCAAACAACTCTTCTCCCCAAAAATATCTGGGGTGTACTTACACTAAATATGTAGGGCATATTTACTCTCAACATTTATTTCCTTATTTGAAATGAAAGTATTTGGGACACACTGCACTACAAAATGATTCAGGGTCTACCTGAAATTCCCATGTACCTCGTGTCCTGTCTTTGCATCCGCTAAGTCCGGCGGCCCTTTGCAGCGTGGGGGTGGGGGGGGGCGCCTGCCGGAATCACACAGGTCTCCCCACCCGCAGCAGCCCACCACCTTTGGGCACCCATGCATGCTTGCGCACCCACGTATCCCTGGCTCCCCCACTCAGGTCTCAGACCCCGTCCAGGCTGTCAGCAGGAGGTTTAAGGCCGCTTTCAACTCTGAACTGTCCCCAGCCTCCTTGGAGAGCAGTGGGTCTCTCCTGAAATCAGCACTATCTCAATTAACAGGCAGACAGGACCACCCCCAGCTTACAGATGGGAAGACTGAGGCTCACGGAGGTTAGGTGGCTTCCCCCCCAGGTCTCAGACTTCTCCCTAAGGCAGATCTCCTTCCACTGGCCTGAGTGTCCCCCTGTCCTCACTGAAGGGGAGGAAATGAGAAGCCCAGGCTTGATACCTGGGCACCCCGAGCCCAGGTATGGAGATTAGGCCACTCTTGCAAAACTAGGGTCAGGCCTGGCCACCCTCGCTGGCCTGACTATCCCATTGCTGGCCAGGTGCTGCTGAAACCTAGTTGGGCCTCAGGCAGCTGGGCTGGTGTCTGCAAGGCCACGTCCGGGGAGGGATAACTGCCGGTCACGCTGCTGGTCACACAGCCCACCACCGAGAACGCCCAGGGCTCCCAGCCCAGGGAGACTCTGAGCAGGTGGTCCTGTCATGTGCCTGCCTGATCGCCTCCCCAAAGGTGAGCTCCGACCTCGACCTCCTGTGGGCCCTGCGGGTCCTGGAGCAGGTGGGAATGGGGGCCCCCTGCCTCCGTGACTCCCACCCATTTCCCGAAGCCACCTGCCGGAGGAGAGCCGGAGGCTCAGAGTTCCACCCCCAGGCACCTGGAGTCCTGACTCCACCCCGTCTACACCCAGACTTCCTGGCAGGGACTATCTACACCCGGACTGCCTGGCAGGGACTGTCTACACCTGGACTGCCTGGCAGGGACTATCTACACCCGGACTGCCTGGCAGACAGAGGGATGCCAGGATCCCATGAGATGGCTCTGGGCAGAGGTTGGGGACACTGCCTGGGGCGGGCACATGAGATCCAGGAGGCAGACAGCCTGGGGGAACGAACCAGCCCCATCCCGTAGGGGAAGGGAGAGGCCCCTATGAGGGCAGCTGTCCAGACCCGGGGCCAGCATCTCCTGCCCTTCCTGCCTCTCCACAGGGCCTGCGGTGCCTCCTGAACTCTCCACCCTTGACTCTCTTCCTGAAAACCAGCTGCCACCCTCAAGGCGGGCTCGAGAGCGCCTCCGGCCGTTCCACTGTCACTGTGCCCTGGGGACACTGTGTTCCACCCAGAATGGCCTGGCAGCAACTCTTCTTGCCATTTCCACCATCTCACACCCAGAGCCAGCGAATGGGAGCGCCGACACTGCGTGCTGTGAGCGCTCAGGGTGACAACCAGGAAGCAGCTGCGCCGGTGACAATGACGGGGCCTCCTGTCCAGGCAGATGTGGCTCCCCAGCCTGGCCTTCCTCCCTCCCCATGGAGTGCCCTCATCCACAGCCCACCTTCTGGAAGATGGGACTTAGAGAAAGAATAGGCCTCCCTGACATGACACACGCTGGGCAGAGGGCGGGCCAGCCTTCTGCCAGGGTACACAGCGACTGTGGGCAGGGCCAGGGGCACACAGCCGGTGTGGAGCCGGCCCTTGACCCCCTTTGACCCCCAGCAGGTTGGCTTTGGCTTCTCTCAGGACCCGCCCCTTTGCTAAGACGACGGCCACCAGGAACGGCCATGATCTTCAAGAGAGCCAGCCCTCGGCCAAGGGTGTGGCTTTCCCCAGAGGCCCGGCAGGCCGCCTCCCTGGGAACCCGAGGTCCATGGGGACAGGGGCGCAGGCAGTGTGTGCACACCTACGTGCCCTCCCCCTCCATCCGCCGGCTCCACGCCGGCCTCAGAGCAGCCCTGCCACACCCTCCTCACGGCGCTGAGCCTTCCTGACCTTCCGAAATGACTGTCAATGTCGCCCCAACCACACAGAGGCCCCGGAGGGAGTACAGGGACTTTGCTGTGTCCCGGTACCCAGAACAGCCTCTGTGTCGGGGCATAGCTCGAGGGATCTCTGCTTGAGGGAGGAACGAACATGGGGGTCATCTACGACACCTCAATTTCGACTCAGACCTCTGGTCACGCCCCTCCTGGCTCTGGGGTCCAGCCTTAATGCCCTCAGACCCTGCCTACCAAGCCCCCAGCCCCGTCTCTGCCTGGCCCACTCACTGCCTTTGCTACTCAGAAACGGGGTGAAGCCCACCCCTTCTGGGCATCCCTGGGTGCCAGACGCCAGGGGTTCGGCCATGCCAGGCTGGGCTCCCAACACGGCTGTGGATGGACACCCCTTATCCCCCCATGGATGAGATGCTCGGGCTCGGGGCACCAGTCCACCCCGGATTCTGATGCCAGCCGTGCAGCTCCACTGCTCCCCTCAGGCAGGTCTCTCCACACTGCCCAGGGGCTGCCCACCCTGGTCCCCTCTCCGTCCTCTGCGGGCCGAATGATGTGGGCTGGAAGAACCCAGCCCTTCCTATCTGCTCCCCAAGTCTCCTCTCTGGTCCTCTCAATGAGCTGGCCCCCAGTGCTCCAGGACCCAGATGCTCCAGGCTCCTTGGGTTGGGGAGGAGCCCCAGGTGGCCAGCCCCAGTTGAGGGTCCTGTAAGGCAGCATGGGAGGCCGAGGACAGGACAAGAGATGGCCATGGCAAGAGAGGGGCCAAACTGCACTTGGGAGCCCTGGGCCAGTCCCCAGCCAGGGAGTGGTCTTTAGGGTTCGGCCCTCAGGGTTCACATGACTCAAATGGGTGAGTGGTTGCAAACCTCACATGCAGATGCCTAGATTCCTGCATGTCACACCCCTTTACTTGTAACTCACACAAGCTACACACTCATGGTGGCCAAGCACAGGCACAGCTTGTGTGGATCCTCTCATACGTGCCCTGTCTCTGCGCTAACTGCGTCCAGAGAGCAAGGGCTCTGTCTGCAGCTGCGTTTCAGCACCCAGAACAGCACCCAGTAGGAGCTCACGGAGCCTCCAATGATGCAGAGGACCTGGGATGTGTCCCTCTCACTCGCACGGCAGGCAGATGGCCCTGCTCCTTGCTCCGCCCAAGGTGCCTGGGGACTCCCCACGACGTTCCCCCGTTTCGGACCCTAGGCCACCGTGGGCCCTCCTGGGCGCAGACACACTGGGCCCCAAGCCTCTCCTTCTCTGCTGCGAGGGCGACTTGCTGCTCAGGTCAGCCGGACTTTCTCTGTGCCGTGGGCCCCGTTGCCCATTGGTGAAGCCGCAGACGCTTTCTCAGGACGATGCTTGTTTCTGAAGCATACAACTACACAGAGGACCATGGAGGAAGCACTCATCACACAGCAGTTACCAGAATGTGATACAACGAATTGTGAGGTGGCAACGCACGTGCTTCCCCGGGAAGCCGTTTCACAGGAGCCGCAACGGGCCTAATACTGACTACAATTCAAAGTCACAGTGAGAGGACGCCGTTTTCCAAGCTGTCTGCTACGAACGTGGAGGGGCATAAACAGCGGCGACGTCTACTGGTGACCAAGCCCCAGGTCCCGGAACACCATCGTTCCGAGTAAGAAAAAATGCTAAATTCTGGTTAGAGGTTAGCAACGATGGAGATGTAATCTCTTTCTCAGCCAAGTTCATGAAGCCCATGAATTACATCCAGAACCTCATCCGTGCACCCACAGAAGGATGGATGCATCTAGAACAACCCTCCTGCATGCTGGTGTTTGGCCACCACAGTCTGCCCTTCCTCCCATCCCAGCACCTGGCGCTGAGTGGTGCCCCCTCCCCTGAGCTCCCTCTTCCCCTGGCGTGGTTCTGCCTATAGCTTCAGTTCAAGTATTTCTCTTGGGGGTGCTACTGGCGTTTGTGGAAGGGCACCTCCATCTTGCAGGATTACTGGGCTCCCTGGCCCCACCCACTAAACACCAGAGCACCCCCACTCCTCAATCACTGGGATGTCACAAGTGCCCAGGGCAACTGCTCCCGCTTGGGAGCCACCCTATCCCAGGGGACCTTCCCAGGTATCTGTCTGACCTGCAGCCACCCCTCACCCCAAATTGCCCACAGGATGAGGCCACGCACATAGAACAGGGAGGCACCTGTTCTAACACCTACCATCCTGGGTGTGAGGCCACAGGAGGGAGACTGAAGATGCTGAGCAGTGTTCTGTGTACAGCCCCCCGCCAGGCTCGGGGAGGGGGCATCGCGTTCAGGAACAGTGGGGCTGGATTACGTGAGAGACTTGTCCTTTTAAAATACCTCCTTGGGTCCAGTGTGTCCCAAGCTCCATGACAACTGGAGATGCATGTAAACGCCTGAGCCAACCCTGGTGGCAGGTGGCATCAGCTTTGTCCCCAGGGCCTGGTAGATGGTCACAGGTGGGTGGGATGCTCTCCCTGCAGTCTCCAGAGCCAAGGATGGGCCTCCTGGCCCCGGTTCTTGAGGAGACACTTGGACGTCACACATGGGTTACCACAGGGATGGGATCAGACAGCCACAGGGAGCCCCAGTCACCAAGGATGCGCCAGACACGGGTGGGCTGCGGGGTCCACAGTGGGCACTGAGGCTGCACCAGATGCAGGGACAGGCTGAGACGATCACCCATAGGCCACAGCTCTGTGACGCACTGGACAGCTGTCGTCGGTGTTTGGGGAAATCGTCTGAAGGTGCGCACAGGCCACAGACTTCCCTACAGGTCCCACTGCTGATGGCGCACCCAGGAAGCACCCCTGCCGGGGAGGCTAGGGATCCGGTCGCTGCTGCATGGGCCTAAGGCTTGGCTGTTCCCAGGAGGGAGACGTGCTGTTCTGGGCCTCAGAGCATCGGGGTCACTGCAGCCAGATCCATCACCCCAGGATGGACCAGCGGGTGAGGACGGGGCTCAGGATGGACAGTGCCGCAGGGTCCTGGGCGGCTGGATTTGGGAGTCCCCGGAAGCCCCAGCCAAGTTTCTCAGTAGAACCTGAACTTCTGTGGGGCGAGAGCAGAAGCCTAGCAGCGTTGTACTTCCTGGCCCGCCCAGCTCACCCTTGTCCCTCAGGAGGAGCCAGGACAGCAGGCGGGCATGTGGTGCCCACTGTGGGGCTGGCTCTGACCTCAGGAGACCCACCGGGCGTGGCGGCTGGGCTGGGCTGAGGCTGGCCGGGCCCTCCTGCGGTGTGTGTCCTCACATGGCCCCGACACGGAGCTGCAAAGAAGCCGGGCCGTGTTCACAGCCTCCCCTCCTGTGCGCTCCCGGTGCCCCTCAGGCCTCTGGGTGCCTGCACCTGCGGGGTAGTCTGTGGCCTTGGCCCAGCTCCCCATCCTCTGACCCAGCCTCACCCCTGCTAGCCAGGCCCAGAGCAGGAGTGAGTCACTCGGCAAGCAAGTGTGGGGCTTGGCCCCAGGCGGCGAGGCCTCTCAGCTCTGAGCCCTGGGAACCCCTCTCTGGGACTCAGCTTTCCCATCTGCAAACTAAGTGGTATTCAGCCCACCCGGTAGACAGCCCCTGGTGCTGCCGACTCTGGGAACTCCTGGGGCACCTCAAAGGTGGGAGAGGACCAGGGGAGGGAGGGCCTGGGGAAAGAGGGACCCTTCTCTCCCTGTCCACCGGCTGCGCCCCATCAAAGACCTTGAGAGCCCACCAGGAGGCCTAGTTCACAGATGCCGCTGGGCCTCACCTCCCACTGCCCCGTGCTGGGCTCAGGGTTTCTGCTTCCGAGTCGCCTGGCCTCAGGGATGATTTGCAGTGGCTCTGTGGCTGGCCCTCCTCCCCACCACAGCCCTGGGAGGTCTCCTCCTCCTGAAGGAGCAGGACAGGTGGAGCCCCTGGGTGGCTGCCCTGTCACCCTGCCAAGCCTGCAGGACCCAAGGGGCACTCAGCACAAGAGAGCAGCGGGCCTCCTCGGCCAGCCACCGCCTCAGGAGACAGCAGTGGTGCAGCCTCCTGGCCCCCAGGCCTCCCTCATCTCTACATCTCCAAACCCTCGCCCTGCAGTCCCACTGCCTCCCCGCCCAAAGTCCACCTGAAGGGCTCTGCCCCCTGACAAGTGGGAGACTGGGGCCTGTCCAAGGCACACTCACACCACTGAACCACGACTCTCCCAGCCTGGGCTCCCGCAACGCAACCTGGAGAAGGTTTTCAGGCCAGCCTGGCCACTGCCCCCCACCCCAGTTCTGTGACGGCACAGGCGGCGGCATCCTCAGCCACTGCTGTACCACTAGACCTGGAACATCACCTGAGTGGCCCGGCCCTGCCACCCGGACCTGAGGGAAAAGCGGAGGCCCACGGCAGGAGGGGCTGGCCAAGGACCCAGTAGCTGTGCAGGGCCTGACGCTGAGGCCTCCCAGGCTTGTGGGGACCAGGCTGTGCCCAGAGAGCGCCTCAGGTGGACGGGGGTGAGTGGCAGGCTGGGGCGTGGTCACTCCCTCACACTGTCACCAGGGTCTCGGGCACATCTGTGCTGAGCTCTAAGCCCATTACAGAAACACGGCCCAGTGCTCAGGAGGCCACAATCACAAAACACCCAGAGCCTCGGGGTCTTTGCCACCTGATGGGAAGATGTAGGTGTGCCGGGCTGGGCTAGCTCCCCACTACAGGCTAAACTGTACCCCCAAAACCCACATGGCTGAGGCCTAACCCCGATTCCTCAGGATGTGACTTTGGGTGTGGAGTCTGTGTGACACCTCTCGTTAAGAAGAGATGGTACCGGTGGGCCCTGACCCAATTAGAGTTGTGTCCTTGTGAAGAGGGGGAATTCGGAGACAGAAGCGCACACGGGGAGAGCGGCCTGTGGAGGCCAAGGTGGGATTTACCAGCCAAGGAACACCTGGAAGCTGGCAGTGTGGAGCAGACTTCCTCACGCCTCAGAAGGGGCCAGCCTGGTGGACGCACACTTGATCTCAGGCTTCCAGGCTCTAGAACCACGGACGACCCATGTCTGCAGCTGCAGCTGCTCAGCCTGTGGCACTGTTCCGACAGCCCTGGAAACACTTGTGCTCCCAACCCCGGCACCCAGCCCCACCCGGTACCGGGAGGGACTCGGGGCCTTCCCCACCCTGTGTGGAGCTCAGGCCTGCCCAGGCGGGGGCCCCGGCAACAGGGAGGGTACGTGTTGGCCGATGCCCGGGAAGTCAAGCTGTGGGGAAAGGCCGGAGGAGGCGGGTGCTGTGGGTGGGCACAGGGAGGACACCGTGGAGGGAGGGGACAGGTGTGCCAGAAAGGTGGGTCAGCAGGAGCTGGCGGGAGATGGAGCTGAGGCCACAGGCAGGAGAGGGGATGGTGTGAGGCTGGCCTGGCCCTCTCAGGGGCTCCTAAACCCACCCGGATTCCAGACTGCTACCGAGCCTGGGGCAGTGGGGTATGCCCCTCACACCTGTACTTCCCCGCCACCCACGGCGGGCCAAGGGCAGCCAAGGAGGCTGCAGCTCTGGGCCCTGCTCCTCAGCATAGCCCTCACCCAACACCTGGCTGCTGCGTGCTCCCGCCTGGGTGTGGGGCCTGGAGGTGGAGGGAGAACCGCCCGCTTCCCTGGCCCAAGCCTCAACACCCTACACTGCACCCCCCACCCCGTCAGGAGACTTCAAGCGGCTCAGGGCACCTGCCCAGGCCTGTTCCCAGACAAAGAAAAGCCACCACAGGCACGGCAGCGAGGAGCCCAGGCTCCGGGCAGGCGGCTCCTGTCTGGAGCCCCCACGTAAAGTGGGCAAGATCCCGGGCCCCACAGGGCTGTGCTGGCGACTGGCAAGATCCAGGCCGGCTCAGGGCTCTGGGCACGTCGACACTGGACAGGGCCAGGGCTGGGCAGAGGCCCCGCATGTAGGAGTGCCCACCCCAGCCTCCACCACGGGTCCAGTCTTGATCTGAAATAACTGAGCCAGGCCCTGTGAGGACGGTCTGGCTTAAGAAAAGGCGTCCAGCCTCTCACTGGCCCGGGCACGGCAGATGTGGGGCCCCAGGCCAGACCTGACCAGTGTGGCTTCGGGTGAGCCCCTCCCCTGGCTCGTCTCCTGTCTAGTGCCAGCCCATGGCTGACACCTGTGCCATGCACATGGATGCCATAGAACAGACATGGGCATGCTCAGACACCCACTAAGCTCTCCTCCGAGGTCTGATGTGCAGCCCTGCGGTTCGGCCACCAGGTAGGTATGCCCCCCGTCCTGCTGTAGGGAGGCGTCCTCGGTACCTGGGAAGGCGCGTTAACCACAGGCTCACACTGTCCCTAGAGATTGCTGGTGTGAAGGTACAAGCCCCAACAGACTGGACTGCCTTATCTCCCTGGCTTGGCACCTGTGGGCACCTGAATAGGGTACCTGTCCACTAATCCTGGGGCACTTGGCCCAGTGTGGGTGGCTGGTCTGCCCTGTTGGGGACATGCAGGGCTTCGTGGCACACGCTGGGAACAGCCCTCCTAGCAGTCCTGCCCCCCACAGGCAGTGGAGCCAGGCCGGAGGGTGAGGCCCAGCTGTGTGGAAGTACGACTCTCTGGGCGGCACGGCCAGGAGGAGCTGGGCAAGACCGGAGGCAGGGAGGCCAGGAGGAGCTGGGCAGGACCGGAGGCAGGGAGGCCAGGAGGAGCTGGGCAGGACCGGAGGCAGGGAGGCCAGGAGGAGCTGGGCAGGACCGGAGGCAGGGAGGCCAGGAGGAGCTGGGCAGGACCGGAGGCAGGGAGGCCAGGAGGAGCTGGGCAGGACCGGAGGCAGGGAGGCCAGGAGGAGCTGGGCAGGACCGGAGGCAGGGAGGCCAGGAGGAGCTGGGCAGGACCGGAGGCAGGGAGGCCAGGAGGAGTCCCGGTTAAACGTTCTAAATGAGCCTAAGAGATGGAGCCCAGGCCCAGGACAGGAGAGCGGGCTGGGAAAAGCACGAGCCTTCCAAGAAGTGCAGAGCCTGGGACAAGCAGCCTGGCCTGGCTTTACTGGGCAGTGGTCAATGCTGTAGCCAGATCTGGCCCTAAGAGGAGCGCTTCACCAGGCTTCGGTTTACTCATTTGTAAAACAGGTCTACAAAGACCCCTTCCGTCTGATGTGTTAACCAGACAGTCATGGGAAACGCTCCACAAGCCGGGTTTCCCCGTGTTCTAAGAGCACCCGGGTTCATGAGTGCTCTTAGGGTACCGGATGCCATTAACTGAGAGGGGTGTGTGTGGGCCTTTGCAGAGGGTGTCCGGGGAGAGGGGGGACACAGCCCGAGGCTGCCCACGAGGTGCACAGCCCCAGCACCTTCTCCCTCCTGGCCACCTTCACAGGAGGTCACGATTATTCCCTTTCTCTCCTGTGAAAAGGCCCGGGGACACCGGGGATGGGATGGGGGTGGGGGCATCTGTGCCTGAGGAGTGCTGTGGCCTGCCTGGCATGGGAGGCTTGGCGGTCCAGCAGGGACCCAGGCCATTGCATCACGCAGGTGGCCCTGTCGGATCAGGGCTCCCCTGGGCTCCGCTCGGTCCTCACGCTGGGGATGATGAGCTCCTCTCATGGAGGGAAGAGCAGCGACACAGCAAAGGCTGAGGACCACCTGGGAACCACGCTGAGCCACCTGGACAGGACAGGGCACAGGGAACTGTCTGGTCTGGTGAGGGGCTGTGTGCCAGGCAGCCTCCGAGAGGCCCGCTGAGCAGGACTGAGAAGCAGATGCTGGTGGGCTCTCCCGGGCCCAGCCGGAAACACCCTTTCAGGGATGTGGGAAGGAGAGGTCCAGGCCCTCTGAGGATGGTTCCCCAGAGTCTGTGTGCCAACCACCCAGGCGGTCAAAAGTGGCACAGAGAAGAAAAGATTCCTTCGGAGGGGCCCAACGAGTGGGTGCTTGGTACAGGCTCCAGGGCACGCTGGTGCCCGCTCCAGCTGGTAGGCGGGCTGCCACTCTGGGCACAGGAGCGGCTGGGCAGTTTCTGTGCCACCGACAGTCCCATGCCCCACTCTGACTTCTGCCCCCAAAACTAGACCTTAGGGCCCCTCCTCTGCCTCAGGCTGGGAGACCCTGAGAACAGGGGTGTCTGCTCCAAGGAGACCCTCCTCTACCCTCCATGTCCCGCTCCCCACCCAGCACAGCCAGGTATAAAGCCAGGAAGGCCTGGGGGTGTCCTCCGAGAAGCTATCCTGGGCCGGGAGCCAGCCGGGTTCTGTGGCTACAACAGGGAAACAGTTAGAGGTGGTCCCAGCGACCAGGGAGCTCAGGTGCCAAGGTGGGGCGCTGAGACCCCAGCAAAGGAGCAAACAGACACACATCACATCACATCAGACATCAGGAGGCCAGACAGGTGCTCTGGGAACACCTATGCCCAGACACAACCTTGCAAGCAAAAGCAGGAGGCCTGCTGGCACGCGGGCAGTGATTCAGCATGAGGGCTCCTGGCAGCGCAGGGGCACCCGGGGTGCCACTCGGCTCCGCCCTTGCCTTCTGTGCCGTGCCCTGGCATAAAGGGAGGGTGGCCGGGTGCCCTGCTGCAGTGCCACCGTCCAGCTGGTGGCACCCAGGCCTGCTTCCTTGCCCATAAAATGGGATGACCACTGCTGTCACTGCAGCCTGGCCTGGCTGTCCAGAGGACAAAGGAAGTCTCAAAAGGGAGCCCAATATGTCCCGACACTGCCCTCTTTCATGAGCTAAGTCTCCTGTCACCCACTGCCTTTTCTGGTCCCTGGGGCAGAGGCTGGGAAGGCCCGCCACACACCCAGGGCCAACTGCTCTCCTTCCCACGAGGAAGTATCAGATCTCTACCCCACCTGCTCCGGGCCAGCGAGGTGCCCAACCCCAGGGGGTTCGCATTCCCTCTGAGGAGGTCCCCCTGGAGAAGTCTGGATGCAGGAGAGAGGGGACTGAGAATGGTGCCTACTAGGCCACAGAGGGTCCAGGGCTCCTGGGAGGATCTGCCGCCCAGGGGCCACCAGAGGGCGCCCGTTCCACGGAGCCCAGGCCCAGCCGACAAAGCAGGAGGGGACACTGGGCTTGGCTGCCCCAGGACTGCTGCGACCCGAGGGAGTCACCCTGTTTCCCTCAGCCCACGTGGCTCCCACACTGTCTTCTGTACCCTGGGTCCCGAAGGTTACTCCCCACTTCTGCAGCCATAGGGGGTGCAGGGAGAGAGGTTCCTGTCGGAGGGGCACCGACTGGAGAGGCAGTAATCCTGCCCAGTGCAGTCCTGGCCTTGCAAGTCTGGAGGAGGGTGGCACCCCGAGCCCTGGCAGCAGGCACTGGCCCATGGCTGGCACCGTGGTTAGACAGCTGCAGGGCGTTCGTACTCCCCACGCGGGGTGGACAGCATCCCCTGCCCCATCAGACACAGAGAAATCAACACAATCTGCCTGTCCTGGGTCCCTAACCCACTGCATTCCCCAACCCAAGAGCAGCACGACCCACACTCTCTGGCCCAGCCCCACATCAACTTCTCCATCTTGTCCTGCCCTCTCTTCTCACCCTTGGGAGATGGCCAAACTCTGCCACTCTGTCTCTCTAACTGGCAACAGTGGCCTGTGGATGCAAGGAAGGTTAGGTTGGCTCCTAAGGATGCAACTGCCCAGAGGACATGGAGGTGCTAAGAAGGGCTGGGGGCTAATGGTTTCCAAAGGAGCAGGGTTCAAGACTCTGGGCTGGGAGGGGCAGCCACTCAGCCACTCTGCTACCCTGGTGCCTGGGGAGGGATTCACCAGGAAGGCCAGGGATGCCTCTTTATGTGTGAGTAGAGGGGCAGAGAACGAACCCAACTGTGCCGAGGGCCTTGTGCTGCCTGGCATCCAGGTGTGCCCCCTACCTGGGACAGACAGAGCCCAGTGGGGTGAGGGGGGCAGCCTGGAAATGACAGGGTTGCCTCTGCAGAGGCACAGGAAGGCCTGTCCTGGGGACTTTGGAGGGGTCCTTGCAAGAACCTCAGGCTGGTGGGGAGGGCATCGGGAGATCCGCCAAGGGACTGTCTGCGGGTTCTGTTCCTTCTGTGGGGGGCGGTCAGGGGGCCCTTACAAGAACCTCAGGCTGGGGGCATCGGGAGATCCACCAAGGGCAAGGGGCTGTCTGTGGGTTCTGTTCCTCCTGGAGGGGCAGGGGTCCAGAGCCCGACTGCCTCCTCCCACCACTCCGCCCCCCGCGGCAAGGCATGGCCACAGACCCCCCTCACCCAGATGCACGGATCCTTCTTGCTCAGAATCCCCAGGACCATGGGCATTTCTGCGCTGAGTCCCCATCTGAGTAGCCCTCCACCCGCACTCCCACTCCCCTGGTTTCAGAGGAGCCCCCCAGAGCAGGAACCTAGTCTGTTTTGTTCTTGCCCACTGGGTCCCTGGCACGCGGTACAGACCGAGGTTGGTTCCCACACGTGGAAAGGTGAAGCTTGGGTTCCAAGAGTTCCTTAGCACACGGAGCCCACCGTTCCACCCACCCGTACACTTCTGTCCCCAAAGCTCCTCCGGGACCACAGGGAGGGAAGAGGCAGAGCCGCAGGCGGCTGCAGGGCTTAGGGGGCGCCAAGAGGGCCGCTGTTCTTACAAAGAAATGACACGGCCCCTGGGCGGGATCCAACGCGCCGACCACCTGCAGCTGGACTCGCGGCACGAGGCTGCCCAAGCGCCAGGCGGGGGCCGGCGCGTACAAGTTCTTCGACAGGAATCTCTACGAGGCGGCGGCGTTCCGCCCGCGGATAAGTGCCCAGCTCCCTCCCCACCCCTCCGCACTACCCCCCGAGGGGGTCAGCTTATAAAACCCACCTAGGCTGCCTTTGCTGGAGACCCTACGAGAATCCCCGGGCAGGACCGGAGACGCCTCCCAGAGAGGTCTGTACAGAGCAGAAGGGGTCCGCGGCCACCGTCAGCGGCGCCCCGAAAGCCCGGCCACGCCGAGCCCCACAGCGCCCCGACAGCCGGCCCCGGGGCTGGGACTCCCGGCCTGCAGGCGCGCTGGGCCGAGCGGCGGGCAGAAGACGCCCAGCTCCAGCCGTGGCCCGGGAGGAGCGCCCCGAGCCCGCAGCCCGGCGAGATCAGCTCCGCAGGGAAGAAGCCGGCGTGCGGGGGGCGGGGAGGGGCGGAGGACGACCGAGCGGGGCGGAGGAGACCCTGGCGAGGGAGTGCGGCGCGGGGCTTGGAGGCGAGGGCCGTGGGGTTGCAGAGGAGCCGCAGCGCAGGGAGCCATTCGGGGCCCGGGCGGCGGGGCGCAGGCGGCAGGATCCCGCGCCGGGGGCGAGTAGCCGCGTCGGGAAGACCAGGGTCCGGAGCCCAAAGCCCGGCCAGGCCCGGGTTCCCGGCGCCGCGCCCTCACTCACCCGAGATCTCCGCCTGGGGCACGTCGCTCAGGCTGAAGCCCTTGGCTCCGTAGATCTGGCGGACCTCGCCGCAGCTCCGGCTCTTGCTGGCCGGGTCCCCGCGGGCGCAGGCGACCAGCGCTGCGGCCGCACATAGCAGCCACCAGCCTCGGGCCCGGAGCTCCATGGCGGGGCCGGCGGCGCCCCCGGCCACCCGCCCGCGCCTCTCTCGGATCCTGGCCGGGTCCTGCGCAGTTCCCGCCCGCGAAGGGCAGAGCCAAGGTCCCGGCGCGCGCGGCTCGCGGTCCAGAGGCGGCGGCGGCCGAGGAGGCGGAGACAACAAAAGCCGGCGGCGGCGGCGGCGCGGGGCGCGCGGGGTGCGAGGTCCGAACGCTCGCTCGGGCAGCCCAGAGCGCGGCGGGCTAGCGCAGTCCCGGCTCGGCGCCTCCCCCGCCGCCGGCCCGGCCCCTAGGCGGCCGCGGGAGAGGAGAGGGGCGGGGCAGGGTGGGAGCGCAGGGGTGGGGGAGGGACTGGGAGCACCGGGCGGGGCGGGGCGGGGCGCGGCGCGGGGGCGCGGGCCGGGGCGCACTGGGCGCTCCTCTGGCTCTTAGGGACCCAGAGGGCCCGCCTGGCCGCGCGACTCTATCGATCCCCGGCGGGAGGCGGCGGAGCCGGGCAGCGCGGGGCCGCGGCCGGGGTCCCCGAGGGCGGCCCCCCACGCCCAGCGCCCAGGGCGGTGGCACCACCTGTGGGGGCGGGGACGGGGGCGGAGGGTGCGCGAGGCAGGGCTTCCCCCGCCGGACGTGACATCACGCCTCCCGCGCCCCAATCAGGGGCCTCCCCGCCCCCAGCCGAAATCGGCATCCCGCTCCCCGCTCCCTCCCGCGCGCTCCGGCTTCCTGCACCCTGGCAGCGCGCCCCGAGAACGCTCTCCCGGCGCCTCCGTACCCTCCGCCCGCCGGCCGCGCCTCGAGCCGCCGCCCCTCTCCCCGCCTGCACCCCGCAGCGGCTCCCTCCCCGCGCCCTTCCAGCCGTCTCGCGCTGGGCTCCGGCTCGCACCGGGGGCTTTTGTGGTGTGGGGGCTGCACGCAGGAAACTCGCCAAGAAACTCGACCTCACCTCTCCCAGTCCCAGGGAGCGGCAACAGATGGCTTAATTGTTGGACCTTGACAGCTGTTTTGGGGGGGTGACCCTCCACGTTCTTTGGATGCTGGAGAAACCAAAGTGATGGGGCAGGGCCGGTCTACTGGTTTGGGCTGCTGGGTGGGGCCAGATGACCTCTGGAGAAGGGATAGGGTTGGAACCCGGCGACTAGTTAGGCCACTGGGGGAGGAGGGTGGAGTGAGCCGGAGCAGATGCCTCTTTGAAGAAGGCGGGAGGGCTGCCTGCACCTTGTATGGTAGGAGGGCGCGTGGCTTTAGCTGCACATGGGGAGTTGGGCTGGATGGGGTCTGTAGGGAGGGGGCGAGGACTGCGATGTTGGTGTCTGGAGGGCTTCACTCCTTCCTTGGCTCCCAGACCCCCCACCCCGGCCCCCTGTTCTCCACATGGTAAGGCCTGGCGGTGAAGCCAGGTGCCTGAGCTGCAGAATTGGGGGCAGGCATAGAGGTCAGTATCCTTGGCAGAGAACCTCAAGATGACCCCCATGTACAGCAAGGGTGTCCTGATTTCAGGGCCTGTGGCATCACCTGGAAGCTGCAGCGGGGTCCGTGGTGGGGGTGGTGGCAACATTCCCTACCCCTTCTGTGCCTGGGGCTCTCAGCCGCTGTGTGGGGCTGGAGCAGGAAGGTGGGGTGCCCTCCCCCTGGGCTCTTGGGGTTTCCTGCCCTGCCTCCCAGAGAAGGTTGCTCCTTCACCCAGAGACACTGAGTCATTGCTGGAGAGGGAGGCTTTGGGGACCCAATCCAAGTGTGCATTTCCCTGCCCTCCCCCACATACCCTCTGCTGCGTCACATTTTGTGACTCACAGACCCCTGTTCAGTACATGCTCCAGGCTTGCTCCTTCTTGCCTGGGCCTGGCGTGGCTGCCTGCACACCTTATCCAGCACGGTCAGGAGCCTGGGCCCACGATCCCGCTCTCTCTCTGTGTGGTCTCACGCACTGCGGGATCAGGCAGGGCTGCCTGGGCCTAGGAAGCTGGACTTGAGGTTAACCCGGCCTGAGGCTCTATAGTTACCCCGTCACTGTCTACGCCTCCTCTTAATCTGACCAGGTTGGGTTATTCCTCCAGGCAAGTCCTTCCTCCAGCCTAGTTCTGGGCCTCTGGATGGCAGTGTGGACAGCAGGGCTTAGAACGCGATGGTGGCAGCCTCTGCCTGGCCCTGGTGACCCCTGGGTGGCTTCATCTCCTAAGGAAGTCCTTACCACCATCGCAGGTCCTGGAATCATTCCCATTCCGCAGGCCAGGAGACCTGTAGCCAGGGCCTTCCCTGGAGAGGATGCACATGCCGCCGGGGGCATTGGAAGCAAAAGCCGTGTTTGCACCTGGGAGGAGCCGCAGGATCCTGAGCAGCTGCAGCTACCCCTGCTTCCCTCCTGGCAATGCTGCACACGCCCGCTGTCACCAGGGCAGGAGCCGCCAGGCTGCCCGTGCTAGTCGGGTGCAGGGTCCAGACTGGGACTCTGGGAGGATGGGCAAGGCTGATCAGCCCCCTCTTCCACCGCTGTCCCTGGGGCCGCTCCACACAGGACACGTGGATGGGTTTGAGGACATAGTTGATGCCTCGAATCCCAGCCACCACAGTGACCCTTGTGGCTCTGACCAAGACCACCCCCTCCTGCTTTGGTGTCTTTGCCTGGCTAGACAGTGGGGGCACACGTATGCGACACAAAGAAGGAATGAATGAGCAAGTGAGGAAACACCTGAGAGGAAAAGTTTGTCCCTGAGAGTGGGCGTGTGGCGCAGCCTGGACCTGCTCTTCCACAGGTGCAGTGAGGGCAGAGGACACTTAGCATTGTCTGACGGGCTGAGGCAGGCAGTGCCTGTTGGGCCAGGGCGTGGGGGCCTCCCTTCCATGCCCCCATCTTCTGTGGAGGACCCCAGGTCCTGGAGGGCGTGTACTGCTGGCTTAGGGCCCACTCCTGCCTCTGCCTAGGGAGGGTGGGGGTCTGCGGGATGCTGAGCCTGGTCTCTGCTCAGAAGACACAGGGAGCGCCGGGGGGCCCGCAGCTCCCAGCCGTTCGGACGGCAGGTCTGCCCAGAAATTATCCTACTTTTGCTCCGTGGAACCCTCGTGAGTGTGCACGCCCTTGCCCGCTGCCATGGACGGACAGCTTCCCTTTCTGTTTGGTTTCAGGGATTGTCTTTCGGAGACTCCAAAAGTAAGTTTCCAAACAGACTGAGCGATTGTTGTCGCTGCCATCCATGGCTGCCTTCTTGTGAATGTCACTGCCTGTAGCATCCCTACCTACGAGAGCCCTGTCCTACTGGCCGTGGGAGGCAGGAGTGCGCGCGTGTGCCTGCAGACAGCAGGGGTTCAAGGGCGTGGACTAGGGCTGGCTGGGATGTGGCATCTGATCTGTTAGAGCACCCAGGAGGTGTTTTGGTGCCCTGGGGCATAGTGGAGGATGTAGGGTCCCCACACCTCTGTGGGGGTCTGGGGACCCCTTGGGCAGCAGCCTGAAGGAGGAAGTGGATACCCCAGCATGTGGCTGATGAAGGGAACATGGTCCCCAGGAGTGGCTGGCAGCCCTGGGCAGAGCAGGGTGGGCAGGACAGCCTGCCTGCAGAGCTGGAGATCTTTCTGCAAATGGTAATCAGGGTGCCTGCCAGAAAGAAGCGGGGCTCTGGGCAGCTCTACAGGGCTTAGCGATGGGGAGGGGATCTGCCCCAGGGCCTGCTCTGGCCCATGGACTCCACCTCCAGCTCACCCCGTGCTTCCTGCCCTGCCTTTTGGTGGTGACACTTGGGGAACATTCATCCGGTCTCTCATTCTGGTGCTGGCTCAGGGAGCCGCTGTCATCTCATGAAGGAGCTCGGCTCCAGACGACCCTGCAGGATTGTACTCGTGTGGGGTCTGTGAGGTGGGGTGCTGGTCCCTGCTCTGCCTGGACACTCAGTGGTACCCTGGAAGGTCTTCCAGCCCTGAGCCAGGACCCTAATCTACAGGAGTTCGGCTTTGAGTCTGAACCCTAGGGCTGCCCTGGCTTCCCCAACTTAGGGGCTGCCACTGGGCAGTGAGGGTGGGTGGACAAGGGCGCCAGCTGGGCAGAGTTTGCAGGACTGAGAAAACCTGGCACCATTATTCTCAAAGGAGGTCATACCTGCACCTCCCTCCACCTCTCTCCAAGCCCCTGCCGTGGGGCAGTCAACTTGAAGGTGAAGCTGTTTGGAGCCTGCTCTGCTCTGCTGGGTCCTTTTGATCAGCAGAAGTCTGGGCTGGCCTCCCTTATCCAGGTCAGAGGAGAGCAAGCCTTTTCAGTGAGGCTGGGTCACCCGTGTGGTAGGTGGGGTCAGAAGAATGCACCTGTGGCCCCTCCAAGAGCTGGCACCTGTTTCTCTAGTCTGAGGACCCTGGTAGCAAGAGATGACCCCAAACACTCCACTCTGGGCTGAGCTGGGTTTGGCCTTCCCTGTGGCTGTTTTCCTGCCCCTCCCCACCCTGACTCTTGGCCTGGTCTCCTTGAGGAGAGGGAGCAGATGGGGGCACTCCGGCACTGTCTGCTATGTTAGGACAAAGCACCCCACACACCTGGAGCTCAGAGACCCACGTGCACGCTTTGGTGTCCCCAGCACCAGCAGCTCATGGCTTTCCTGCCAGGTCCTGTCTGCTCTGTGTGTGGCTCCTGCCCTTCCCTCCACCTCTCCCCTTCTGGACCATTGCTGGCTTTTGACCTATTCCTCCTGCAGTCCATACTGCCTGGCTGATCATTTGAAAACCAGCTTCAATCCGAAGCCTGCAAGGACTCTGAAGATCAGAATGCAGCTGCCCTCAGCCACAGTGCAGGAGCCCCTGAGCCTCCCCCTCCTCTCAAGGGGTCCAGGAAGCTGAACGTTCTTCCCCTCCCCATTCAGATTCCAGGGTCACCTCAAACCTTCCCCTAAGCTTAGGGAAGGCCTAAAGTTGCCTTCAGCTCCAGAGGTCTGGAGTTGAAGGGTTTCATTTCCCTGTAGATGAGGCTCCTAAGGTCTGAGGGGGTCGGACTGTGGCCCTGTCCCGCCTCCCACTGCCCTTCTGCAGGCTTGTCTGAAGAGCTTGCTTGGTCCCCAAAGCAAAGAGCCGTTTCCAGGGTGAGGCCAACTGGAGGCATCCTCTGAGCTGCTCTGCAGGTAAGGGTTTGCCTCTGGACCATGCTGGCCTGGAAGGGTGGCACTGTCCACGCCACACTCCCAACCTTCCCTGCTCCTGGGGAGGGTGTCCTGGGATGCTCAAGGCCCTTTGAGGGGAGTTGTCCAGTTGGTGACAGGAACATGGCCGGGGCACCCTCTTCAGCCAACCTTTTCTCTGGAAGACCAGAGAACAAGACAGCAGGCATCTGTCCTCCTGGGCAGGAGCCACCAGCCTGCATGTGGGGAGGTGGCTGTGGCTTCCATGGCCCTGGCTGGCAAGCCATGGGCTGGGGGTGGGGGGGGTTGGGGGCCTGCACACCTGGCTGCGGAGGACACAGGCCTGTACTGTGTCAGGGCCTAGAGCAGCCAGAGTGCTCACAGTGGCCTGCCCTGTGTGCCGCCGGCCTGCGCTGGGTGGGAGGGAATCCAGGGGCTCAGTGGAAGAGCCGTCTCCTAAGGGGGAGGCCTTGCCAGGGCCCACCGAGCAGGGTCTTGCAACCTTGGCAGGTGAGGCTGAGTCACAGGCGAGAGAGGCACCTGCATGGTGCAGCTGAGGGAGGACTGTAGCCTCCCTGGCCTGCTGGTCCTCTCTGGGAATCCTATTTTCCTGAGGAGGCGAAACTGCCGCATCCGAGTGTCTGTTTCTCTGTGCAATAGTAATGCCCCGCTAGGTGGCAGGGGACAGGTGTCCTGAGCGTTGGACGGCTGAAGGGCAAGGGAGCCCCTGAGGCCTGTGGGAGGGAAGGGGTGGTGCAAGGCCTCTTCTGGGGACAGGGACAGGCTGCCTGGTCCCTGGGGAGGGGGATGGGGGAAGGGTTGGTTTTATTTGCCCTGCAGCCACCGGCACAACCAGAGGTGAAGGCAGCTGCAGGGCCCTCCTGGACACAGTGGGAGTGTCCAGGGAGGGAAGGAGGAGGGGGGCTGGAACAAGACACAGCCGAGGACTTGGGAGGAGGAGAGGCTGAAGCCGTAGACAACGGCTGAGGACCAGGGAGGAGGAGAGGCCCTGACCACACCCTGCAACCATGGCCTGGCCCATGGGTCACACCTACAGCCAAGCTCAGCCACATCGGGTCAGCTCTGGCTGGCCCACCCGTGCTGGGGAGTGGGCAGGCACTAGTGGTGGCGAGGCCCCTCCCTAAAGGTGGCGTTGACCAGCCCACCTGGCCTTGGTCCCCTACCTTCAACGAAAGTCTGGCAAAGGCATCCTGAGAAGGTGACAGAGGGAAGCCCTGCCCTTCCAGAGGGCCTCAGGCCAAAGTGCTCCCCAGACCTGGGGCTGCGGCCCAGGGAGGGCGGCCAAGGGAGGCTTAGACACCTGGCCTCTGGGCCTCATTTTAGGGAGGCGAGGTGACTCTCAGGCAGGTGCAGGGCTTCCTGAGTAAGTGTCACATGAGCAGAGTGATTGCAGCCTGTGAGGGCAGGGTTGTCAGCCAGGTGAGGACAGTAGATTTGGGTCAGGGCCAGGCACAGCCACAGGACCTCTGCCCTATGGACATCCTGCTCCTTTTCTGGCCCCTGAGCCCCGTCACTCCCTCTGTCATTGCTGGTGCTGACCAGCTGAGCCACCCCCTTAGGTCACTCAGTCTTCTTCTCTCTTCATTTTCTCGGAGGAAAAATGGGCATGAAACAAGGATATTCCCTGAATAGCCACATAGTCTTAAAAAACAAAAACAGAGTTGGAGGACTCAGTTTCCCAGTTTCAAAACTTACTACAGTACAAAGCTACAGTAATCAAAACAGTTTGATATTGGCATGAAGGCGGACATGTGGACAAATGGAATAGAAGAGTTCAGACACAAACCCACACACCTGTGGTCAATTTTTTGGGACAAGGATGCCAAGATTATTCAATGAGACAAAGAGTAGTCTCTTCAACAAGTGGTACAGGGACAAATGAAGCTAGACCCTACCTCACACCATACACAACAGGGAACCCAAAATGGACCAAAACCCCCAGTGAGCAAAAACTCTTAGAAGAAAATATTGGGGAAATCTCATGACATTGGATTTGGCAAGAGATTCTTGGATATGAAACAAAAAACACAGGCAATAAAAGAAAAAAACAGAAGAATTGGACTTTATGAAAATTTGATAGTACCCTTTGTGTTTCAAAGGGTACTATCAAAACAGTGAAAAGACAAACCACAGAATGGTAGGATTTTTTTGCACATCATATATCTCATGAATGTCTAGTTTCCAGAAGAAAAAAAAAAAACTCTTCAACACAACAGCAAAAAGTCAGTTTTAAAAATAGCAAAGAATTTGAATAGACACCTTCCCAAAGATGATATGCAAATGACTAATAATCTCATGAAAAGATGCTCAGTATCACTAGTCATCAGGGACATGTAAATCAGAGCAACAGGATGTCACACACCACACTCGAGATAGCTAGCACCAAAAATCGGAAAATAAGTGTCGGCGACGATGTGGGAAAATGACAAACCTTGTATATTGCTGGTGGAAACATGAAATGGCTTAGCCACTGTAAAAACAGTTTGGTGGTTCCTCAGAAAGTAAAACAGAATTAACATACAGCTAGGGGTATGGACAAAATAATTGAAAACAAGTATTCAAACAAAAATTTTTGCATGGATGTTCACAGCAGCACCATTCACAGTAGTCAAAATATGGAAACATCCCAAATATCCACCCAATGAGCAGACAAAACTGACCTATCCATGCAAGGGAATGTTCTCCAGCCATAAAAAGGAATCAGGCACCGATTCCTGCTGCAGTGTGCAGGGGCCTTGGAAAGATCACGGTAAGTAAAAAAAGCTGGACATCAAAGGTCACAGGCTATGTGACTCCATTTCTGTGAAATAACCAGCATTTCACATTCCCCTGAACCCACAGCAGCAGACAGCAGGTGCGTGGTTGTGGGGGCTGGAGGCACGGAGAGATGGGGAGAGCCTGCTTAGTGGTTTCCTTGTGGGGAGATGAGATGTTTCGGAACTAGACAGAGGTGAGGCTGCACAGCACTGTGAGCAGATGAAGTGCTGCGGAATTGGACACTTTAAAGTGGTTAATTTTATGTTACATGAATTTTACCTCAGTAGAAACCAAAGCCAAGCAGAATTGCCATGAGGGATGAGGTGTGGAGCTGATTATCCACGTGGAGCCCGAGAGCAGGCCTGACATGGAGGGAGCCTCTCCCAGCGTCCGACG
Organism: Homo sapiens; assembly: GCF_000001405.40. NCBI lineage: Eukaryota > Metazoa > Chordata > Mammalia > Primates > Hominidae > Homo > Homo sapiens. The sequence goes on along the minus strand of NC_000002.12, from coordinate 240,427,665 downwards.
ATCTCGTCCTTCCCAAGTGGGCATAGTTCAGGCTGCTGGAGGTGCAGAGAAAGAGGCAAGGCGCCGTCCCCCAGTGAGCGACCCTGTCTTAACCTCAGCATCATGAGGCTGGAGTGGCCAGGTGGCTGGGAGCTGCATTTCTCAATCCAGCCACCTGGCCACCTCCCACTGCCACCACACATCACATGTGCCTGCAACAGAACCATGGCAGCCCACCCATGAGGACCCACCCAGTGCAGGGAGGCGAGTGCAGTGAGTACCTGTACCCACTTCGCCTCTGAAGCAGGTGCTGCAGGTGTCCACCCAGGCTCCTCCTCGCTCCCTTCTCCACACTCAAGGTCGCCAGTGACCGCTGCCTGCTGGGTTTCCCTGGGTCCCCTGGCAGAGTAACCTGGAAGTGGCAGAAAGAAAATGACTTAGACGTATCCCTTAGCTGGTGGACAGGCACCAGTTCCTGCTACACAGCTGGAAACCCAGGCATGTGTGTGCTGTTACAAAACAAACTTTCAACACATTTAGTTAAGATCTGATATGGTTTGAAAGTTTCTTCTCTCTAAATCTCCTGTTGAAATGTGATCCCCAGTGGTGGAGGTGAGGCCCTGTGGGAGGTGTTTGGTCACAGGGGTGGGACCCTAGTGAATGGCTTGACGTCATCCCCTTGGCGATGAGTGAGCTGTCGCTGAGTTAGTTCACACGAGAAAGCTGGTTGTTTAAGAGAGCCTAGGGCCTCTCCCTTCTCTCTCTTCCTCCTGCTCTTGCCGTTGACGCACCTGCTCCCCCTTTGCCTTCCACCATGAGTGGAAGCTTCCTGAGCCCTCACCAGAAGCAGATGATGGTATTGTGCTTCCTCTACAGCCTGAGCTGATTAAACCTCTTTTCTTTATAAACGACCCAGCCTCAGGTGTTTCTTCATAGCAATGGAAGAGCCGACTCGCGCAAGATCTAATTGGCTATCCCTGGTGACTCACGAATCAGGCAGCATCGCATTTGGAGAGTTAGGAAGGGTGTTCCCATAAGCTGAGTGGAAGAGGTGGGCTTTACAGGCAGAAAAGGCTGAAGAAACAGAAATAAGAGGACAGCAAGTGATTGGGCATTGTGGGGTCACTTTCCTTGTCAGACTAACACGGAGGGACTTCCTGAGTCTCCTGACTCAGGTAGACTGATTGGCTGCGGTGAATCTCTTCATTTTGGGAAAAGGGGCCCTTTCTAAGTTCAGTTTGATGATGTGACATGAAGCATGAGTGACTCCATTCTGGTTTGGTCTGGGTGTTGGGTTTGGGGCAGGAGCTTCTCTGAACCAGTGGCCACGGTCGTTTTTATTTGACCATTGCTCTACGCTGTCTCCTGAGGTTTCTTGTGGCTGAGCCAGGTCACAGTGAGCTGCACCGATCACCCATCCTGCTACTTCCCTCCTCATCTCTTCCTCACGCCCCTGCTGCTGTTTCCTGGGACCATCCAGTAAACGAACCTTGTCTCAGCATCTGCTTCTTGGGGGAACGCAGTTGAAGACTGTCTCAGATGTGCACAGTCTCCCTGAGAGGTGGGTCTGTTTGCATCCAGCTTATAGAAAAGCACCTGGCTCAGGGAGGTTAAGTATTAACAATTCACACAAGTTCACAACAGCTTGTGATCGTCCCTGCCCTGTCACCTCCCTGTTTATCACTACGTTCTCCAGCGACATCCTCCCCTCCCATCATCTCATGCCTTGGAAAAGGTGGGCAGACCCTGAAGACAGAGCCCTTACCTGGAAGGGGAGGCGCCAGGTCTCCAGCAGGCAAGCCCTGGCTCCCTCCCACCCAGCAGGAACACTGGGCTGACTCTGGACAGGTGGAACTGCCACAGTTTACAGAGGTCTGAGTGAACTGGAAGCATCTTCAATCCTTGTGCATGAATTGGTTTCCAAGGTGTTGCCCGTGATATTTTAACCATTTTTGTTGTTGTTGTTTAGAGACAAGAACTTGCTCTGTTGCCCAGGCTGGAGTGCAGTGGCACGATCATAGCTCACTGCATCCTTGAATTCCAGTGCTCAAGCAATCCTCCTGCCTCAGCCTCCTGAATAGCTGGAATTACAGGTGCACACCACCGCATCTGGCTAATTTTTTTTTTTTTTTTTTTTTTTTTTTTTGTAGAGACAGGGTCTCGTTATTTGCCCAGGCTGCTCTTGAACTCCTAGCCTCCAGTAATTCTCCTGCCTTGGTCTCTCAAAGTGCTGGGATCACAGGTGTGAGTCACCACGCTGTGTGGTATACCGCAGATCAGTGTGCAAGCCTGACGGTAGGGCTTGATGAATTTGCATCTCTTAAAGTGCACCCAGATTGAGAAACAGAGCATGCCCTGCCCCAGGGACCCCTCACGTCCTCTCCACATTGTCCTGCACCCTGAAGTCCCCCTGCCCAAAGCTCCCCTGCCACAGGACAGGTGCCCTGCCTTCGACCCTGACCCATGGACTGGGCCGCCGGGCCTGGCACTCTCCCTGGCGCTGACCTCGGTCTCTCGATCCTGAGCACCACCTGCGTTGCTGCCCACTTCTCGTCCTCAGGTGGCCTTCCGTTGTGAGCGCCTGTGGTCTCCATGCCCAGGCCACCGTGGCTGGACAATCGTGTGGTTTCAAGAGCGCTGCTGTAGCTGTGTTTGTCTCTGCCACCAGGGGCACATGGGTGCGTGTTTTTGCGGGGTCAGAGGTGCTGGGCACCAGGCTAGGCAGAGTCCGCTAAGCCGCTTCACAGAGTGACTGCTGGCTGGGCTTCCCGCCTGGTGTCCTCACCAGCACCAGCTGCCCTAAGAAATCATCTCTTCATGGATGAGCTGGCTTCCTCTCCCTGGAAGGTAACTGCATCACCAGGGCAAGGGCAGCTGTTGGTTCTGCTGTATCCGAAGCACCAGAATGTGCCTGGTGGGGCAGTGCCCGCTGAGACTCGGGTCTTCACGGCTGGGTGGTGAGTGGTTGTTGTAGGAGTGACCAATGCTTGTTGAATGAATGAATGACCACGTGAGGTGGCATTGCCATTAACCCTCAAGCTAAGAAGGAGCAGGGGTGTTTGGAAAAGTGTGAATCTGGCGGAGCCGGGCACTGCACTTGTGTGGCCCCAAGGGCCTGGACATTTCCCCCATGCCCCTGGTCCAGACCAACAGGCCTGCCCTCCGAGATTCTGTCCCCAACGTGAAGACTCCTGTATTCACTGAGAGCCTCAGGACTGTGTTTAGAATGTTGCTCAACACAATCGTGGAGAAAGTGCAAGCTTTCTGTCTTCCTCTGCAGCGTCAGTCACCAGCCAGCCTCCTGCTTTCTGCCCCCACAGTGCCTCAGGAAGACCCAGCCCTCAGCCCCAGCCCTAGCCCCACCTCAGTCTCCCTCCATGCCTGCAGGTTTTCTGGAAGGAGATTTTCTTGCTACGTGACCATTTCTAAAGCTCATCCATTTCTAAAGCTCGTTCTGAAGCTGTCCAGAATTAGGCATTGCACTTTAATTGCCATTGTGGGAAAAGGCATTTCAAAATCACACACAGAGACCTCGCCTGCTGGCCAGCCCTCCTGCCCTCCTAGTGGTTGGAAATGCCAGAGCCACACACAGTCGTGGTGTTGGGCGGAAATTGACTCTGGCGCGTGGCACCCGGAGTGGCATTGGGTACAGGGTAGTGGGAGGGCTGGTAACCCGGGGATTTCCACTCAATGAGCTTGGGCTGAACGCGAGAGGCCCGAGGGCCGTACGCCTGGTGCATCCATCAGGAAGGTTAGTGGCAGAGACACCGGTGCCAGGGACTATCACTGGTCGGAGGCCATATGCCTGGTGCACCCATCAGGAGGGTTAGTGGCAGAGATGCCGGCACCAGGGACTGTCACTGGTCGGAATACTCCTGGCGCACTCATCAGGAGGGTTAGCAGCAGAGACGCAGGTGCCAGGGACTGTCGCTGGTTGGAGGCAGGGCTAGATCAGCTGAAGACCGTGTTGTCCCACAGGATCCAGTTTTTGGGACCAACAACCAGAACTGGAAGCTTTTGAAAAGCTTGAAAAATCTCTAGTAGTGGTTAAAATAGAACACATCACATTCTGAAATATATGAAAAAGAAAAAAGAGGGTTCCCATTCACACCCTCACCCAGAGTGATCAGGGTGAGCCACTGTGGGCGCATCTTTCTAGAACTTTCTCTGGTTCGTAAATGGCCCTGTTCAAGCATCTGATGCCCATTGTGTGCGGCATTGTTTTTCTAACTGAACCCTGAGCGAGCCTTGGTGGCCTCTCCACATCAGGGCCTAAAGCTCCGCCCACACCTCTGTTCCAACCCATTGTCACTATTCCAGAAAAGGGCTGCAGCCTCTGTTTTACCATGCCTCAGCTCAAGAGTGTTTTTATTTCAAACAAAGTGATATTAAAATGGCAGCGGTGGCTTCTATAGAACAGATGATGAGAAACACATCTGCTGAGTTACAGGGTGCACATTTCAGTATTTTAAAGAGGTGGCCTAATGTCCTTCAAAAAGACAAAGTCAGGCACAGTCCCTGGTGACTCATGCCCTTGTCAAAGCAGGGGTCATCACACCTCTCGATGTTGCTGACCTGAGGCTCGAGGGGTGAGATCCGGGAGTGTTTCCGTTTGTACTCCCTGCTCCCTGGGAAACTGAACATTTTTTCATGCATTTACCAGCCACTGTCAGGTTTTCTTATGGCCTGTCTATTCAAGTCCATTGCCATTTTTCACCTTTGTTGTTTTTTTTTGGTATTGATTTTTGAGGAGGTCTTTATGGATTAAAGATTAGGCTCTTTGCCTGGAATCTGTGTTGCAAATATTTCCTCCTTCCCCTGTTCACTTATGTGAAATGCCAGTAAATACTCATTCCAGCATACACTGGCCTGTTTCTAGACTCACCCTGGATCTTTTTTGCATATTGCTGGGCTAAGGCCACACTGTTTTGAATAATGTAGTTTTGTAGGATGTACATTTCTTCTTATTCAAAATTTCTTGCTATTCTTTCCAGTGTCTCCCCCAGATGAACATTGGATTCATCCGTCAAGATCCATAAATAATGGATGAGAATTGTCTGGAGCTCATAGATTAGTTCTGGGAGAATTGATATTTTCTCAGACATCCAGGTATTCTAGGTATTTCAAATTCTCCCTTTATTCAATTTAAAAAATTGCTTTGCAGTAAAGTCTCACGTTTTTCATCATCTAGCCCTTTTTATATTTTGGGGTTTATTCTTAGTTGTTTTAAGGCTTTGTCTATTGTGAGCAGTATTTCTGAGCATACGTTTTCATTGGTAATTGCTGTGTTTAGGGAAGTCATTGGCTCCATTGATCTTTCAAGTCACAGCTTTGCTAAATTGTTTCCTTACTTCTAATACTTTTTCAGTTGGCTGCCTTCTGATTTCTAGGTAGACAATCATAGCATCTGAAAGTAGTGATGACTTAATCTTTTAATTTCCAGGTATTTATGCCTTTCATTTCTTTTTTTAATAAATGCATTACTATCCTTATTAGGATCTCTAGTATAATAGTAAAGATAAAATTGGTAATGATGAAAACACTCATGTTTTCTCCTGACCTTAAGACTAATGCTTTGAAAGTTTTATCATTAATTACAATATTGACTAAAGGCTTCTAGAACAAACTGTTATCAAGTTGGGGAAGTTGTTTCCTATTCTTTCCTTGCTACAAGGTTTCTTTTTAAAGTCCTAGTAGGGAAGGATATGGAATTTTTTCAACATCTGTTTCCATGATCGTATCATTTTCCTCAACTCAGTTCTTGGTGTAGTGAGTTATGCATCTAGAATTACTGCTATTAACCCATCCTTGCATTCCAGGACTAAACCCTACCTGCAATGGAAGCATTTGCAATGCCATCCTGGATGTGATTTGTTGAGGCTGGGCCCTAAGCCCTGTCTGTTTCCATGGTCTTGCAGGGCTCTCCTGCTGTGGGGGTCTCCTTGGGCTCAGAGCACTCCTGTGGCAGCAAGGCCAGAGCACAGGTGATGCTGTCTCTGCCTTGCACTGGCTGCTGTTCTGATGAGGCGTGAGCAGTGGCTTTCCTGGCCTGTGTGGCACGAGGACACTTGTCAGGCCTGGGTTGCCCTGGCCAGCTTCTCCTGGGGCTGCATGTCCCATGGCCTGGCATGGGCCCTGGGGAGCCAGGGCCTGCTCCATCCCCCCTCTGGGATCCTTGTAGCCTGCTCAGTGTCCCCGCATCAGTGTTGCTTGTGCTTGCTGACTGTGCCTTCCTGCCTGCTGGCCACACCTGTCCAGGGGGACCTGGAAATGGACAGGGGTGCTTCTGATGGGATTCTACACCCTTCATCTGCTTGGGGAGAAGGCACCCACACCCGTGAGTTATGTCATGAAAAGCATACTTGTAAAGCTGGCTTCCTCCCTGACCCTGGGGCATCCTGGTCTTGTGCATCCCAGTTGGGAGGAATCACCACTCTCTGCATCCAGGCCCAGCAGCTGCCTTCCAGGGTCCTGGGTGTTCCTCCTGCAATATCTCTTTAAAGTTGGTAATTTGGAAGATTGAGCTGGAAATGCACAAGTGAGTGCTGCCTGAGGGCTGGGGGTTTTGGGGTGGAGGCTGCCACCTCACATGAGGCCTGGATGCTAGTTTGGGCCTTTTGTGGGCCTAGTGTCCCTGGCAGGCCTCTGGCACCACTGCTGTGTTCCTGGGCAGATCCGCAGAATGGGACACTCTTGGAAGCAAAGACACCCATCCTCTAATTTTCTTATCCTTTCCGAAACCGAGCTAAACCCACTGCTCAAAATTGTCAACACGTGGCTTCCAGCCCTGGGGAACAGGATTGATGGCCTTGTCATTCCACATGGGCATGTGGCTGAGTGGCTACTGTGGGGGTGGTTCCCATCTGCAGAGGGCGTGGGGCCCTGTGAGGACCTGACTGTCCTTCCCTGTGGGCCGAGGAAGCCCCTAATGTCGGGGCACGCACACCAGAGGAACCGGAGGAGCCAGGCCATTTGTGCTGAGGGGATAGGATAGTGGGCAGCAGCCCCAGGACCCTGCCTGCCTATCCTGAGGGCCCAGACCAGATTCCCGGTCCCTCTGGGGTCCCACAGCCTAGGACTTGCCCACAACTCTGGTTTTGGGGCCGTTTGCTTGCCCAGGAGGTCGTCCTTCCATTCTTCATCCCTCAGCCCTCCCATTCTCCCGGGTACTCCCATAAGGCAAGCCTCGGGCCAAAGTATCAGCCGTGCCTTTCTAGGTCTTCTCCATGCCCCCAGCCCCCCACTCTGAAGTGGACCAGACCCTCCCAATGTGTGCCAAGGGTGCTGAGCCTTCGGGCACTGTGGGTGGTGTCTGCTTGCCTATGTCTGCCCCTGGCCCACTGAGGGGGTCAGGAAAGGGTCTTCTGGGTGCCTGAGCAGTGTGCAGTCTCTGAAACGGACTTGTGGGGTGGGGGCAGGGTTCAGTCCATGGCCCCCCCATCAAGCTTCCTTGGGACCAGGAGCCCCTTGCAGGCTGCCCGGCTCCTCTGCCACCAGCTGGGGCTTGGCCTGGCTATGGCTCTCAGATACTGGCCTTAATGGTCTGGGAGCTGGGGGTCTCCACGGGCCTCACTTGGCCATCTGTGGCCTGGGCCAGGCTGGCTCTAACTCCCTGCAGAGATTCTGCCTCATTGTCAGATTGCAAAATGAAATAAAATGTAAAATGAAAATTTGCAGGACTCAGGAAGAGGCTGGGTGAGGCTGTGTGGACATGGTGCAGATGCTCTGATGCCTGTGGCAGAGTCAGCAGCCTGCAGACCACGTCTCCTCCGGAATGCACAGTGGTTTTGAATTTGTGCTTTTTTCTTCTTTAAATTATAGGAGGGAGGAGAGCTTGGCAAAGTGCAACATGGGACCTGCCAAGCCCAAACTATTTGGAAAAAAAAAAAATCACAAGATTTTTGCCTAAACTCTGAAAAGGCTTTGATTCTGCTTGAAATTTGAGGTCTGTGCAGATGGCCCTGAAGACAAGCTTGGCCACTGGCATGGGGGGGGGCTTAGGCTAGGCCCCCCAGTGTGACCACAGTATGGTCCTAGGACATGAGCCATGCAGGACCCAGGAAGCTGGGTCCTGAGGGCCGATGGCTGAGGCTCACTTAGATGTGTGCAGACCCCACTCCCTACCTGGGAGTGCACTCGTGGGTGTGGAGAGGAGCTGGGGTGGGTCTCCAGCTGCCCCTATGTCTGCAGTTCCCTGGGCACCAGGAGGACCAGCCTCCTCGTGGGGCTCAGGTGCTCTGGGAGGTGGGGGTCGGGGCCAGGCTTGCCCAGAGTTTTCCGGGCACAAGTGGGAGAGCGCAGTCCACACCAGACTGCCCTTGCTTCTGACTGTAGTGGTATGTTCAGGGGCCCCAAGACCCCACTTTCAAGGCTTAGCAGCTTGCCAGAAAACCCACAGGACTCACAGAAGCTGTCGTATACAAGGCTATGGTTTTTCATAGGGAAAGGATCAGGGATGAAGTCAGCCAAAGGAAGAACCACAGAGGTGGGATCTGGGGATGCACCAAACTCAAGACTCCTGTGTCCTCTCCCCGTGGCGTCAGGACAGTGTCACTCTCCCGGCATCTCTGTGGGACAGCACACCTGGAGCGTAGCCAACTGGGGATGCTCACCTGAGCCTCTGTGGTCAGAGTTTTTATTGGGGCTCCAATTCACAGGCACCACTGATTGATTGTCTGTGTGGTTATCTCAGTCTCTGTCCCCTCCCAAGGCCAACTGGTATCACCTGATCCAGATACTGCCCGCCCACACTCTGCAAAGCACATTGTGATCATGCGGCATGGTCTCAGGTCCCCAGGCCAACAAAGACAGTCCTATCAGGCATGACATTCCAGGGTGAGTGTCACCTCCTAGGAATCAGGGGCCAATGCCACACTGATTTCTGGACAAAGTTAAATTCTTTCCTATATGGGTATGCTCTAGGGGTGTGCAGGGGCAGAGAACCCTGTTGAAGATGAGCATGTTTTTCCTGCGGCCCCCAGACAGCATGGTTTTGCCCTCCACTCTGTGTTTATCTCCCAGTTGTCATTCCAAGCTTTTTCTGAAGCCTCACCTCCACTGGATTCCATGGAGGATGGAGTGGGGAAACTGTATGAGTGGGAGGCATGGGGTTGGCCTTCCTTCCAGGGCTGGCCATGGAGGGCCCAGTGCTGTGCCACCCGGGGGGCAGGCAGCATCCCTTACATCCTGCAGGGGCACCAGCCAACCCTCCACCTGAGGGTCCTAGATGGATGGCTAGGGATGTCAGTGGGGTCCCAGCTTGAGGGAGATGATGTAGAGCCATCAAAAGGTAAACTGAGGAACCATAAAATTTTTAAAAGAGGTTTATTTGAGGAGACAACTCATGACTCAGCTTAAAACCAGAAATGATTTAGGAGCTCCATCAAGAGAAAACAAGAGGGAGGTTTTTACAGAATGAATACAGAAGTAACACAAATAAAATATCTGATTGTTCACAGTTGTGCAAGTGCCTTGTTGGGTCCATCCTGTTGCAAAGTCCCTAGTTATAGAATTATAAGTTTGTTGGCTACTTCTGATTGGTGGAGCTTAAGTTTTGTTTTTCTTTAATGTAGGTATTTACATGAAAAGGTTCACAGTAAGTTTCACTTATGTCTGCAAATGAAGCAGTTTGCACTTATGAGGCCTAACTGGCTTTGTCTACTCAGGGACTCTTCAGGCCTAGCCTCTGTAACAGTTACTTTAACAATGCCCCCCCAACTTTTGGGCACCCTCTCAGCAAGCTGAGACCGGGACCAAACAGCATAGCATTACTCTAGGTTACCACTATGGATGTAGTCCCTGTATCATCTCAATACTTGCATTGAGATATAAGGTCTTACAGTCATTGCTATACAAAATTACACAGTCATTGTGACTTTGAGTTGCTGAGTTGTGGAACTCTCTGAGTTGTCTAATTCTGATGGCAATCTTTCCATGCATGAGTGGCTGCTGGAAAGCATTTGTGGGTGGGGGGAGTGGGGAAGGATAGCATTAGGAGATATACCTAATGCTAAATGACGTGTTAATGGGTGCAGCACAACAACATGGCACATGTATACATATGTAACAAACCTGCACATTGTGCACATGTACCCTAAAACTTAAAGTATAATTAAAAAAAAAAACACTTGAGAGGATACCATGCACTTGGGAGGTGAATACAATGACTGTAAGGAGAGTCACAGCCAGGAATGAACATTTTCCTGGGGCAGAGATTCCCAGAAGCCAGATTTAACCAATGAAATCAATCAGTGGAGGAGGCAGCACCCGTCTGGTGAGACTAGTGTTTGTCTCTCCAAAGCCTTTAAGTTTTGGCAACAATTTCTAATTTATTAAGATAGAAAAAACATTTTTTTAAATCTATAAGAGAACAAGCTCATTCTTGTTCAGCTGTTAAGATATCAATAACTTTTATTTTGTAGTATGATTGAGGCTAAATTGTTCATTTAGCTGTCCTATGAAAACAAAAGAAAATCAATGGTTAATATTTGAACTGAAATATGATTGTAGTTTTTTGAGTGCAGAGGACAGCTAGTTGAGAAGATTTCTACGTTTCTAGAGCTAAAAACATCTCTAGATGGTGGAGTGAGGGATGGTAGTTGCAGTCCTGATGGATTTTCCTGGTTGGCAGTGTGACTGTCTCTGATGAGGTCATGGGGTGTTTGGGTGAACTCTCTAAGTGACCTGTAGAGCAGCAGGCCTCAAGGTTGTCCATACGTGGTCTCTTGTAGTGATTTTTCTGAAGTTTGAAGTCATCCAGTTTCAGCCTCGGGGCATGCGAAAAGGGAAGTTCTATTTTCTTGTGTAAGTAGAAGAATTCAGGATTCAATCCAGTTTATAGATGGATAACAAAATCTCAAAGAAAATAAACAGGACTAGAATTTGATAATGGGTGCACTACACTTTCCTATTGAAATACAATCTTTTATAGTCAAAAATAATATATATATATTTAAAAAACAGGGTCTTTCTGTGTCACCCAGGCTATAGTGCAGTGGTGCAAACATAGTTCACTGCAGCCTCCAACACCTGAGCTCAAGCAGTTCTCCTCCCTCAGCTTCCCAAGTAGCTGGGACCACAGGTGCATACCACCATGCCCGGTTAATTTTTAAATTTCTTATTGAGATGGGGCCTATCTAGGCTGTTTCAAACCCTCCCACCTTGGCTTCCCAAAGTGCTGGGATTACAGGCATGAGGCAACAAGGCTGGCCAATTTTTAAAAATAAGTCATTTCATTAAGCTTGACCTGACTGTTTATATAAGTACAACAAGAATAGTAATTCTATGTATATTCAAAAATATCATATTTTAGTCAGAGCTTTGGTAATATCTAAGGGGCTTTATGGATTTTGTATCACTCAACCTTCATTTTAAAGAATTATTTAGTAATGAGAAATCTCAGATTAGACCTTTAAAAACCTCTCTAGGCTAAGAAGCCAAGCCAAGGACTTGTCCAATTGTGCCCTGTTACAAGGAGAACAGATCCCTATTGAACTTATGCAAATACTGGTATTGCTCTGAAAATAAGAATATTTAATAAGAGTTCCCAAATTCTGGAGCAATCAGATAGGGAGAAAAATATAAATGTTCCATTTTTTTTTGTTTACAAAATATATTTTATTAAATTTCTACAAGTTATAGGTAGCTTAAGAGAAAAAGGATTTCGAAAATCTGAAAAATAAGACATTAGAGAACCAACAATGTTTCTAACAAAAGGTGATACAAATTATAATTATTGTCATCAGCTAATTTAGTTCCATGTTTTGTTGGATATTGGGTTAGTCGTTTTATGAATCTATCAATTTTTCATGACTGTTCTGGAAAATCTTACCCTCCTGTGAGAGTGTGAGCTTAAGGTTACCAGAAACCTGTACTTGTCAGTCTTTTTCATGAAGCTCTTGCAGTTTTGTATCATGCAACTGACGAGAAATTTGGTTGTTTTGGTGATATATAACATTTCAACATAATTAGAATTATGGATGATAACATACTAGGATATATCATATTTCTAGGAATTTCAAATAATTTCTGGAATAGTCAGATCAATAATAAATATAACTTTAAAAAGGTGTAGTACCTATCACTCATTATTTGGCAATGCCTCCCATGACATTTAATGTATTAGATAAGCCTAGTTAATTTAACATCTCTTTTTATTAAGAGAGAAAATAAATGCTTTTGATATAGTCCAGACATCCTTCACAAAGAAGAAGCCCAGAGAAACTCACAAAGTTAATCTGAGGTAAAAAAGACTTAATTTAGAATTTGAATTTGGGAAGTTGTCAAAAATGCCCAAAGGGTTAAAACACTTAATTAAGTAAGATTACAGGTCATTGTGAAATAATACCAATACAAAAGGTTTTAAAGGCAAATATAGAAACTTACATAGGCATAAAAAAACAGCTCTTTTAATATTGAAAAGTCTCACTTTTCTTAAATGATAAAAGACTTTATGAAAGGCAACATGCAGCATGAGAAATTATCCTGATAAAACACATCTTTGTTTCCTGGGCCTGTTGCTTAAAAGTAAAGCAAAAAATATCTTCATAATCAAAAGCAGAACAATAGTCCAAGAAAGCTTTGTCCTTTTAGCAGAGGGGAAACCTAATTCTTACTTTGGACCGTACATTACTGAGCTTATTTTTTTATTTTTTATTTTTTTTTTGAGACGGAGTCTCACTGTCGCCCAGGCTGGAGTGCAGTGGCGCGATCTGGGCTCACTGCAGGCTCCGCCTCCCGGGTTCACGCCATTCTCCTGCCTCAGCCTCCCCAGCAGCTGGGACTACAGGCACCCGCCACCTCGCCCGGCTAATTTTTTGTATTTTTAGTAGAGACGGGGTTTCACTGTGTTAGCCAGGATGGTCTCGATCTCCTGACCTCGTGATCCACCCGCCTCGGCCTCCCAAAGTGCTGGGATTACAGGCGTGAGCCACCGCGCCTGGCCCTGAACTTATTTTTTTAAAAAAGATCTTATGAATAAAAACTATCTAATATTAGTAGTTTGACCACACCTAACATTCCTCTTTTGCCGGCCTTCTACAACTTTCTATATCTGTTCAGTTTTTGTCTCACTCTTTTTCTTCTTTTTCATTCTGAAACAATCTATCTTGCTTTAAGACAAAATTACTCTTTTTTCCTTAACGAAAACACACACCTTGTATACCTTCCCTTACTGAAGCCACATTGTACTTTCTTTGTGCATTTTTCACATACAGTTTTCTTTTAGCCCTATTATTTCTAGTAGTTTCAATTACATATATTATTTAAAATTCTTAATCATCAGTATCCTTCATATCTAGTGAAAATTAGGAAGTACATGATTTCATAATTTTTCAATAGCCTGTGCATCCTCATAGCACAGGACATACTTACCCACGGACCCACATATCTCTGACTCCTCTTTAATAAGAGACCAAAAATATGTAAGCCTGGGCTTCCCTAAGCCTTGATCTTGGCCAGCTCAGCTCATTTTGGACACTGATGAGGTTTGGACTTGTGAGTACTTTGTGAACTTTATTTTTAGTAGCACGTGCTTAGTTAAACAAATAGCTTACATAGACCCCTCACCCATGGTGTATTTAGTGGACAAAGCTGAAGCTGTTTGGGCTACAGCATGGAAGGGGACCCCACATTCCGCCCTATCAGTCCCACTGCCCTTGTGGTGGCCCCCCCCTAGGGACCTCCAGGCTCCAGAGCACTCAGGATCCATCTGCAGGGGCCTCTGCTCCCGGCACCCTGAGGGTCTCTGGTTACCTGCTTCTCTAAGAATGGGCAGAGGTCTTGGGAGCTGCTGGCCCCTCCCTGTGTAGCACTCTGCCCAAGAGTGAGGTGGAATCCTTGTCCCACCCTGCTCTTGGTGGAGGCTGACCTGGGCTCCCACCCACCAAGTGGCCTCATCTAGGGGTGGAGAGGAGCGCCCCCGCCAACACTGACACCTTGCACCTCTCCTGCCTCTCACCATGGAGAGTAGCTCAGATCTCACGCGGGACTGTGGGCAATGCAGCCATCCCATGACAACACGGCCACAAAGCCGATGGAGAGAGAGAGGGAGTGGGGAGGAGTCATGAGGCCTGCTGTCTCAGGATGCACCTGAGAACCCCTCCCTGGGGTTCAGCGTCACTGGATCCAGCGGCCCCTGGCAGACATCATAGCAGAAGCGAGTGGGGCTGGCTGTCATGTGAGGACACAGAGGACCCCATGGCTGGTCGGGGAGGGCAAGGCCAGAGCCGGGTGTCCCGACTGGACCCAAGTCCTCCCAGCTCCACCCACTCCGTGTGAGGGAGCCGAGGAGCCCAGTGCAACGCAACACAGACTGTCTGGCCCCGCGTGGCACTCCTGCGCGTCCGTCCACTCCCCTGTGCCACTTCGGGCAGTGTGTCAGGCTCCCTCCCCAACTCAGCCTCCTCCGGACTTGGGGGGTACTGCAGCTCAGCCTCCTCCGGACTTGAGGGGTACTGCAGGCCCCCACCAGGGTGGTTTGGCTCCTCTCAGCCCTCCCATTTCCACCTGGCAGCCTTAGGCACCCCCCAGTCCCCACTGGTGTCCATTCAGGTTGACCCCTGGCCTCTGGCCCCTCCCTGGATGCTCCAGCCTCAGCGGGAGCCAGGTGAGGCTTGGCCTCACCCCTTCTCTGGCCAGTGTGGTGGGCCTGCAGGGGAGGACAGTGCCTGTCCCCAGGGTGGACTGCACGTCTGTGACACTCTGGACAGGCGGTCCTTTGGGATGGTCTGCGGCCCTTGGGAACTAGGGGGCAGAGACATGAGGCAGTGGGCTCCATCTTCAGAGAGCTTAAGAGATAGGATGGGAGGTGGAGAGGCACCTTCCATCCCGGGGTGGATGTGGGCAGTGATGACCCTAGCCGGGGGCAGGCAGGGTGTGGGAGAAGGACTGGGCTGGTGCCTGGTCTGAGCTGGACACAGCCCAGAGATGGGACCTGAATCTCCAACCCTGGGCCCTGGACTGGCCACAGCAAACAACAGGGCCTAGATTGCCACGGCCGCAGAGCTGGGCCAGCCCCACATGGATGCTCCATTGGCCAGCTGAGGCGCCCGGCCCACCAGGGTGGACAGCCACTGGTCCAGCTGCCCGAGGTCTGTGGGGCCTGTCTGGCCTGGCTTTGGTTTCCACCCAGGCAGCAGCTGCAAGAAGCCTTCGGAAGGAGGAAGACCGGGCCTGGCCTGGCCCTGCCTCATCCTCATGCCTGTCAATCACACCCAAAGCCTGGGGGGTGGGGCGGAGCCAGAATCCCCCAGTGGGGCCTCCAGGGCTTGGGGACAAGCTCCTCTGAAGCTGCTTGGAAAACCTCCCAGCCGCCGCCCTGGGCTCGGATTCCTGAGCTCAGTCAGAGCTGGCGGCTCTGTCCAGGGATGAGAACCACTCTTACAGACCCCTACCTCACCCCAAGGCCTGGCCTTGTCCCTTTGTCCAGGCCCTGCTCCCCAGTATCTGACCCTCAGGCTCAGCCTGAGACCCGGAGGGAAGGAGCAGCCATGGGGATGGTGAGGGAAGTCTCTGCAGGCCCCTCCCTGGAGGATCCGGGAGAAGGTGGCTGGCTCCTGATCTTTGACATATCAAGGAACTGTGTCCTGTGTGCGGGGAAGGAGAACGGGGGGAGGGTAGGGGTGTCTCCTCGGAGTGCAGATGGATGGGGCAGGGGACAGGGGCCTTGGAACGTCATGGTGTGCCAAGTCCCTGGTGGCTCTGGGAGACGTCTCCTAGCTCCCCTATTCCCTCTTGGCAACCTGGGACCTGGGCAGGACCAAGCTGCCCCATGGCAGGTGCTTTGCCCTAGAAGGGATGAGGGTCCACTGAGGGCTGGATGGGGACTGAATGGGGGCTGGGGGCAGGACATGCCGTACCTTGCAGGGCTGCCTACAGTGATGTGTCATGGAGGTTGCTGGATAGACCCTAGAAAGGCACAGATCAGGGAGCGGGGACTGGCTCTGGACCCCAAAATGCAGCTACTAGCCTGGAAGTGGGGGTGAGGCAGCGGCAAGGGTGGATGGCATGGGGGGTGAGGGCCTCTTGGGCCACAGGGTGGCAGAGTGAATGCTGGTGTTTGCACACCGACTTCTTTGGTGGGTGGTCAGCGCTGTCCTGGGACTGGGTTCCCACAGTGCAGGCCCAGGATAGGCAGCGAGGCCCCAGAAGTGACCGTGGGCGAGAATGCGCAGCCCTGCAGCTTCCTGTCCCCCAGACCCCCTCAGGGGAGCAGCTGCTCTCGTTTCCCGTGTCCTCCCCAGGTGGGGGCACCCTTGGGCCTTCGATGGCGGGGGCCCGCCTCCCTCGCACCTGCCATGCTGGGGGCCCACCTCCCTCGCACCTGCCATGCTGGGGGCCCGCCTCCTTCGCACCTGCCATGCTGGGGGCCGGCCTCCCTGGCACCTGTGATGGTGGGGCCGCCTCCCTCGCAGCTGCGATGGTGGGGGCTGCCTCCCTCGCACCTTTGATGGTGGGGGCCCACCTCCTTCGCACCTACCATGCTGGGGGCCGGCCTCCCTCGCACCTGTGATGGTGGGGCCGCCTCCCTCGCACCTGCCATGCTGGGGGCCAGCCTCCCTCGCACCTGCGATGGTGGGGCCGCCTCCCTCACACCTGCGATGGTGGGAGCCACCTCCCTCGCACCTGCGATGGTGGGGGCCGCCTCCCTCGCACCTGCCATGCTGGGGGCCCGCCTCCCTCGCACCTGCCATGCTGGGGGCCAGCCTCCCTCGCACCTGCCATGGTGGGGCCGCCTCCCTCTCACCTGCCATGGTGGGGGCCGCCTCCCTCGCACCTGCCATGGTGGGGGCCGCCTCCCTTGCACCTGCCATGGTGGGGGCCGCCTCCCTCGCTTGGGTGCTCTTCCTTCTACACTGGCCCTTATGAATGTTCAATTGCCGGCTGTTTTCTGCTTACCTGCTTTGCCGCTTGCCCAGGGGGACGGTGTCTCCTCTTTCCTGGGGGCTGTCATCTTTGGGCTTCAGTTCACCAGGCTGTCTCGCCCCCCTCAGCTCCCCAGTGGGTTCCAAAATATAAGACTTTGAAGGCTTGTTCTTGTCAGTGTGGGAGTGATGGTCTCTTGTGGCTTCTTCCATCCTCACAGAAGCAAAAACCCCAATCAGTTGTCAATTTGCAACACATTTTTAATGGCTTCTTGGTTTTGTCCTGTGCACAAAGGTCTCCTTGTAAGATAGAGACATATAGCAGCCCCCCCATGGCTTCTCTGAATACCTACGTGATTGCATTGTTTATAACTCTGATGTTTTGGTGTTGAACGTGAGATACGCATCTGACCCTTTTCCTCAGATAGCTCTTGCTGTCCCTACAGCACTTATATTGAATGACCCAGGTTTCCCGGCACTTACTTGAGACATTTCCTTCTTCACAATATGAAAATGTCATATTTTCAAACACGTTGAAAATATGCGTGTGTGTTGACATCTTGACATCCCAGTCTAGCCATTTATCTGTTTACTCATGTGACGCCACCTCATAGGTTTAATTATACTGATGTTGTTTCATGATATGTTTTCACGTAAACTTTTGCTTTTTTGTCTTAAATGTTTTGTTGGTGTTTTATGGGAATCGCAACGTTTAGATGAAGCTATGGAGGGTTGACATACTCCTGATGTTAAATCTGTCTCCTCACAGGTGTAATCGGATCTTTCATTTGTTTAAAATATATCTGTGTCTCACAGAGCATTTACAGTTTTTCTTCATGTAGAATTTTTACATTTCTTTTCAATTTTATTCCTTGCGATTTTATTGATTTTATTGCAATTTTAAATGGGATATTCTCCCCCGTTTTATCTTCTGAATTTGTTATTACTTAGTTGTATTTATTTTGTATTCAGCTGTCAGGCAAAACTCTCCTTTGGTTTACAACAATGTTTAGTTGATTTTCTTGTTTGTTTTTCCAGGTACACTGTGATATAATCTGAAAACAGTACTAATTTTATCTCTTTCTTTGCAGTTTTGAAGGCTCTAGTTCTTCCTTTTTCTCATGGCCTTGGCCAGCACCTCTGTAGCAAGGCTAAATAATAGTGCTGATGGCTGCCTTCTCATTTCACTCTACTCTTAATGTGACTGGGGGATGGGTTTCCCATTAAGCATGACGTTGGTTTGGGGCAACGCTGGCCTCTCCGTCTCATGCGGGAGGCTTCCATCTGTTTCTATTTCATTACTGTTTTTAACTTTAAGTGAGAATGAATGTTGAATTTAATCTAGTGCCTTCTTCAACATGGACGAACCGTGCCAGCAACTTCCCCCTGAGATCAGCCCACTTCTCTTGGAGGTCGATATTCTAAATGTGTGCTGGACTCCATCTGCCAGTATTTTATTTAGGATTTTTGCATGGATACTCATAGAAGACCTTGATCTTTGTGCATAATATTTGTTAGGTTTTCAAATCCATCTTATGATTGCCTTATATAAGAATTCAGGAACTTTTCCTCTACATCTATGCTCTAGAATTGTTGAATGGCATTGGAATGCCCTGTTCCTTGAGGGTTTGATAGAATTCCTTTGTTATATTACCTAGGCCTGGTTCTTTTGG
The DNA here is from genome assembly GCF_000001405.40 of Homo sapiens. Classification (NCBI taxonomy): domain Eukaryota; kingdom Metazoa; phylum Chordata; class Mammalia; order Primates; family Hominidae; genus Homo; species Homo sapiens. The sequence continues at coordinate 240,409,151 of NC_000002.12, read as the reverse complement.
AAAACTAGCTGCTTGACAACTTCTCTCTTTTTCTTACGGTGCTCTATTCAGATTTCTATCTCTCTTTAGTTACTAAAGTTTTGGTAAACTATGTTGCCTAGGAGAGTATCTGTTTTATCTGTTTTTTTTTACATTTATTTGCATAGAGTTGAACAAGATAGTTGCTTACTTATGTTTCTTTTAAGTTACTCTGTTATTTTCACCATATCTTTTCTTATTTTTGTGTATTTTCATATTTCTTTCTTTTGAGTTTCTAACATTTTATCTATTTTACTATTTCTTGTTATTTTTTTACCAATTCTTCAACCCATCAATTCTACTTAGGAGGTTAAAAATTTTATTTCCCTTTTTTTCCTGTAGCATATTTTTTGTTCTTTTAAAAATTGAGGTGGATGCATATAGCATTTATTTTCATTTATTCTTCCTAATTAATGTTAGCATTTATTTGTGAGAACAGTTTTAGATGTATCCTATAGATTCGAATAACGTGTGATCCTATTATTTTTTATTATTCTATATATAATATACTTTATTCTTTTTGCTGTTTTCTAGATATTGTGCAATTTCAGTTTGGGTTTTTCCATTTTCCCAGGGATTTATGAAAAGTACATTTTTTTTTCGTACAGATGGCAGAGGCAGGGACTGTTAATTTTCTGCTTGTATTAGTAAATTCTGGTTTTATATCTTGTGTACGTAAAGTTGACTGTATAATTTCGAATTTCTGGAATTTGTTTCCTAAGCAGTGCAACATGTTAATTTTTATGACTCTTTCAGAAGGACTTTAAAAGAAGGTGAATTTTTAGTTTTCAGAACATAACATTTAAGAGGTATCAATCAGGCCTTTCTTACGATCTTACCTCTGTCGTTTATACTCCTGATTTTTAGGCCATTTGATCTGTGACTGGCCCAGAGAGGTGAGAAAAGACTCCCGTACCCTGGCCTGCCTTTCCTCTTTCTTAGGTGACATTGCCTCATTAATGCTGATACCATGTCATTGCGGGGCGCAATATTCCCAACTCTTGTAGCTTCACTGTGAGTTGCACCCTTTACCGTCCTTCAGCCTCTCTTGGTCTTGTTTAGAGATTTGGCGGAACTTCAGCCTTTCCTGGTATGAAGACTGTAACCGCTGCTTGCTTTGTTTCTGTTTGGATTTGCTGACATTGTCAATCCTTTTATTTATTTTATTTTCAGCCTGTCTGAATCTGAATATTCAGCTGGCGGTTAGGTATTGTTTTATGATTAATCCTTATAGTCTCGTTTTTCTAATAGATGCATTTAGCTCATCTTTGTACATTGATATGATGACACATTTGCTCTTCGTTTTGCCATAATGTTTCCATCATGCGTGTTTCTTGACCTTCCAAAACCTTTCACCATGTGGCTTGTTTTCTTTGTGTGAGTACAGTGTGTGCAAGTATTATCAACAAATCTACAGAATATTTGAACCCCTAATTTCTTCCAATAGTATTTATTACTTCACTACTAGTAGCAATAATGAAATTAGAATATTTATTTTTTCCTACTCCCTTTTTTCTTTACTATGTAGTCATAATTGATATTACAATTCTTAATATTTACTTTTATATTTTTGCATATTCTCATCTTTTTTACTTAATTTAGGAATTGTATTAGTCTCTTCTCGCATTGCTATAAAGAACTATCTGAGACTGGGTAATTTATAAAGACAAGAGGTTTAATTGGCTCACAGTTCCACAGGCTGTACAGGAAGCATGGCTGGGAGGCCTCAGGGAACTTACAATCGTGGTGGAAGGCGAAGGGGAAGCAGGCCCGTCTTACATGGCCAGAGCATGGACAAGAGAGTGAAGCGGGAGGTGCCACACACTTTTAAACAACCAGGTTTTGTGAGAACTCATCACTCTCATGAGAACAGCAAGGAGGAGTCTGCCCCGTGATCCAGCCATCTCCCACCAGGCCCTTCTCCAACACTGGGGATTACAATTCGATGAGATTTGGGCGGAGACACAAATCCACACCATATCACGAGCGTCAAACAATATCCTCAGCTATGAAAGATGAGGAAATCAATGCACCTAACATCCTCCCATCATTGCGCACTGCAGCCTCTACCTCCCAGGCTCAAGCAGTCCTCCTGCCTCAGTCCCTCCAGCAGCTGGAACTACAGGTATGTGCCACCACCTTCCGCTAGTTTTTTGAATTTTTTTATAGAGGCAGGATTTTGCCATATTTCTCAGACTGGTTTCGAATTCCTGGTCTCAAATGATCCACCCTCTTTGGTCTCCCAAAAGGATTACAGGTAGGAGCCACCTTGCCCAGCCAACATCTTTTCTAAGTTCTGAGAACATTTCACGTTTGAAATCCTTATTTGCCATAATAACCTCTGTGTTTATTTTAATTTTACCTCTGTGATTAAATAGATTCAATGCTCATTTTCATTCTTTTTGCGATGGTCTTTCTACTTACATCTTGCTTTGGCTGAAATTTATAGTAGTACATTTCAATAGTAAATTCTCAATAAGAATGTATAGAAACCGTGTTTCTTAAGTGCTTGAATGATTAAAAAATCTTTTTCACCTTTATACTTAAATTTCAACTGTCTTCTAACAGAATATTGCCGTCTGAAGCTGATCAGATTTTCCCTTCATTAGTGACTTGATTTTGGAGGGGGCAGGAGGAAGGAGAGAGGCTGGCTTTCTTTAGGATTCTGTCTGTATTTGAGAAGTCCAGTAAGTATGTTGGAGGATACATGTTGATGCTGACTGTACAATGTTCTCTGGGACCCACTGTGCCATTTCAATCATTCAAGGCCCCTTTTACTTTGGTAAAGATTCCTTCCTCCTGCTGTGCTTGGGCCTGGGGCCAGCTTGGTCCCAGAGCCCCAGGTTGGCATGTCTCTGCTTGACTGTCCTCCTGGGGCCTGTGAGCAGCATCTGCCCAGCTGGGACTAGTAGTGCCCTCCAGCCCCTTGGCCCGAAAGTCCAGAAGGCTGATCAGCCTGTCTTGTGCTGTGGCCTCCGGCAAGTCCCTTGCCTGCCTGGTGTGGGGTTGGGGCTGTGCAGAGGCTGTGGGGGTCTGCAGCCTTGGCTTATGCAGGATGCTGCACAAACCGCGTATGCACTGCCGTCTAGTTATTGCTCTTCTTATTGATGATGATATTTCTGTGGCTGTTGGTGACTTTCACCCAGTGCTTGTTGGGCATGTTCTCCTGGCCGGGCCTGCTGTGGCCACTCAGCTAAAACCACAGCCCTTGATCCCAAGAGCATTACTGTCCTGTAAGGCTCAGGCCTGTCTCTGATTTGGAGGGACAGGAAGCCTCATGTGTGTTGGGGGCGGGGTGCAGCTGTGGTGGAAAGCAGCCTGGCAGTTCCTCTAAAGCCTAAACCAGGTGCCCACACCACCCAGCAACTCCATCCGAGGAACACACTGAGCATCCCAAATCCCAAACTTGGAAATTCAAAGCTTGTTGCGTGCTGACATGACATGAGGCTCAAAGGAAATGCTCATTGGAACAATTAGAATTTCTGATTTTCAGATGTAGGATGCTCAACCTACCAGAATAATGCAAATACTCCAAAACTTAAAAACATGTGAGGACCCAAACACTTCAGGTCTCAAGTATTTCAGATAAGGGACTCTCAACTTGTATGGGCCCAAGAGAAATGAAAACATATGTCCACAGATGTTTTTGGCAGCATTATTTATAAAAGCCAAAAAGGAGAAACAACTCAAATGTCCATAAACAGGTACGTGATTGAGTACAACGTGGCCTCTCCATACGCTGGAGTATGACTCGGCAATAAAAAGGAGTGAAGCGCTGGCACGTGCCATGTGGACAGACCTTGAGAACGAGGCGCTAAGGGTGGGCACCCAGTGACAGAGCTCGTGTACACTCTGGCTCTGTTGCTACGAACTGTCCCTAGTAGACAAACCTGAGGAGACAGAGAGGAGCGTTGCGCTTGCCGGGGGCTGAAGGTCGGGGGTATGGGGTGCCGCCAGTGGGCACAAGGTTTCTTTTGGGGATGATGAAAATGTTCTCAAGTCAGATTATGGTGACGGTTGTGCAATTCTGTAAATATGTTAAAATCATTGAATTGTATACTTTCAATGGGCGAGGCCACTAAAAATGGAGTAAAAAAGTAAACACATCCTCAGCACATGTAACTTAAAAGAAATTTGTTATTTTTCTTTCTATTATTTTAAAGACAAGGTCTCGCTCTCTCACCCAGGCTGGAGTGCAGTGGCATGATCATAGCTCACTGAAACTTCAGATTCCTGGGCTCAAGCCATCCTCCAGCTTCAGCCTCTTGAGAGCTGGGAATACAGGCATGTACCACCATGCCCAACTAACTTTTCTTTTTTCGTAGAGATGGGGTTTCACTATGTTGCTCAGAGTGGCCTCCAACTCCTTGGCTCAAGCAATCCTCCCACTTCAGCCTCCCAAACTCCTGGGATTACAGGTGTGGGTCACCATGCGCAGCCGGCGCAAGTTTTTATCCTAACATTTAAGACACGAACCCAGCAGTGGAAGGGCGGGTCGTCATTTACAGTATGTGCCTGGGCCGAGCCAGGAGCTTCAAGAGAAATGGGCTCGGCCTACTTTTTTTGAGACAAATCTTGTATTGTTTTTCCCTTCTTTCTCTCTGTTTCTTTTTTGAGACTGTCTCACTCCAGCCCCCAGGCTGGAGAACGGTGGCACGATCGCAGCTCACTGCAGCCTTGACCTCCCAAGCCCAGGTGATTCCACCTCAGCCGGGGTAGTTGCGGCCACAGGTGCAGGCCACCATGCCCGGCAAATTTTTGTGTTTTTTGTAGAGTTGGGGTTTTGCCATGTCGTCCAGGCTGGTCTCAAATTCTGGGGCTCAAGTGATCCTCCTGCCTCGGTCACCCAGGGTGCTGGGATTATAGGTGTGAGCCACTGCGCCTGGCCTGCTTTTCCAAATAATATTGAAAATTAAATGACATAGAGAAAGGGAGTCTAATTGCAATTCTTTCAGATTTCAACTCTGTCAATAGTGTGGGGAGTGACATTCTGATATTTTGATATGCACATTTCAGGGATTCTGAATCTTGGCACTGTTGGCATTTTGGCTGGAGTGATTCCTTGTGTGGGTGCCCCGTGCATTGCAGGGTCTTTGGCAGCCCCAGCTTCCACCCACGGATGCTGGTAGCTTCCCCTGCAGTAGAGACTATCAGAACCGTCTCATCTCCAGACTTTGCCAGATGTTCCCTGGGGGTGCCGGTGGGGCCTTGCCCAGGGCTGGGAGCTGCTGCCGCGCTGGAGTGTACCTGAGGTCGCGGCCAGCATCTGAAACTACGTGGGCAGCTCTCCGCAATGCCGAGAAGTAAACCACCATGCGGGCAGGTCATTTCTTCACCTGCCCAGCCAGGTGCTGAGGGCTTTCTAGTTAGCTTTTTGCTATTTGACAGATGCTCCTGGCCCATGTGTTTTTCACAATGATTTCCTTAGAATCAGTCTTCAGAAGTGAGATTTTCAGAATTGCAGGGTCAAATGTCTGCACATTTTCACTTTTGACAGAAAGGACTTGTACCTCCCAGAAGTTCACGGAAGTGCTCAGGACAACAGAATATTGTGAGGCCAACACAGCAAACAGAGCAACGATGAGCAGCCACTTTTGACTTTGGTTTCCTTATTCAGGAAATAAAACAGATGATCTGACAGAAAAGAGCCGTTTCGTGGGAAAGATCGCAGCAGGGATTAACACGTGAATCATTTCTTGACTTTTTGAAAGCCTTTGATGGGTTGAATTATTTTCCACATCTCTGACACTTTGCTCAGAGTTTCTTTAACTTTGCGCATTTTGGAAATCGCTTTCAAACTTTAATTTTAATCTTCTTTGAAAATGGGGCCCTACGAAACCACTTCGATTCCACACGAGGCTCCTGCATGCCCAGGAAGTGTTATGCTTCTGAGGCTGCTCATTTTGGAAACAAGTTTATAACTAAGAAAAGGAAATCACAGAACGGTGAATCTTCCTGGACAGTTTCATTTCAGGCACCCATTGCGGCCCCTCCCAGCCAGGCCCGAGCACCTGGTTCCCACTCACCCTCCGCGGGGCCTCCTGCCAGGCCAGGCTCCGCAGTCCACAGTGGTCCACACGATTCCACAGCCCCGTGTCACCCCAGCTCTCACCAAGCTCTGCCCGGGGTCTCCCCCACCCCTCCACAGCCACCGTGCACCTGAATCCAAGAAGCAGGCACAATCCTAAGAGCAAACTTACAGGGCTCACCTCCTCCCAACGGGACCAGACACTGAGGACCTTTCCTGGGAGCGGGGGCAGGAGGGGATGATGGGGGCTGGGATCTTGAGCCCCTCAGACAATGGATGGCCCTGGGGGCCAGGTGAGGATGGACTGAGCAGAGGGAGCTCATGGCAGCAAGGCTGTGGGACCCGGCGGCAATGGGTGGTGGGAAGGAGAGGTGAAGGTGGGCTCCAGTGGGCTTTGGGTGCCGCACTGAGGGGATCCGCTGGGGCTTTGGTTGAGGGCAGGCCTCTGCTGACTCGGGCACTGGTGGAGAATGTGGAGTCTGATGGGTCTGGGGGCCATGTTCTTGGGGAGACTGTCTGGGGTCGGGGTGTGGCTGGAGCTTGGATCCAGCCAGGGGCCTTGGCTGTGAGGAGGGGCTCCCCTGAGTCCTCTGGAATCTGGAAGGGGTGGGGCAGGAGAGGAGCGAGGACTTCGGCTGCGATAGGCACCGTCTATATCCCTTTCCAGCCCAGTAAAGACACAATGAGAATGAGTCAGGGAGGACCAAAGGCCAGGGCAGGTGGGGGCTCAGAGGGGCAAGTTGCCAGGGCCCGGCTGGTACAGGGCAGGGTCCCTGAGCTGGGGGCAGAGGAAGGTGGAGGCGGGGGCAGAGAGGCAATGGCAACGGAGGAAAGGGGGCTCCTGCTGGGAATCAGAACCCAGAGTGGGGAGCTCAGCCTGCGGGGAGGGGTGTGCCTTGCTCTGGGCGTGGGGTGCAGGAATCCTGGGGTGCAGGGACAGGGAGGGGCCTTGCACCGCTCCTCAGGGTGGAGCCCCAGCAGCAGGTTCTCTCCTGAATCCTCTGCACTATGAGACAGACAGGTGGCTAGACTCAGGGGGACACAAGGCTTAGACCTGAACGTGGGCGAGCCTCCTGGCGGGGACCTGGAGAGCCCAGGTCAGGGCTTTGCCGGGCGGGGTGGGCACTGTCTGGGGAGCAGCGGGTGCCTCCCCCCTGGACTTGGAATGAAGAGTGCTGGGAGAGGAAGGGCCTTGTCTCTAAAGAGCTCCTTCTTCTCCTTCTTCTCCCAGGCCCTGGGCTCCCGCCCCTTCTTGCGGGGATCCCGGGTGTGGGGTGGCGTCTGCTTTTTGCTGGTCGGAGGCTCCACGTTAGGTGTTGGGCTCCTCTGAGGGAAGTTTTCACCCCCTCTCCTGGACTCTGATTAAATACCTGGGCCCAGAACTGCCTCTGGGAGGAAGATGGGGACAGAGAGACAGACACAGAGGGGATCTTTGGGATCAGTCTGAGGTTCCAGCCACTGTGCTACAGGCTGTGCTTCAGTGTCCCTGAGGCTGTGAGATGCACAGGGCTGTGGCTGCTGGTGGGAGGGTTGCTGCTGCACTGCCTTCCTCTGAGAAATGACGCCCCTGCCTCCTCCCGCTCTGTGGGCACAGGGTTTCCTGCCCCCCGCTCCGTGGGTACAGGGTTTCCAAGCACCCCACTCCGTGGGCACAGGGGTTCATAGACCCCTGCTCCGTGGGCACAGGGGTTCCCGCACCCCGCTCCATGGGCACAGGATTCGTAGCCGGCCACTGTTCGAGTTTCCTAGGGCTGCTGTAATAAGCGACCCTCAAACCAGTGGCTTAAAACAGCACAAGTTAATTCCCTTGCCGCTCTGAGGGGCCGAAGTCCCATGGTGCAGGGGTCCCATGGCTGCTCCTCTGAGGCTCTAGGGGACAGAGTCAGCTTCCTGACCTTTCCAGGGTGAGTTGGGGTGTCTTTTCTTGACTCCCAGGAGATGGTCCTGCTGTGGGCAGTGGGATGGATATCAAGGTACTCATCCACCCCCAGCCCGACCCAGATCCTCATCTACAGACTGAGGGGCAATGGATGGGGTCACAGAAACCCTTGGGAGCTTCCATCCTCCCAGCAAAATGGCATGACCTGTGGCCGTCCACATGACTGTGCGCGTGCCTATGCACGGTCAGGGCTGGGACCCATGTCCACACACAACATGCACCCACGGTCCCTCCCCGGCCCCTCCCTGTGGATATCCTGCATGCTCATATGATGTGCGCCCAGACGCCAGCTCATAAACACACCCAGCCAAACGCCCCGAGGCTGCATTCCCCATCCCAGCAGAGAGCCCGCTGGGCCCTCCCCAGAGCCCGGAGTGGTCTGTATGCCTCCTCTGGGCTCATGCAGGCCTTGGGGGGTGTGGTGATGGTGGCGCTTGTGGAGGGTGGCTCCCAGCTGCAGGGACTACCCTTCTCTCTGGGGCCGGGCTCTGTACCTCCCGTCTGCAGCCTGTCCCCTTTGATGTGCCATCCTCCATCCTGGCTGCACAGGCCTTGTCTGGGCAGGCATCGACCGTCCCACCTCCTGGGCTGTGGGTCCCTGAGGGCAGTGGGGCAGGTGCAGCAGCTGCAGAGACCCAGCAGCTGCAGAGACCCTGCACCTGCCCGTCCCAGAGCTCAGACCCCTTATCTCCCTGTTCCTTCTCCCCTTCGATCTCCGGGACCCTCCCCACCTGGCCCCCAATCCTCTGATGGAAAAACTGAGGCTGAAAAAATCAAGTCATACATGAAAAATCGTGGGCAGGGCCTGGGGCAGGGGTCTCCAGAGGAGCCCTGCCAGCCCTGCCTGTGGCTGGAACAGAACCCCTGGCCCTTTCCTGTGCTCCCTCCTCTCTCTAGCCCCGCAAGCCCTGCTGTCCTGGTGGCAGCACCGCCCAGGGCTGGTTTGTAGAGGGGAAGGCTGCGCCTCAAAGTTGTGGGCTCACCTCGGACAGGTGCAGTTCTGGAGAGGGTAGGCATCTAGTCAAGGTTCCCAAATTTGGGCAGTGCCAAAAGAGAGGCTGCCCAGCCCCGCCCTTCCCTGTCCTGCGCCTGCCCTGCACCTCCCACAGGTGGCTGTTAAACACCTGAGTCCTGTGTCCAGGCTGGTGGGTCCCTGAGTCCTGTGTCCAGGCTGGTGGGCACCCGAGGCCTGTGTCCAGGCTGCCCTGATCACCCCTTACCTTCCAGAGCAGGCTTCTATGGACTGAGGCCATTCTCTAGATATATTCCTATGAAAAGATGACGTGTTGTGGTCACAGCAGGGTGGCCCTCACTGTAGGCTGGTGGGTCCCTGGTGTGCGCTGGTCAGGGCCCTTGGCAGAATGGAGCCAGCACTTGGTGAGTTCCCAGCCCATCCTTTCACCTTACCGACCCTCCCGGTTACAAACGACACACCCCTGGGAAGGCTAGGGAAGCTGGAGAGGGCATCCTCACTGCTGGCCTCCAGGGTGGGATGGAGGAACCTGCCTGCTCCCGTCCCCTGCCCTCCCCTCAGGGCAGGACCAGCCTGGGCCTGGCTGCCTGGAAAGATGGACAAGAGATCAGGAGGACAGAATCCCTGCCCAGCGGGGGGCAGGGCAGGGGACAGGGAGGATGGCCTTCTCAGCCCCCTCAGGGCCAGGGGCCTGGGAAAGTGACTTCTGGAACCACTGTTAGCTCCAGAAACACAGACAAATGGATGGGAGGGGTAATTCCAGCTTCAGATAATAACCCAAGTGAGGCTAAGTGGATTAGAAAGTTAAATGCAGAAATAAAACTACGGCCAATTCTAAGGTAAGACGTGTGTCTTAGGTCAGGGTCTAGAAACACCTCTAGGGTGGAGGCCTGTTGGGGACACGTTGGGGTCCATATCCTGGTGTGAGGGCAGCAGTGTGGGCAGAGAGAGGTGGGGCTGGGAACAGCTGCCCGGAGGCTTCCCGAGACCCCTGCCCTCTCCCTTCCCAGGTGTCTGCATCCTGGACACGGCTGGGCCTGGGGCTTCACACCCTGACACCCACCAGTCACTGATGTTGCTGTCTGGAAAGGGCGTCACCCAGGCATCGGATCCCCCTGCTGAGGTCACCTCCTGGGGAAGGGTCTCATAAAGCCACGCGGCTCCGGGGGAACCCAGCACTCGCTTTTGGGGGGACCTGGGGAGGCAGCACAGCCTCAATGCCCCCACCAGCCCCACACGCTCAGAGTTTTGGGGGGATGCACTCCGAGTGGATGTGAAAAGATGAAGTGGGGCACCCCACACCCTGGCGCCTGCGGGCTGCCCCGTGGCCTGCTGGACAGACCTTGCTCAGAGGGAGAAAATGAGGGGTCTGCTGTGCTGTCCCAGAGGGGCTCCATTTCTGCTTAGGCCAAGCCCAGCCTGCCGGGCCAGTCTCGCTGGGCTCCGGCCACCCGGCCCCAGCAGCCCAGGGAGGGAGGGGTGGGCGCCTCCCATGTCTGCACCTCCTTCCGCCTTTGGGTCCTAACATGTTCACATGTGTATTAGCAGTCACTTGTGAAATACGGCATTTTAAACTTCTGGAAAACTTCTAAGGGACAGCATAAAAGTAACAAAGTGAAGGAAGAAGCCAGGGAGACACAGATGTTCCATTGGAAAGCCTGGAAATTTACAAACATCTGCATTTCAGAAAACACCATCAGCAGAAGGCAGAGGCCCTGCCGGTGGGAGCAGTGCTCGCAGCCCGTGGGAAAGACGGTGGCTGGTGGCGCGGCTCTCCAGGCTCTCAGAGGCCAGTGTAGGGATGGACGCTGGCGTCAGTGGGGCCCTGCGGTCTGTAAGGGAAGAAGCACCGGTGGCCAGACGTGGGAAAAACCATCCAAACTTGTTTTGAATTAGAAACATGACAGATATTTCAGATTTTGTTGGCAGTGATTTATGCTGGCTTTAAATATTTTTCTCTGTAATTTTTGCTTTTTTGCAATTTCTGAATTTCCGGTATTTTCTTTAGAATCAGAAGAAGGGAAGGAGCTGGTGATGAGGCGTGGCCACTTGTCCCCCTGGTGCAGTTAGAAGTGAGTCCTTGGACGACGACGAGGGTCAGAGAGCATTTCGGCAGCGCCTCCCAAGGCACTGGCACTGCACCTGTCACTTAGTGCTTGTCACCATCCTGTGTTCAGGGCTAGGGTATTTCTGGTGGGGACACTACAGGCCCAGACAGTGAAGTTCAAAGAGGGTTGGTGACTTGACCAAGGACCACAGCCAGGAGGACCCTCCTGCCTGCTGTCTTTTCTGGGCCTGAAGATTATCTGCAATTACTTCTGCCACGTCTTGTTCAGCTTCTGCGAGCCTGAGGCAGGGCCTCGCCCTGGCAGGCGGACTCCACGGTGCTGGAACCCTGACTCCTGCTGTGTCCCACACACCCGGTGGCAGCAGGCCAAAGGTGGGGTCTGGAGCCTCCAGACCTGGGCTAGATCCTAGATCCTGGCCCATCCTCCTGGCTGTGGTCCTCAGTCAAGTCGCCAACCCTCTTTGAACTTCACTGTCCTCGTCTGTAGAAAGGGGTTGGTAACATCCCTATTCCGAGTCATAGCCCCTGGACTGTGCCAGAGCTCACAGGACTCTGGGCAGTGCAGGGGGTGCTGGAGGGGTAGTCCCGGGTCACCTGGGGTTTGGTAAAAAAAAAAAGAGTGGCCTGGCCTAGAGGGTCTGCCAGGAGCACGCCATGAGGCAGGGAGTCTGGACGATGCTGCACTGGCCTACCTGCCAGAGGCCTGCCATGGGGCCCACCTGTAGGATGGAGTGGGCAGTGCCCTGGCCCTGGCCAGCCTGGCCCTGACTCTCGGTGGAGCCTGTGTCTTGCCCCTGCATTGTGATGTCAGGAGAGCTGGTCCCACTCTGGTTAGGAGGGTGGGTGTGGGCTCCCGCTGGGCACTAGGCGGTGCCGGGCCTGACTCATCCCCAGGGTCTGGCCAATACATGGGGCCCCTGCTGGTGCCCTTCCGACCTTCAGTCTTCACTTCGTATTTCTATACTTATGTTTATTCTAAAAGTAATGCAAATTTGGTTACAAAACATCTGGAAAGAGAGAAGAGAAAACTAGCTGAACACAAGCAAGCTCAGCATCTTCGGGGAATTTACTGCTAATCCCTTACCCTGATGAGGCACTTTTATTCAGCTGTAATTGGTGTGTAGAGTTGGGAAACTTGCTCTTCCATCAAGCCCCAGACTCCACACAGACTAGACAGGCTGTGCACACTTGAACAGGCTCTATGCACACCTGCATAGGGTCTATGCTCACCTGGATGGGCTCCATGCACACCTGGACAGGATCCATGTCACCTGAGCAGGCTCCGTGCACACCTGAAGAGTCTTTACACACATCTGGAAGGACTCTGGACTGACCTGAATGGGCTCCGTGCACACCTGAAGAGTCTTTACACACATCTGGAAGGACTCTGGACTGACCTGAATGGGCTCCATGCACACCTGGACAGGCTCCACACACACCTGGACAGGATCCATGCACACCTGGACAGGATCCATGTCACCTGAAGAGTCTTTACACACATCTGGAAGGACTCTGCACTGGCGTGAACGGGCTCCATGTACACCTGGATAGGCTGATACCCACCTGAACAGGCTCCATGCAGACCCGAAGTCTTCACACACGCCCGACTGGATTCCACACACACCTGGACAGTCTCCACACACCTGAACAGGTGCAGACCTGCAGGGGCCCCTCTTGGTGGATGTGCCACCATTTACTGAGCTTTCCCTAGGGAGGAGTTTTAACTTGTTCCTCTCCTTTTACGAGTTTAAATAACACTGTGATGAGCTTGACTGGGCCTGAAGTTCTTGGAACAGACTCTGGGGAAGAGATGGGCTGAGGTTCATGGAGGTGCTATTGGGAGCAGCCTCTGAGGGGAGGCCTTGAGCTGACCCATGTCCAGCAGTGGCTCTGCCCATCTGTGGGGAGGGCTGCAGCTGGGCTGGCCCTCAGAGTTGTCCTGAATGGCGGGGTTGGGCCAGACCTCCATGGATGGCTACTGAAGCCCGCTGCCCCTGGCAGGTCCATGACCTCAGGCAGGTGGAGAACATTCCCAGAAAGTACTGTGAGTGCAGCAGCTGAGGATCCCGGGGGCGGGCAGGGGTGGCTTCACAGAGCACCATACAACTCCAGTTTGGATTTTCTTTACAACAGATCCTTTAAGGGTGGTTGTTACAAGAGCAGGACTTGTGGGCAGCTGCTTAAGTCTGACTCCTGCACTGCTGCTGTGTGACCTTGGGCAAATCTCCTCACCTCTCTGGGTTCCAGTCTTCCTTGTCAAGTGGAATAAGATCTTTACTAGCAAAGCAATCAGGTATTGCTCATAGAAGCAGTGGGGCAGCCTGGTACCCAGATCTGAAAGTGGCTGCCCTGGCCTGGCTCCTCCCGCAGCCTGCCCAGTGCTCAGGGCTCCTCAGGGGCCAGCGAGGACCGTCTTTGCCCACTGGGAGGAGAGCTGGCCATCACTGTGGCACAAAACCATCAGGAACAGGTGACTCAGCTGCCAGCATGGGAGGCCTTTCCAGGGCCTAGGGCCGCAGTAGGTGGGGCTGGTAACGGCTCACAGAGGCCGTCACCCCCATTATCTATGTCCAGCCACTAGCACTGGGTGAAACGTGCCACCTCCCCAACACTAAAAAGACACATCCGCCTGGAACCTGTGAATGGGGCCATATTGGAAGGGGCTTTGTGCCTGGAACCTATGAATGGGGCTGTATTGGAAAGAGCTTTGCAGCTGGAACCTGTGAATGGGGCCGTATTGGAAGGGGCTTTGCAGCTGGAACCTGTGAATGGGGCCATATTGGAAAGGGCTTTGTGCCTGGAACCTGTGAATGGGCCGTACTGGAAAGAGCTTTGCACCTGGAACCTGTGAACGGGGCTGTATTGGAAAGAGCTTTGCACCTGGAACCTATGAATGGGGCCATATTGGAAGGGGCTTTGTGCCTGGAACCTATGAATGGGGCTGTATTGGAAAGGGCTTTGCAGCTGGAACCTGTGAATGGGCCGTACTGGAAAGAGCTTTGCACCTGGAACCTGTGAACGGGGCTGTATTGGAAAGGGCTTTGCAGCTGGAACCTGTGAATGGGCTGTACTGGAAAGAGCTTTGCACCTGGAACCTGTGAACGGGGCTGTATTGGAAAGGGCTTTGCAGCTGGAACCTGTGAATGGGCCGTACTGGAAAGAGCTTTGCACCTGGAACCTGTGAACGGGGCTGTATTGGAAAGGGCTTTGCACCTGGAACCTGTGAATGGGCCGTACTGGAAAGGGCTTTGCGGCTGGAATCAGGTGAAGGCTCTCAGGATAAGCTCATCCTGGGTTACCTGGCCAGTGCCCCTGGAGAGGACCCTGTGAAGACAAAGGCAGATGGGAGGGAGGCACACAAGCCAGGGGTGCATGGCCGCCACCAGAAGGAAAGAGGCAGGAAGGACCGTCCCCTGAAGCCTTGGGAAGGAGCCCGCCCACACCTGGGTTTCAGACATCTGGCCTCTGGCACTGTGAGGATTCCCATGATTTTTTTTTTTTTTTTTTTGTTTGGAGACGGAGTATCCCCTTGCCGCCCAGGCTGGAGTGCAGTGGCGTGATCTCAGCTCACTGAAACCCCCACCTCCCAGGTTCAAACGATTCTCCTGCCTCAGCCTCCCAAGTAGCTGGGATTACAGGCACTCGCCACCACACCTGGCTAATTTTTATATTTTTAGTGGATACGGGGTTTCACCATGTTGGCCAGGCTGGTCTCGAACTCCTGTCCACGTGATCTGCCCACCTCGGCCTCCCAAGTGCTGGGATTACAGGCGTGAGCCACCGCGCCTGGCCCAAGGATTCCCATGTTTTAAGCCCATCCCCACCTCCCCACTCTGTGGTGTTTTGCTTTGCAGCCTGGGGAGCGAATGTGCCTTCCTGCCTGTTGAGAGTGTGACTTTTGGCCCTGACGTTCCACAGACATGACTGAGTCAGCTGTTCACACTAGGAAGCATGAGTGAGCATCCGGGGGTTCTTCTCCATGTTCGTGAGCGTGGGTGCTGATGCACGGGGTCGCAGAGTGGGTGGCAGGGTGAAGGGAGGCCAGGGCGGCTGCTCGGGCTCACAGTGAGAGCTGCAGCTGCTGCTCCCTGAGCCAGCCGAACCTGACAGCCATCCATTTGCACCACCACTGACCACACGCTTGATTCCACTCCCTGTGAGCCCTGTGGGTGCCGGGGGGGGCTGTGCCGTGGAGTGAATGCCACACACTGCCCGCAGGCAGTCACACAGCTGCCAAGGTGCGGTGCAGGGGCCTGATGCTGGCCACCGAGGGTCAAAGCCTGTGTGCTGGATACCAGCGTGTCCCACATTGAGGCCTCCATGTCAGGGTCTCTGCAGGACAGTGGGAGGGTTCCGAATGCCAAGATGAGGGTGTCGAGCCTGTGGCCCCTGAGGACCTGTGACATGGCACTGTGCTTCGCGGGAAGAAGCATGGTGGAAGTTGTGCTTGGGAGAGACGGAGTGGGCCAAGGAGATGCCCTCCTGGAAGCAGCAGACAACCTCTGTGCCTGGTGTGGTGGGGGATGGCCAGGGGGAGGGGAGTGGGCTCCTGTGGGACCTTTCTCTGCCCACCCACGTGAGGCCAGGGTTGAAAGACAAGCCCCAAGCCCCAGAGGCGACTCGGTAGCTTGGTGTCCTGCCTGAGGGAAGTAGGGACCTTTGGGGCAGCAGTGGGCATCTGTCCTCCCCTCTACAGGCCGTGGGAGCTCTGGAGCTTGGGCCGGGGCCTCTGAGCAACCAAGCACAGCTTCACAGCCCCGTCTGCCCATTCTCCCGCCCTGGTCACCGCAGCATGACCCACAGCTTTCCCTGCATTCATGACACCTTCTTGTGAGACTGTGTGTGTACGAGTCTATGTGTGTGTACGTGTGTCAAGGTGTGTGTGTACACATGAACGTCCACGTGGATAAACCCATGCCCGTATGCACACGTGTGTGCCATCCTGTGCATGCACACACACACACGCAAGCCACACACTCGTCCCCAGTGACCAGGTGACAGGGAAGGGCTCCCTCATGGCCTCCAGGGCCGGGGCAGGCCCCATGCAGCAACACATGGGGAGGACATCATGGAGGGGCTGCTCCCTCCCAGCTCCAAGGCCTCCTTTCAAAGTGGCCCTGGGGACAGACCCAAGGACCCATCCATGTCCACCTGACATGCCCTGTTTCTAGAGGCTTCCTTGGGAAGGCTTGGCCGGAGCTGGGCTTCGGGGAGCAAACTGTGGATGATGAGGGCTGGACTCCTCCAAGTGGTTCAAGATGTGAGGGGCTGGCCAGGGAGGGGAGCGCCCGGGGCATTTCCTGTGCTCTCTTTGAAGAACTAAAAACAAAGGAAGTGTTTTGTGGTGTGGGAGGGGCATCTGGGCCTGTCTGGCCCCTGCGTTCCAGACGAGGCAGGGCCTGGTGAGGACCTATGAGGGGTGAGGACCCTGAGTCTGGATGGAGGCAGCTGGGGTCATTGTTGCGGTGGCAGGGGTGGGCCACTTTCCACAGGGGACGACTTCCCGGGCCTGCTGCTGCCTCGGCCTCACTGCCTGTCTGTCTGGAGTCTGTTTGTGGTCTGTCCGAGACCATGTCTGCCCCTCGCCTGCACCACCACGACCTGGGCAAGGAGGGCTGAGCACTTCGCAGGGTCTGGGGGTGCCATTATCCAGCACGGAGGTAGGAGGGGGCTGCACCCTCGTCAAGCCCTTCCCGCAGGTGTCCTCGCGCTCTGCCTTGGGTCAGCCAAGGGCTGTGTGCCAGCTGCTGCCAATGACCCCAGGCAGGACCCCAGCTGCCCTCACCGACAGGTGCAGCCTAGGCCCCTGCCCAGGCAGGAGGGGCTGTAGGAGGTCATAGCCCACACGGCGGCCAGGCGGCAGGGTGGAGGGTGCAGGCACGGAGCCCGGCCGGGGCTGGGGCCAGTCATGACCAGCGCGTGCCCTGATGGGCCTGGAGACTGTGCTGGCCTCGCCCTGGCACTGACGGTGGACAGTGGGAAGAGAGGGAGGGGTGGGGTGGACGATCTTAGCCCCTCCCTTTCCTTGTTCACTTGGTAGGAGATGGGACAGAAGACACAACAGGTGAGGTGGAAACCCAGCTTCTGAATGAAATCTGGCCACCTCTGTGTGCTCATGGCTCCATGTGGCTGGGTCCCAGGAAATTCTAGGCGAACTGCGGAGGTTCAGTTCTCCTTCAGAGGGGCACCTCAGGCCAGGGGCATGGCTGCAGGGGCAGCCTGGAGCCGAGAGGGGCCCGGCCTGAGCACCTTTGCCTCCCATCGCCCACCTACTGCTGGACCCCGGGGGTGCTCATTCCTGGGGCAGCCTCTGTCTCTAGGAGGGGCGCCCAGGAGAGTCCAGGGTGGGCCACAGAACTCAGAGGTCCTGCCTGCCCTGGGGCCGTCCACGGGCCTTTGGGGCTGGGACTCACATGCCCTTGTCTCCCCTGGGCTTGTGAGGCTCTGGGCTGCAGGGCTGGGCAGGTGACATCCCATTACCCAGAGGCAGACCCTACCCTTCTTTGTATGGGTTGGGGGCACCCGCCATGGGCCCAGGAGGAGGCTTCCACCACCAGCTGAGTGGGGTGGCCCAGGACATTCCTCTAGGTCAGGGTGGAGGACAGGAGTCCTCAGTCCTGGAGGAAGAGGGGGTGGGTCCAAGGCCCCGGGCCCTGGGCTGGTCACCCTGGGGGGTCTGTGTCCAGGGTCAGGGAATGTTGGTGAGATCTCCGACCCCCGTCCTTTCATCCTCTCTGTGCCCCAAGCTTGGTCTCCGACTCCATCCGGAACCTTCCATGGCTCTGTCGCTTCAGGAGGAAATCCAGACTCCTGTCCTGTCTGACCCCGAACCCGCCCTCAGCGGTGATTCCTCCCCTGTCAGGCGGCTAAGGTGGCCCGACCCTGCTTGCAGAGTATGTCCAAGCCCCTGTCTAGAACAACCCTGTGTTATCATATCTGTCTACGCTGGGCTTGTCTCTGTTGTGCGTGGGGCGAAGGCTCTTGGGCTTGACAGAAACCCAGAGGAGCCGGTTGCATCGAGAGCTGCTGTGACACCTGCAATGCTGAGCTGTCTGCCTGGTGAGCTGTGACCCCCCCCACCCCCCAGGCTGGAATCCCGGTTGGAGGGGATGCAGGCTCCCCCGGGGAGTGGACGGGCCCAGGGCCTTTCATTGGAACCTCAAGGTCCACGTCTGGGTGCTGGGTGCCACAGCGTGAGGCCCGCGTTAAGAAGAGGCGGCCGCCTGGGCGAAAGGGCCTCTGGGACACAGAAAGGGGCTTGGCCCAGGTTGGGACAGCAGGGGAGCTGCTGGGGCTGGGGACGCAGGTGTGGATGGCTGTGCAGTTGGGCGGGAGCATTAGGCTGCAGTGGGAGGTGGATGGGAGGGGCTGGTCCAGCAGGGAGGGTGCAGAGGAGCCCTTGTGCTCCTGGCAAGAGAGAGGCAGATACTGGCGCTGCCCCTCACCACTGGTGCCTGAGCCCTGCCCGTGCACGGCTCCTGCTGCCTGCGGGATTCTGTCTCCAGGTTGCCAGGTGGCTGGTCATCCTTGTCCCTGGGGCCTGGCTCTAGTGTCCCCTACCGGCCTCTCTATGCCTGCCCCCTAGTTCCTGCACCACTGAGTTTCACAGGCTCCCCTCCCATGCGATGGCCCATGGGGCTGGAAGACACCCTCCCATGAATGAGCTGTCCAGGCCACTCCTGGGTGGCAGTGCTGAGGCCGTGGAGCTGGGGTCAGAAGACCCTGAGACCCAGGCTGGAGCTTCCGCTCAGTCCCCGAGGCTGCAGACCTCAGCTCTCTGTGGGGAGAGGGGAGACCCCTGGCTCAGCAGCCACCTGCGTGGTTGTTCAGTGTGTACTCTAGAATAAACCGGAAACTCTGGAAGTCTCAATGCCTGTCCCCACATCCGGTGCAGAATGGAGAAGGAGGGGACTCTCCAATGTTCCCCCTCCGGCCCAGCTGCCTTAGCCAGTGCTGCCCAGTGGCCCAGTGTGTCCTCAGCGAGCGAACTCCCCCAGCCAAGGGGAACTGGGATCCCGCCCTCTGTGAGTTCCAGGCACTGCAGTTCAGATCTGTTAAAACATCCACCACTGAACGTCAGGATAAACTCTGTCCTGTTTACGGGACATCTGCTTGTGATACTTGGCTGCACGGCTGTGTGACCAAATGTTAGACATCTTTGGTTTTCTGTGTGGCAATTTCTAACCTGTAGACAACGCTGTGGGGGTATGGACATGTGACCGACCTGGCCTTTGACCAGATGAGGGTCACAGGCAGAGAACTGGAGGCCACCTCAGCATTCCCTGGGAGGGTTGCCATCAGATGGAAACTTCTAGAAGGTCCCCCAGATGCTCAGG
Source organism: Homo sapiens (assembly GCF_000001405.40). NCBI lineage: Eukaryota > Metazoa > Chordata > Mammalia > Primates > Hominidae > Homo > Homo sapiens. The sequence continues at coordinate 240,389,789 of NC_000002.12, read as the reverse complement.
CATGTACTGGACAGTGGAGGGAGGTTCATTTCACCCTCCCAGTGAAGTCTTCCCACAGTCGCTGTTTCTGGAGCCCATGGATGCTTTCCTCCCTTGTCCGCCACACAAGGTCAGCTCAGCTGGGGTGGGTATTTGGGGCTTCCCTGGGCCAGCAGCTCACACACAGCCTCTGTGGGACCAGGTCCTCCCCAGAGAGAGGGATTCAGTGCTGCTTCCACCTCAGCTCCCTCTGGACCTCAGGACCCAACACCTCTTCCAGCTTGAGGTCACAGGCCCCCAGAACAGAGACTTAGGCCCCAGAGGGGGCAGAGACAGAGTGCGGGCCTGGAAGCGCCCAGCCCAAGGCCCAGCTGCTGCTCACTTGCTCATGTCAGGCATGGTTAGGAGAGTGCAGGGGTGACCAGGCCCTGCAGGACTAGGCAGCTCCAGGTCAGGGGCACCCAACTCTGGGCCTCGTCTTTCCATCTGTAAACGAGGGGCCTGATCTTCCAGCTCCCTCCCTTTCTATGGAAGCAACAGGGCCTGGGCTCCCTGATAGGGCTCCAGGGAGGTGGGGGCTCTGAGCCCCTGGACCAAAGGACCCTTGTTCCTGAGCAGCCTGTCCAGCCACACTGAGGCCTCTGCAGCGCAGCTGCCCATGGCCCGCAGGCAGCCTGGCCCGGCCTGGGGACACCTGGCCCTTTGGATGCTGTCTCCTGGTGGGGCCACTTCCACCTTGCTTGGGGGCAGCCAGATGCTGGGGACCCCACATCTGCCCTCCTGCCAGCCCCACCCACCAGCGGCTCCCAGGATCTCACCTGGATGCTTCTCAGGACCCCGGAGTCCCCAGGAGTCTTCCGGAGTGTCCCATGCCACCAGCTGCTCAAGCCAGAATTGGGTGGTGCACAGGGTCCCCTCCCTCCTGCAACCGTCCCCCTCCCTCCTGCCCAACCCCACCTCTGCCCGATTTAACCCCTGTCATGTTTCAGTCTGGTCACTGCTCAGCCTCCAGGCTGGCCCTTGCCCCCTCCCAAAATGCCAGTGCAGAGCGTCCTGCATCGAGTTACCCCAGGACAGAGCCCTATCTCTGCCAGCCTGACCTCCTAGTCCTTTCTCCCTCCAAGCCGGGGCAGACCACCCAGGGATCCCCGCGGTCCTGCCTTTTACGTGCTTCCCTTCAACTGCCCCCTTTCTGCCGCCCATGGCCTGGTGGACACCAACGCCCCTCTTGCGAGGCTCCGGGCTGAACCACCCTGGGACACCTTGCTCAGGGCTGGGCTGGCCGAGGGTACACTTGCTTCCACGTCACAGCTCCCATGTCCCCGCTGGGTGGTCTGGAGACCTGGTCTCTTCTGTGAGTCTCAGTTTCCCCAGGTGTATTCAGGAGCCTGGGGCTGCTGTGAGTCTCAGTTTCCCCAGGTGTACTCAGGAGCCTGGGGCTGCTGTGAGTCTCAGTTTCCCCAGGTGTACTCAGGAGCCTGGGGCTGCTGTGAGTCTCAGGGCCAGCCTGTAGGGATCCTGGCTGGGGTTTGGCTGTGGAGGGAGCTACAGGTCTGGCTGCCCTTGCCCGTGGCTTTCCCCGGGAGGAGGGCCCTGCCTGTGGGCAGGGTGAAGGGCTTCAAGGGGAGGGAGGCCAGGATGGGTCAGGAAGCCCTGCTGGGATGAACCCAGGTCCCACAGGCAGGATCCATGTGGGGTGGGCTGACCCTGGGCCCTACAGGGCTCACGCCCTTCCACAGCCTCCCTGGCCTGGCAGTGCCTTCTCCCTGTGCCTGATAATGGCTCCTCTTGTGTGTTCAGAACAGGCACAGTGCCTAGGGTCCCAGTGGCTGGAGAGGAGCCCGAATGACCTGAAGTCCCTCTCCAGACCATGCCCCCGCTCCACAGCTGACAGGATGGGGCCGCTGCGGGCGAAAGCTCTCCGGACGAGCCTTCTCCCAGGGAGAGGACTTCTTGGGTCCCTTCCAGCTCTGGGACTCTGGGATTGGGGTCATCGTGACTCAGCAGCTGGAGATGACTCAGGCACTGTCGGATTGACAGCTGAGCCATTTGAGAGCCCATGACTTGGCTGTTTTAGAAGATGTGATGCATTGGCCTCCCCCTGCAGGAGTTGGGAACGCGCAGATTCCGCGAATCACAGTTTTCAGATATGGCTGAAATGTGAATATTCCGATTGAAATGTTATGATGATTACGTGTATCTGAGATCTCAAGTGGTGTGCCTGTTTCCAGTGCAGTGGAGCAGCCCAGAAATCTGAGGGGTGATTGTGAGTAACGAGTCCTCGTTTCAGCTGCCGCACGTGCGTGTGTTTCTGTTTCTGTTGTAGTGATAACCCAAGTGAGCAGCTCAGGGATCAGGACCTGAGGTTTTCAGCACAAACGACAAGAGGTTCAAGTAGAAAAGCAGGTAAGAAGCCCGTTCTATGGAGCTGGTATTTCTCTTCTCTCTCTCTCTCTCTCTTTTTGGGGAGCAGTAGCAAGGTTTATTGTGAAGAGCGAAAGAACAAAGCTTCCACAGTGTGGAAGGAGACCTGAGCGGGTTGCGCCTCTTTTCTTTTCTTTTCTTTCTTTTTTTTTTTGAGATAGAGTCTTGCTCTTGTCAGGCTGGAGTGCAGTGGCATGACCTGGGCTCACCACAACCTTCACCTCCAGGGTTCAAGTGGTTGTCCTGCCTCAGGCTCCTGAGTAGCTGGGATTACAGGCACCTGCCACCATGCCTGGCTAATTTTTGTATTTTTAGTAGAGACAGGGTTTTGCCTGTTGGCCAGGCTGGTCTTGAACTCCTGACCTAAGGTGATCCACCCTCCTTGGCCTCCCAAAGTACTGGGATTACAGGTGTGAGCCACCACACCCGTTCCCGGCCTTTACTTTTTTTTTTTTTTTTTTTTTAAATAACAGCTTTATTGAGATGTAATTCATATACCCTATAAATCACCCGTTTGAAGCACTCAGTTCAATAGCTGCTAAGTGTTCAATTCAATAGCTGCTAAGTGTTTGTGGAGTTCTGTGGCATCACCACTATCTTACCCCAGAACATTTTTTTCACCCCTAAAAGAAACCCCATACTCGACCGTCACCCGCCCATTAACTACCCCAGCCCCAGGCGATCCCGTCTGCCCTCTGCCTCTGTGAGTTTGCCTGTTCTGTACATTTCACAGAAGCGGAACATGCAATATGCAGCCCGTGCCTGGCTTCCCTCACTCAGCTTGACGAAATCACAGAACAGATTGTTCTCAAGGAGGCCCCCGTGGTGTTTTCCGGAGCTCCTCTGCCAGGTCTCCAGTTGCGGCAGGGTCCACGTCGCCCCTCCCCTTGGCTCTGGGTTGGCCTTGTCACCAACGTAGGTGGTGGGGCCACATGGTGCCACCTGCTCCCTCTGCACACCTCTGGGCCCACCAGGTCCTAGTGGGCTGGCATCTGCTGCGGGGGCTCTGGTGTGGGTGGAAACACTGGGTCCCCCCAGGCTCCTCCTCATCCCCTGCTCCCAACTTCTTCCTCCATCCCCCAACAGCCCTCAGAGCTCAAGGGAGGGGGCATTGACAAAGGGTCTCCACCAGCCTGGTCCTCTTAGCTTTTCTGGTCTATGAGCTCAGGCAAAATGGCCAGGCAGGCCCCAGGCCACCTCAGCCCAGCTTAGCCCAGTCCACTCTAGCTTAGTTCAGCCTAGCCCAGTGCAACCCTGTTCACCTCAGTCCAGCCCAGCCAAGCTCATCCCAGCCCACCTCAGTCCAGCCCAGCACAGCCCAGCCCAGCCCAGGTTAGCCCAGCCAAGCCTAGTTCAACCCAGTTCAGCCCAGCCCAGCCTAGCTCAGCCCAGCCAAGCTCAGCCCAGTTCAGCTCAGCCCAGCTCAGCCCAGCCAAGCTCAGCCCAGCTCAGCCTAGCCCAGTCTAGCTCAGCCCAGCCCAGCTCAGCCCAGCCCAGCTCAGCCTAGTCCAGTCTAGCTCAGCCCAGCCCAGCTCAGCCCAGCCCAGCTCAGCCTAGTCCAGTCTAGCTCAGCCCAGCCCAGCTCAGCCTAGCTTAGCCAAGTTCAGCCCAGCTCCCGCCCAGCCCAGCTTAGCCCTGCCCAGTTCAGCCCAGCCCAGCCCAACTCAGCTCAGCCCAGCCCAGCCCAGCTCAGCCCAGCATGGCCCAGCCCAGGTTAGCCGAGCCAAGCCTGGTTTAACCCAGTTCAGGCCAGCCCAGCCCAGCTCAGCCCAGCCAAGCTCAGCCCAGTTCAGCCCAGCCCAGCCCAGCCCAGCCCTGCCCGGCTCAGCCCAGCCCAGCTCAGCCCAGCACAGCCCAGCCCAGCCCAGGTTAGCCCAGGTTAGCCCAGGTTAGCCCAGCCAAGCCTAGTTCAACCCAGTTCAGCCCAGCCCAGCCCAGCCCAGGTTAGCCCAGGTTAGCCCAGGTTAGCCCAGCCAAGCCTAGTTCAACCCAGTTCAGCCCAGCCCAGCCCAGGTGAGCCCAGCCAAGCCTGGTTCAACCCAGTTCAGCCCAGCCCAGCCTAGCTCAGCCCAGCCCAGTCCAGCCAGCCCAGCTCCAGGTCCATGACTTCTAAAGCAGGATGTGCTTTGTGGGTTCAAGCTTGTGGCATTTGGGGAATCACATATGGGGGCCTCGAGGCAGAGCAGAGAGGACTTGCAGGACTGTGCAGCTGACAGGATTTGACATAGAGACAACTGTGGAAACCCGAGTGTGGAAGGCGTGACTCTGGGTCTCAGCAGCCACCTGCTGGGCAGATTACACCAGCAGCGCCCCACCGTGGGGCCAGGCGCAGGTCACGGCCAGTGCTGGGATGTCCTGCAAAAAATCCGGGTTGACCACACACCACCCAGGTCAGCACGTGGTCCCCATGGTTGCTGGAGGCAGCTCAGGCTCCAGAGCACTGACTGTGTGCATCGCTCTCGCTCCACGTTCTAAGCCCTAACACCAGTGGTTTGCAACCAGCCACGGTGGGAGTGTGTGCGGATGCTGCAGACCAGCCCTGCCCCTTCTGAGAGTCCCTTGTTAAGCAATTACCAGCACATTGCTGACTGGCCGAGTCACTAACATACTAGGGTATTTTGATGTTCCCCCCAGAGGACTCTCTGCCCCATTCCTGTCCATGCTGGGGTACTGGTTGGCACAGGGGAAGGTGGCACCTGGCTGTGGGCTGCAGGTGGTACAGAAACCTGTGCTCCCCGCGAGGAGCTGGAGTTGGAGCTGGCCACGTGTGGCATCATCTGTTGGAAGGCATTGGAGACCTTGACTAGGAGCAGCCCCTGAGTGGCCTGACTGCTGGACCAGCTGCAAGCTGAGTCCTAGCCCTCGAGGAGTGGGGCCCCCATCATCCAGGACCTGGCGCCCGCATCTGCAGAGGGCTGGGCTCCATGCTGGGGCCAGAACACAGGGAGCATGAAGGACTCAGAGACCCGCCTGCGGCCATAGCACAGGGTAGCCAGCAGGGGACAGCTGGGCCGAGGGGGTGCCGGACGCAGGTGCCAGCCGCCTAGCAGGGCCCTCTTTCTGTCCTCTATTCAAGGTGGCAGTCTGAAAGACCCCCCCACCCAGACAGCCCTCTGCGATCTGCGAAGTGAGCAGAGCTGCATGTGCTGCTCATCCTTCACCCCTTCATTCATTCACTTGGAAGCACCCAGTGAGCACTGTGAAGTCGTGGGCGCTGGTCCAGTGGTGACTGAGGGCAGTGGTGGGTGCCAGGTCCAGTGGTGACCGAGGGCAGTGTCCTCAGGGACTCACGGTTGGCTGTCCTTAGGGACTCACGGTTGGCTGTGGGGACACAGTGGTGTGCACCGGGTCCAGCGGTGACCGAGGGCAGTGGTGGGTGTCGGGTCCAGTGGTGACCGAGGGCAGTGGTGGGCGACGTGTCCAGTGGCGACCGAGGGCAGTGGTGGGTGCTGGGTTCAGTGGTGACCGAGGGTGTCAGTCCTCAGGTAGTCACAGTTAGCTGTGGGGACACAGTGGTGTATGCCAGGTCCAGTGGTGACCGAGGGCAGTGGTGGGCGCTGGTCCATTGGTGACCAAGGGTACTCGTCTTCAGGGACTCACAGCTGGGGGGGCACCAATGAGCAAAGAAAGAAGAAAGAACAAAAGGAAGATGGGTGGGTGCAGCACATGCTGCTGGGGCCAGGAGGAGCCTCACCCTGTTGTTCCAGGCCCGGCACCCCCAGCCTGTTCCGGGAAAACTGTCTGGCAAGGCAGGCCTGACCTTGCCCAGGCCACGCTGGCCCCTCTCCCTCTGAACCTCGTGGCTCATGGCCCAGGACCCGATGGCAGCGAGCCCATGGGGGTGAGCCTGGGAAGGATGCTCTGTGTGGATGGGGAGTGGCAGGGGCAGGATTGTGGTCTGGGCTTAGGAGGGGGAGTCCTGCGTGCCCCGGGGAGGCTGACTTTTCGGCATTAGAAGGAAATTTGCCTTGAAAAAGAACCTGGGACAGTGCCTGAAAGACACAACTGGGAGGGTCCGAGGCTGGCCAACCCCAGAACTGAGTTCTTGGCCAGCTGCCCAGGGCACCTGGCTTGGTAGGAGGCTGGAGAGGCACTAGAGCCCGCTGAGGATGTCCGGCCCTCGCACTCTCTGGCTGCCCTGGGTGCACCCACCTGCCAAATGCAGACTTCTCAGCACCCCTCAAGCCTGCCTGATTCCCCTGCTGGGAAGAGCACGCCAGCACTCCTGACCTGGAGCTGTCCTTCTCAGCACGTGGTCTCAGAGAGCGGGCGGTGGGTGAGACCATGCGGGGGTCGTTGGGTATAAAATGGATTGATCTTGAGCTGTGGTTCATCTCCGTGAGCACCAGAGCGTGGAGCTAAAAGATGGCTTCATCTACGGAGGACAAAATTTACTTTCAATATCTCACTTTATGGGGGATATGAACTGTGAGTTTAGGAGCCAAGTCCAGCATGCTAAAAATCTTCCAAGCTGTTTCATTTTCTTATCTCCAAGGAACCGGTGAGAATATGTGGGTAAGTATTGGAATCTGACACGTACAGCTCATAGGCAGATGGGATCCTTCAAGGTGGTTTAGACGCGTCCTCTGGGCTGGCAGCAAATCACTTCTGGGCTCCACTGTTTGCCACCTTTGCTGTGGAACACAGCGGAACCTGCAGCATCTGGGCTGGGATTGGACTTCAGAGGGTGCACATGTGGTTTTTGTGGGCAGTTTTTCTCAGTGGCCTTTTTATTGAGGAATAACATACATACGGAAAGGTTCCCAAATCATAGATGTATGGCTTGATGCATTTTAAAAAGTGGACACACCCTGAAACTTCCATCCAGACAAAGAGACATGGTGTTTGCAGCACCCCATCTCGCAGGCCCCCTTAGAGGGAACCGCTATTCTGACTTTCATGACCGTGAATGAGGTTTGCCTGGGATTGAACTTTACATACATGAAATCGTAAGCTATGGACCCTTTAGTGTCTGGCTTCTTTTGCTCAAGTTAGATTTGTGAGATTCGTCTAGATCATTATGGGCAGAAATTCTTTCTTTCTCCATGGCTGTCTTCGATGGTCTGAGTACACTTCTTTTTAAACAAATTTAATTTAATTTTAAGTTCCGGTATCCGTGTGTGGGACGTGCAGGTTTGTTACATAGGTAAATGTGTGCCATGGTGGTTTGCTGCACCCATCAGCCCATCACCCAGGTATTAAGCCCAGCACACATTCGCTATTTATCCTGCTTGAGGGTCTCTCTCTTCTCACGCATGAACAGCGTTGTTCTTTTGCATAGTTCAGGGCTGTGGGGCATAGTGTGGCCCCGCGTTCATGTGCGTGTCTCATGGTGAACACAGGCAGGCGTTGGGCATAAATCCAACCATCACACATGCATTGCAAATATCTACTCACAGTTTCTGGCTTAGTTTTAATTCTCTTAACAGTGTCCCTTGATAAACAGGCATTCTTAACTTTAACAAAGTCCAAAGTTTCCATCTTTCCATTAGTCTTCAGAAAAATAAGTAGCATTTAACAATTCTATTTTCTATTTGTGTTACTGGTATATTGGGATACAATGTTTCATGCTAACCACATATCTTGTGTCTTGCTAAATTCTCATATTAACTGTAACAATTTAGCTGTAGATTCTTTTGGATTTTCTACATGCACAATTGTGTTACCTGTAACTAATTACAGTTTCATGTCTTTATTTCCAGTCCCATACTTTTGCTTTCCTTTCCTACCTTCTCATCCTGGCCTGGGCCTCCACCACCACATTTGACAGAAATGAAAATAGCAGACTCTTGTCTCATTCCTGACATCAGGGGAAAACTTTTGACATTTTATCAGGAAGTGTGTTGGCTGTAGGCTTTAGGCTTTTTGATGATATCTGTATCATATTAAGAAAGTTACTTTCTCAGACTTCTTTTACTTTTACAGCCTGGGCAACAGAGCAAGACTCCATCTCACACACACACACACACACACACAAAGTTATTTTCTCGGACTTTTTATCCTGAAGAGTGTTGAATTTTATCAATGCTTTTCCTGAATTTACTGAGATTATTAAATGGTTTTTCTTTTTTATTCTTTTAATGTAATGCATTACATTTGTTGATTTTCAAATATTAAACTAACTCTTTATTTTTGTAATGAACCCAATTTGGTTGTGATGTTTTATCTACTTTATATTTCTGGATTTAATTTTCTAATATTTTGATGAGAGTTTTGTGCCTATGTTCACAAGACAGATTAACCTATGATACTCATTTTTTATAGTTTTCTTCTCAAGTTTTAGGGTGAATTAATAATGGCCTCATAAAATGAACTGGGGGGTGTATTAGTCTGTTTTCACACTGCTATAATGAAATACCTGAGACTGGGTAATTTATAAAGGAAAGAGGTTTGATTGACTCACAGTTCCACATGGCTGGGGAGGCCTCTGGAAACTTATGATCATGGCAGAAGGGGAAGAGGCACATCTTGCGTGGCGGCAGGCGAGAGAGAGCATGCGAAGGGAGCTAAGGGGGAAGAGTCTCTTACAAAACTATCAACTCTCATGAGAACACCCTCACTAGCATGAGAACAGCATGGGGGGAAGCTGCCCCCATAATCCAATCACCTCCCACCAGGTTCCTCCCTCAACACCTGGGGATTACAATTTAAGATGAGATTTGGGTGAGGATACAAAGCCAAACCATAACAAGGGATATTTCTTTTTTTCCTGTTTTCTGGAAGAATTTTATAAGATTTGTGTTAGTTCATCTTTAAATATTTGAAAATATTTATCTTACGTGTTCTGGGCCTAGAGTTTTTCTGTGGAAAGGTTTAAAATTAATGATTCAATTAATTTATTTATTATGCATAGGACTACTTACATACTCTATTTCTTCTTGTGTCTCTTGTTATATTTGTTTTTCTAAGAATGTGTCCATTTCATTTGACTTATTGATTTGTTTGGCAGAAAGCCATTTGTCATACTTCATAATATTTGTAATGTCTGTGGGGTCTTTAGTAGTAATCCCTTCTTAATCTCTACTATTGCCAGCATGTGCCATATTATTTTGTGTGTGTGTGTGTGTGTGTTTTTGAGATGGAGTTTTGCTCTCGTCACCCAGGCCAGAGTGTAGTGGCATGATCTCAGCTCACTGCAATCTCTGTTTCCCGGGTTCAAGTGATTCTCCTGCCTCAGCCTCCCAAGTAGCTGGGATTACAGGCACCAGCCACCACACCTGGCTAATTTTTGTATTTTTAGTAGAGATGAGGTTTCAACATGTTGTCCAGGCTGGTCTTGAACTCCTGACCTCAGGTGATCCACCCACCTCAGCCTCCCAAGTGCTGGGATTACGGGCATGAGCCACTGTGCCCAGACTATTTTGTGCTATTTTTTTATTAGTCTTGGGCAGTCAATATTATTAATCTGTACAAAAACCCACCTTTCTATTGACATTTGTTTTATTAATTATGTTCTCCTTTTATCCCTGTTAGTTCCCTCTTTCTATTTTCTTTGGGTTTAATTCGCTCCTCTTTTTCTAATGCTCCCACAAGGCTGTACTTACATTGTTGCAAGTTTTTTCTTTCTAAGCACAAAATTTCACTCTAAGCACAGTTTTAACTGGATCCTACAAGTTTGATAGGTTATATTTGTATTATCAGTCAGTGTAAAGATTTTCTAATTTCCATTTATGGTTCATCTTCGACCCATGGGTTATGCAGAGGTATATTGTTTAATTCCTAAACACTTGGAAGACTTTTTAGTTGCTTTTATCAGCATCCATTTCCAGCTTAATTCTACTGTAGTCTGAGAATGTATTCTGAATTACTGCAGTCCTTTGAAATGTATTGGAACCAGCTCCTTGGCCCAGCACAGTGTCAGTTTTGGTCACCATGTGGGCTTAAACAGGAGGGCATGTTAGCAGAGGGACCAGACACACGAGGGTTGTGAGGAGGGAGTGTGCCAGGCCATGTGCCTGGAGCGTGAGGAGCAGGGAAAGGGCGTGAACGCTGAGGTCAGAACATGTGGGGCCTTGCAGGTCGGTGCTTCGACTTCTACTCTAAGAGGGATTGACATCTGCTGTGGATGCCAAATGGAAGACGACATGATGTGACTTCAGGTTTACCAAGGCCACCTTGGCTTCTGTGTTGTGGGTGGAGCTTGGGGGCCACGTGAGAGAAGGTGGTGGTGATTCAGGCTGTGGAGAGAGTAGTGGAGACGACAGGCATGTTCCAATTCTGGAAACCTTTCAGGGGTGGAGCCAGGAGCATTTGCTAAGAAATTAGAATTGGAGTAATAAAGAAATAGAGGAGCCAAATGATCTAGAAATTATCTAAATTTGGTTTAAATAAACACCGAAGCAATTACCTTTCTTCTTTAAAAAATTTTAACATTGTCACCCAAAATGTAATTCCTACAACTTCTTCTTTTGGGGAGAATAGTTTGAAGCATGTTTTAAACATTGAGAGATAAAATATATGAGATAAAAGTGCCTTAATCAAAAATGTGCAGCTTAACAGAAAATCATACGGTGGACTCCTGTGTGGCCACCACCGGGTCCTGACTCACAGTTTTGACGGCATCCAGGTGCACCCTCACCTTTTCTTAATGCCAGAGGGACCCACATCCTAACTTTTGTATTAAAATTGTAATGATTAGAAAAGAAGGAAGAAACAAAATAACCTTTTCAGTATGATTTCATTTATATAAAGTGATTTTTTTTGAATTTATTGAGATGTTTGGTGTGAATGACTACAGAGTTAATTTCTTTTTTAGAGATGAGGTCTTGCTCTGTCATCCAGGCTGGAGTGCAGTGGCACAATCATAGCTCACCGTAGCCTCAAACTCCAGAGCTTAAGCAATCCTCCTGCCTCGGCCTCCCAGGGTGGTAGGATTACAGGTGTGAGCCACTATGCCTGGCCAATGGTTAATTTTTTAAAAGCACATGGGTGTTGGAAAAGAAGGTGTATCCACTGCTTGCCGAGCACAAAGTATATTATACAGTTGAACTAAATATATGACATCACGAAGTTTTACACAATTGTATGCATATTTTAAATTTTATTGAGGATAAAATTAAAAATATAATAAAATCATCTCTATCTTTGTGTGACTGAACGGGTTTAACTGGACAAACTCAGGGGCAAGGAGTCTACTGTGCTTTCCTGAATCAAACATAGTTTCCGGGTGTGGAAACTTGCCTCTCAGCCACCCCTAGGCGCCGTCTCCAGCCTGTCTGCTCACTTCAAGCCCTGAAGGTCCCTTGATGCCCGGAACACCTGTGATGTTTTCCATCCACGTGGCAGGTGTGGGCACATGCCAGGTGCGGGGCAGCTCGGCTGGGAATCTCCATGTTCCCCAGAAGAGGCCAGGACATCTGCCTGTGAATGCCCCACCTCCCTGGGGCTTCTCAAGGGGATGGGAATGGGGATGGGGCCATGGCTTCTCCTATCTCCTAGGCCCACTTGAAGCCCGACCGCTCCCCAGGGCTGGCTGCTTAGGCTCACACTCCCCTAAGAGGGTCCCCCTCTCTGCCCCTGCAGCGGGAGCCCTGCTTTTCAGCCTTCTGGGGTCTTGAGAGCCAGGGCTGGACTCTCCTTGGGGAATGAATGGATGGAAGGGGCTCACATCATGTGGCATACTTTTCCTAACTTGGTAATTCCCATCTGCTAAGTTGTAGCCTTTCTGATCTTCCAGAGAAGAAGCACATGTCACCTTTCCCCACTATTAATCTGTTTCTCCACGATTAGTCACTCCTCCCCACCCCTGCTGCTTTTTGAGACAGGGTCTCATTCTGCTGCCCAGGCTGGAGTGCAGTGACGCAGACATGGCTCACCGCAGCCTCAGCCTCCCCGGCTTAAACCATCCTCCCGTCTTAGCTTCCCGAATAGCTGGGACCACAGGCACGTACCACCATGCCCAGCTAATTTTTTGATTTTTTGTAGGGATGGAGTCTGACTATGTTGCTCAGGCTGTTTTCAACTCCTGGGCTCTAGCAATCTTCTCGTCCCGGCCACCCAAAGTGCTGGAACTGTAGGCGTGAGCCACCATGCCTGGCTCTCTTCCCTCTTTTTAAACAGTTTCCTTATGTAATTGTTGGTGCAAAGTCATTGGGGGGAGTTTATGCATTTTCTGGTGTTTTTCGAAGCACTGTGCTGGTCATTGGACCCCTTTCTCACCCTCAAACCCGGTGAGGTCCTGCCCCGATGCCCCTGGGTGAACAGCTTGCCCCGGGACCTGGTTTTTGTCCAGTTCTGTGGAGGTTGAATCCTGATGCTGGCCCGGGTGGGAAACGGATTGATGGTCCCAGCTTCCTGCCCAAGCCTGCAGCTCTGCCCTCAGAGACTCCGAGCCCCTGGCTCTCCCCTGTCATGTAGGGGTTCTGGGTGGCCCCTGGAGAGGACGCTGCCCCTGCTGGCCCCTCCTAGGCTCTGCCATTCCCACAGCCCCTCTGGTACCCACTCACCATCCAGCACCCAGACTGCCCGGGAGCAGCAGCTGGCAGGGAGGAGGTGTGGGGAGGGGCGCCCTGTGGCTGGCCAGGTATGCCAGCCATGCCAGGGTAGAGGGGCTGGTGGGCTTCTGTGAGGTGGTTTTCCCGGAGCTCCCGGCTCGCAGGCGTGCTTAGGTGTTTCATCTGGCTCTGTCGCCTTGTAATTAGTATCGGTCCTCCCAGGCTCCGGTTCCCATCTGCCCATCTTCGTCTCCTGATAGGAAGTGTCTGTGTTTGTGTCTTCATGGGTGTCTGAGGACGGGACTGGAAGAAGCAGCTGGGCTGTGGGGCAGGCAGCGTTTTGACCTGAAGCTCTCTGAGCAGGCTGATCACTCAGGTGGGCCGCTCACTGCACACCTTGGACAGTGAGGCCCACGGGGGTCCCAGGTGGGGCGCCTTCCCCTCCCTTCCCAGGCTGGGGATGGAACGGGGCTCCCCAGGCTGCCACTGCCCATAGTCCCCAGCCCTGACTTTCCTGGACCTTTCTTGGCACTGCCAAGTTAGCTCCAGTGTGGGAGAGCTGGTGAGGACCTGGCTGCAGTCAGCACTTCCTAAACTGACCTTGTGCTCTGGAGCCCTGGACACATGTACCTTCCTCCCAGGAGGCCCTCTGCCCATGTAATAAAGATGGAGGCTCTCAAAGGGGGCAGAGAAATCATCCCTTCACACTCCTGGACGCAGAGGCCAAGTGGGAGCTGCTGGCACAGCCCTTTCTATGGAGGGATGGGGCGTCATGTTGCTTCACGCAGGCCAGGATGGCCCTGAGATGCCTCTATGGGCACCGCTCTCCAGCGAAACCTCTCCAGCCAGTCTGCCCGCTGCACTCCTACTCCGAGGTGAGGTCCCCCAGTGGCATCCCTCCTGCTACACCAGCTCCAAGATGTGACTCCTCAGTGATGTCCCCAGCAGCCCTCCTGCTGCACCAGGGGGCTGCTCTGTTCCATGTGGTGGAGTCCCAAAGGCCGGGCTGTTACCAACGCCTTGTTCTCTCCACACTCAGGTATGGGCCAGCATGTCTGGTAAGTGGTCCTTAAATGTTTTAGGGAAGGAAAAGTCCCAAGACCTTGAAAAAGACAAGTCACAGAATGAAAAACAATATTCCAACATATGTAACTGACGGGACTTGGAATCTAAAATATGTAAAGAGTACTGGCAAATCAATGACAAAACAACAGGCAACTGCACAGAAAAGCAGTCAGGGCACTGGGACAGGTGGTTGGCAGAGAGGAGACCCAACTGGCTATAAGATGTGTGCACAGGGACCAGCTTCTTGGTAACCAGGGAGACTCGCATCAGGACTGCAGTGGGTCTCCACCATGCTATCTCCTGGTTGGCAGGGGCTAAATGCTGACAGTACTGTGTTGATGAGGCTGGAGAGAAATGGGGCCTTTCATACTCTGAGTGGAAGTCACTGAAGTGACTTTGGGAACTGGCTGAACAACGCCTGGTCAACTTGAAGATGTAGATTCCCTGACTCAGCGGCTTTACCCTGGACGTGGGCACCCTGCGGAAATCGGGGCACGTGTGACGGCAGCACGATGTACACACACAGGAGGTCATGGCAGCCTTGCTCCTGGTAGCTGGAAGTCAGAAACAGCCCATGCGGTGTCAGGAGAATGGGGAAGTGCATCGCGTAGGGATGGAGGCGAAGAGGGGCTCGTCGATTCATCCGTAAACGGTGCCCACGCTGTCTGCGGGCCCCACTGCCTGGGCGTGCCATGCGACTGGGCCAAGCAACTTCTCGACACCCAGGCTGGGGAGGGCTTTGCAGCAGCTTGAATCCAAAGAGCGGTGGGGAAACCGAGTCATCATTCTGTAGCAGCTGAGAGCGTGAGTGTGCAGACTCAGGGCCCGGTGACACTGAGTTTCAGCCGAACAGCCTCATTCGGCAAGTGAGGTGAAGGGTAGCTTTGCTGGCTCTGTGTGACTGTTTGCATTTCATTTGCAAACACCTGGCTTTATGTTGCAGTATGCTTTAGTGTGATGAGCATGATTTCAGTCCACCCCGAGCATAGCACGAGTCCTATTCTCCTCTTAAAGACCCCCAGAGGAGCTGCTTCAGGGTTTGCTCTCTGGGGAGGAGCTGGGGTCACTGAGGAGGGGAAGCCCAAATCTAGAAAGTGGATGGCTCTTGGAGTGTCCCGGGGACTGCTGGGCCTTGGACAGGAGGGACGTGGCTGTGGTATTCTGAGGCCACTGAGCTGGCACGGGGCTGGACGCTCTGTCCTCGTCCTGACCGAGGTGGCTGCCACCAGACCCTCCTCGGGGCCAGCGTCCAGGAATCTGGGCACTTCCTCCCCTGAGACCCTGGCCCCACCCCGAGGCCCAGGGATCCTGGAAGAGTGTCCTGTGAGTGTCCGAGGGCAGACTTGCCAGATGGATTCCTGCACTGGGGCTGGGAGGCGTTCCGAGTGCGGCTCTCCCTCAAATGACAGCTTGTGATAGCGAGGCCGGCTGCATCATTCCCCAGGAATTCCCCTTGGAACGCATGCTGGCTCCAGGCTGCTCCAGGCCCCAGGCTGGCATCAGACGACCTCGGGCCAGGCCTCCTCCCCATCCTCCTTCTCTGGTCCCTTGAGGAGGGGAGGACACTTCTTCCTGAGGGCTGCAGCTCCCACACAGGCACCAGAAGCTCAGAAGCTCAACTTGGTGACATCACTGGGGCCTGGCCATCCCTGAACTCATCCCTGCTGAGTGGGAAAGGGCGAGGGCCTCACAGCCATGTCCGCCTCTAAGCTGGGAGCCTCGGGAACCCCCAGGCCTGAGTCACAATGAGACCAGAAAGGCCAGGCAGGGTCAGCATGCCCAGCTTGCCCTGGTACCCCAGTCCACCTGGGTCCAGGGGTTGGGAGGGGAGGCCAGGAAGGGTCAGCACGTCCAGCTAGCCCCAGTACCCAGGCTCACTGAGGTCCAGGGTTTGGGAGGGGAGGCCAAGCAGGGTCAACACGTCCAGCTAGCCCTAGTACTCGGGTACTTCTCGCCCTCCCTCCTAGGAGCCTCAGCCTGGGCTACTTCCCAGACCCTTGTTTTTGATTCCTCATCTTGGTTCCAGCACCCCAGGGGCCCAGCCAGAGTCTGAGAATGAGTACTGTCCATCGAAGGGGCTACCACCCGTGCGTGTAAGAAATGGTGCAGCCTCTGAGTGCTGTGTCCCGGATTGTCACAGAGGCCGCGCACTCCAGCATCTGTGTCCAGGCCACCTTGTGTGTGTTTAAGAAACAGTGCAGGCTCCGTCCGAGTGCTGTGTCCCGGATTATCACAGAGGCCGTGCACCCCAGCACCCATGTCCTGGTCCCCACAGCACCTGCGCAGATGCTGGGCTCGGGCTGGTGGGCTTTGGTCTAAGGAGCCTGGAAAGCCCACAGGTCCAGAGACCTGAGCAGAGTGGTGGGCGGTAAAGGGGCCGGGGAAGCAGGTACAGACCCCTGCCGGCCCCCGAGACTCGGTCCGCTGAGGCTGCTGGGCTGGGACCTGCATTGGCCTAGAAGATCCAAGCTGAGGCAAGAAGCGTGGCCTGTCCATGGGGAGTATTATGGACTGAATGTTTGTGTTGCCCCAAAATTCTTTAGACAGGGTCTCCCTCTGTCGTCTAGGCTGGAGTACAGTGGCATAATCATGGCTCACTGCAGCCTCAAACTCCTGGGCTCCAGCGATCCTCCCACCTCAGCCTCCCAAAGCTCTGGGATGACAGGTGTGAGCCACCACGCCCAGCTCCCGAATTCTTATGTTGAAATCGAACCCCAATATGACGGTTTTAGGAGGTGGGGCTTTGGGCGGTGATGCGGTCACAAAGGCGCTGCTGTCATGAATGGGTCCCGTGACCTTGTAAGAAGAGGCCAGAGGGCTCCTTCCCCTTCCTTCTGCCGCTTTAAGGACGGAATGAGAAGTCGGAAATCCACAACTCAGAGGACAGCCCTCCCCAGACCCCGACCAGGCTGGCACCTTGATCTCCGGCCTCCAGCCTCTGGGCTGTGAGAAATAAACTCCTGATGTTTACAAGCCACGCAGTTCATGGGGTTTCCTTACAGCAGCCCCAACAGGAGTGGCCCTGGGGGGACCTCCACAGCCCACCCACCACTTCCCACCCTCCATGGCCCTGCCCTCCGTGCCCTGTCCTTCCCCATGCCCCTCCCCCCACCACAGCCCTGCTCCCTCCTTGCCGTGCTCATCCTCCACACCCATGCCCCTAACCACAGGCCTGCCCTCCTCTATGCCCCTTCACCCCTACCACAGTCCTGCCGTCTCCACACCCTGCTCCCTCCATGGCCTGGCCCCCCTCCACATCTTGCCCTCCATGACCTCCCCTCCTCCACACCCCTGCCCCTCAACTACAGCCCTGTCCTCCTCCGTGCTCCTTTTCCTGTCTACAGCCCTGCCCCCTCCATGCCCTGCCCCTCTGCCACGCCCCTCCCCCCACCACAGCCTGCTCTCGTTGCCCCCTCTTCCCATCCCTCCCACATCCCTCTCCCACCTGCCCCTCTCAGGGACTTGAGATTTCCTCCGCAAGAAACCTCTGTGGGGCTTCACCAGGCCTCTGCCCTACCCAGGCCTCAGGGTGGGTGCGCCTGGGACTTCAAAGGCCCAAGGAGGGCCCCAAACTGGCTCCTGCCCAGGCCCAGAGCACAGATCCTCCTTGTTCCCAGCCCAGGCCCTCCCCCAGCCCAGGCACACAGCGGTCTGGAGGAAACCCTCTGGTGGCCAGCCCAGGGGACCCCCACGCCCCAGCACCCCCACCAGGACCACTTCTGGGCTCCTCTGGGGTCCTGCAAGCTTGGCCCTGCCCAGGACCCTCTCAGGCTGGTGCTGGGCCAGTGTTCAAGGGTGGGTGAAGGGCAGAGAAGGGCACCTCTCTTATTTCTGGGGCAGTCATGGCTGCAGCAAGTTCCAGAAGCTTCTGCAGAGACTACCTGGTGAAGTCTCAGAAGACCCAGAGAGGCAGCCACCAACTCAGCCTAGAAACTCAGCTCAGACTGGCAGAGAGGGCAGCCCTAGCTTGGGGGCCCAGGCCAGCGGGGAAGACTCGGCCAGCCCCAGGCACGGCGGGCATCATCAGGACAAAATGCCAGGCTCCACGCCACCATCCAAAGTCCCAGAAACAGTGGCCAGCTGTCCAGGGCCCGCCACACCCGAGCCCACCTCGCCCTCACTGCTCTCCTGACTCCTGTCCTTCAACTCATTGGCCTGCTGTGGCTTCATTGTATCCCCAACAGGATGGATCCCAGAGCCCCGGGGCACCCGCCACTCAAGGCCAGCAGTGCTATGCCTCTGCGTCAGCCTCTGTATCTGCCTCTGCCTCCTCCCTGCCCCTCGGCAGCCTGCAGGGCCCCTTCCAGGGGAAGGCTGGATCCCAAGCAAGGGAAGGGAGCGCCTGTCTCTGCTCACACCCTGACCGGCTTGACATCAGAATAAGATTCAGGGTCCCCACGTGTGGCCATCCTCTGTCTGGTTCCCTCAGCGGCAGCCACACCAATGTCCTAGCTGTCCTCGGACCCCAAGCTGACCGCTGCTGCCCTGGGCCTTTGCCTCTGCTGCTAGCCTGTCGGGAGCACCTCCCCTGGTACACAAGGCTTCCTTGCCTGCTTCTCGTCCCTGGAAAGGCCATGGCCTCCCAGAGGCCCTCCCTGGTGTGGAACCGCCTTCCTCTGGTCATGTCCCCCACAGCATTTGGCTGAGCTGCAGGAATTTACTGTCTGTCCCTTAAGAGCTGTTTCTGATGCCGGGTCCCAGAAGATGCTTGTCCCCAGCTCCAACCCTTCCAGGGCAAGCCCCTCACCCTCTGTCAGCCATGGCGGGGCTTGGGGGCTGCAGGGAATACCCAGGGTCCTGTGGATGGTCCACGTGGCCCTGAAGCCTTTGCGGAGGAAACGTGAATTGCATCAGGAATGAAATGAAACGTTGTCACCCACTTCATTTTTCTTTTTTTGAGACAGGCTCTCACTCTGTCGCCCAGGCTGGAGTGCAGTGGTGCGATCTCGGCAACCTCTGCCTCCCGGGTTCAATCTCTTCTCCTGCCTCAGCCTCCTGAGTAGCTGGGATTACAGGCACACACCACCACGCCCGGCTGATTTTTGTGTTTTTGGCAGAGAAGGGGTTTCACCGTGTTGGCCAGGCTGGTCTCAAACTTCTGACCACAAGTGACCTGCCCGCCTCGGCCTCTCAAAGTGCTGGGATTATAGGCATGAGCCACTGTGCCTGGCTCACCCACTTCATTTTTCAATTGGATGTGGCGAATCTCTCCCGAGCCCAGCGTTGGGGCCCACAGGGCCACTGACTCCAGGAGAACAAGGGTCTCTGCCTTGTGTAGGTGGGGGTCATGCTGTCATTCCCCAACCCGTGGGGCAAATCTCCAGGGACTCTCAATGGGGAGACAGCACCCCCCACAGCTTGCAAAGTGGCCCAGGCCTGGTGAGGGCCGTGGCTGTCCCAGGGTCCATGGACAAGTCAGGGCGAGAAACACAGCAGCCTCCAGGCACCCGAGGGTGCTTCTGGGGCCTCAGGAGGAGCTGGGCTTTCTGCATGTGGGTGGCCCAGGGGCCCGTTACAGGCCCATCCCGCTGAGGGCAGCATTCCGGGTAGAGGCCCAGCAGGTGCGGCCACAGACAGCTGAGCCTTCCCGGGATGCTTGTGGCGTGAAGTCAGCTGCCCAACCCTGGCCACTGGCCGCACCCCAGGCTATTTTTGGATCCTGCAGCTCAGAGCCTGCCTTGCTGCTCCCGCCCCTGGAGCTCCTGGAAGTCTGGTCAGGAGTGTGGACAATGCCCCTCTTGTCATACATCTGCCCCTTCCCCACAGCCCCCACCGCAGGGCCACCCTCCTCCCCCAGACACAGCTGGTCCTGGCTGGGCTGGGGTGGGCTGCCTGGCTGAGAGGAGGCTGGCCTTGGACCGGGACCCTGGCATCACGGCAAAGCTGGAGACTCAGGGAGTCCAGGAGGCGAGAGGCTGCCAGGGTTGTCCTGGGCCGTGTCTGTGTCAGCTCGTGTCCCTCCAGGATAAGTGATCTTGGGCAAGGCACACCTCTCTCTGGCAGAGAGGGCTCTGGAAGGTTTTCCCAGGGTCCTCCTCCCTCAAGTCCTCCCATGCCCTGAGGCTGGTCCCTGAGGTTGTTGGTCGGGGACTCCAGTCCTTGCTGCTCAGAAAAGCATGCCCAGTGTCCCTCGCCCTGCCCAGTGTACGTCCAAGGCTGCTGAAAGAATGGAGAAGGCTTCCTTTACTTCTGCCTTCATTCCTTGGACAGATATTAAAACCTGCTGTGTCCAGGCCCTGACTGGGCACAGTGTTGGTAAATCAGGTCTGGTTCCAACTTCAAACAGGCAGCCCTGACCTTGGTGCAGGCAGCCCTGACCTGCAGGCATGTGGTCCCCCGACCTTAGATAGGATGCCCCCGACCTTGGACTGGGTACCGGTGACCTTGGAGCAGGCAGCCCTGACCTGGAGGCATGCAGCTCTCTGCAGAACCAGATGTGGGTGGGGGGGCGGGTGGGGGGGCCATAGTCACTCAGGGCTTGGGGATGGCTGCTCTTTGTTGGGCTGAGTGTAGGGAGGTGGGTTCCCAGCTTCAGGACCAGGTGAATGGGGGATGCAAGCGTGGGTGGGGCAGGTGAAGCAGGAAGGGCAGGTGGGGACAGGTCAGATGACTCTTAGCATCACGGCGGTGGGACCCGCTGTGGTGTTCTGAGCAGACACGAGACAGAAGCTGCCTTCAGGAAGTTTGGTTGCACAGACAAGGGTCAGGAGACTTTAATTTGTGCAGATGAGGTGCCCTGAGGGCATTTAGCAGCTGCTGGAAAGGAGGTGTGGGAGGGCTTATTAGGGAGACATTTAACCCCCACACGGTCGATCAATCGTGAGCCACCTGTGCCTGGATCCTACCTGTCAGAGACGCCTGAGTGGCCCCACGTTCCAGCCTAGGTCCGGGAGACACCTGACACCAGGAGTTGGCCCCAAGACAATGCTGAGAGCAGCTCAGACTCTGCCCGTGGAGTGGCCTGACCCTGGGCACAAGGTGATGGGCCTTGCCAGGCACGGAGCCAGAGAGCAGCCAGGGTTGCCTGTGCCCAGCCTGTTGTGCAATGCAGTGGGGGACAGAGAATGCTCGCTGCAGGGGAAACAGGCCTGTCCTCTCGTGCCCCCAGGCTCTGCCCTGGGTGCCCCTGAGCTTACTCTGTCCCCAGGCTCTGCCCTGGGCACCCCTGAGCTCACCCCACCCCTCCAGGCTCTGCCTGTCTTGGCTGTTTGTCTTGGTATAACAAAATTACCATAGACCTGGTGGTGTAGAAACAAGAGAAATGTATCTCTCACAGTTTGGAAGTCGCGAAGTCCAAGATGAAGGTGCTGGAAGACTGTGTCTGGTGAGGGCCGCTTTCCATAGACAGTGCCTTCTCGCTGGGTGCTCCCTCTGTGGAAGGGGCGGCCTCTTTTCTAAGGGCACCAGTCCCATTCACGGGCCTCCACTCTCACAACCTAATCACCTCCTAAAGGCCTCACCTCTGAATATTACTGCACTGGGGGACAGGTCAACATGTGCATTTTGGGGGAACACACATATTTAGATCAAGCTTGTCCAACCCGAGGCCCGTGGGCCCCATGTGGCCCAGGGTGGTTTTGAATTCGACCCAACACAAATTCATAAACTTTCTTAAAACATTATGAGTTGTTTCGTGATTTTTTTTGTTTGCTTTAGCTCGTCAGCCATCGTTAGTGTTAGTGTATTTTATGTGTGGCCCAAGACAATTCTTCTTCTAATGTGGTCCAAGCCCAGGGAAGCCAAAAGGTTGGACAACTCCTGATTTCGACCATCACACCTCCGTAACAGCCAACCCCTGAGGTCCAGCCTAGGGGTGGCTCTGGGAGTTGGTGGCCGGAGGTCCACACAGTCTCAGTCCCACTCAGGCCCCCGAGCAGCTTGTAGGGGCTGTGCCCAGCTGGGCCCCTTCCAGCTGGGCCTCCAGGTGCGGCCACACCCATGTTTCTAGGGAGGCATGGGGACACAGCGGTGGCTCTCCACTCTAGCAAGGAGCCTCGTGCAGCACCCGTGCCCAGCAGGATCCTCTGGCTGCAGAAACAGCAAGGGACTCCCCTCCCTGCGTAAGAAGAGGCGTCCGCGGGACCCAGGCCGGATGCCCGTGGAGAGGGAGGAGCCAAGCCGGTGTGGGGCTCCGCAGTGGAAAGCAGTGGGAGCCTCCCATGGGTTCTCTGCTGGGCTGCATCACCCCAACCCTCTCAGGAGGGGAAGCCCTGAGCCCCCCTTGAGGGTTGATTGTGCCCCACAGCAGATGTCAGGGGCTGTGACCAAAAGGATGCCTGGGCCAGGTAGAGAAACCTGGGAGATGGCCCCGTCTGAGGCACAGCGCACGGTGTCTTCATCCTCCTGTGTGGACTCTCTGGGTTCATGGAGGAGCCCTGACTTAGGGCTGGGGTTAAATGTGCCCCCCAACCCCTCCCTTCACCCCTGCTCAGCTGAGTCCCCTCTTCTTGGCCTTGCATGGCAGCTGGGCCAGGGCTGAGGCTTTTGGGCCTTTTGGGTGATTGAACATCCAGCCAACATTAACGCTTCACTTCCAGTCCCGCAAAACACCCATCGCTTTCCCTCCTTGCAGCACAGGGAGAGCAGCATCCCCACTGCTGGGGAGTGTGCTTGTGTGTGCATTTATGTGTGCATGTGCATGTGCATTCGTGTGTGTGTGCATTTGCATGTGCTTGTGTGCCTTCATGTGTGTGCATTTGCGTGTGTGCATTTGCATGTGTGCGTGTGTGCATTCGCGTGTGCGTTCACATGTGTGTATTCGTGTGTGCATGTGCGTGTGCCTTCGTGTGTGTGCATTTGCATGTGCATGTGCGTGTGTGCATTCGTGTGTGTGCATTTGCATGTGCATGTGTGTATTCGTGTGTGCATTCACATTGTGTGCATGTGCATGTGTATATTCGTGTGTGCGTTCACGTGTGTGTATTCACGTGTGCATGTGCGTGTGTGCATTTGTGCGTGCATTCATGTGTGCATGTGCGTGTGCATGTATGCAGGTGCATGTGCGTGCATGCTGGGGTGGTTTCTGGCCTCAAGACATCCCCGCTCCCCCCTCTTCAAGGCTCAGCCCCTCTGGACGGCTGTGTGTGGGAAACGGGTGGTGGTCTTCACTCTCCCCAGGCCCCTCTGCCGACAAAGTCTCCTTCAGTCCTGCCAGGGCTCCCGTCACTGCCTGGTCCCTCTCCATGGAGTGTCAGCTAGCCTTCCAGATGATCCCTGCGGCCTCTGGGTGGGGGTGTCCCTGAAGGCCAACCCAGGCTCTCCAGGGTCTTCCCCTGCCCGACATTGACACCAGCACTCTGTCCTCCGTGCTCCAAGCCCCAAGCCCAGGACGTTCAGGTTTGCAGCCTGCACTGGCAGAGCCCAGGGGTCCCCAGAACCCACCTTGGCCTTGGGGAGGAGAAGAAACACCCTACAGGAAGATGAGGAAAATCTCTCACCAGAGATGTCCTGTCCCCACAGGGCAGAGGCTGCTGGCTGGATACCCCCGACTTCCCCCAGGACGAGCCTGGGTTGGGGAGCCGTCCTGCCCTGGTGATCCCGGCTGTCACTGGAATGTCAGGTTTCTGGGAGCCTCTGCTTCCTGCTGCAGGCTCTGCCTCTGAGTTCAGGAAGGAGACAGGCCCCCTGGTCATGCTGCCAGGACCACATGGCTCAGCTTGCTGGGCACGTGCTGCCTGGCCGGGGAGGGTAGTGCTGGGGAGGGCAGGCTGGCCATCTTCTGGCTTGGCTGCTGTTTGGTACCTCCTTGTCAGCCCGTGGTGGGGGCCCAGGGTATGGCGAGGGTGGGAGGCTGAGGTCAGGAGGGTCTCTAGGTCCTGGGGGTCAGGGAGCATGAAGGGAGCCCGGGGAGCAGCTCTCTGGCTGGGGGCCACCTCCTGGTGGGAGTGTCTGGGCTCCAAGTTGTGGTCAGAGGTGACAGGGTGTCCTCGGGCCTGTGGTCAGTGCCGCTGGGCCTCATGGAGGTGGCGTCTTGGATGACAGGAGAGAGGCTCCCCAAGTTTCTGTGCTTTTTAGGGCTCAGATTAGCCTGTAAGAGACCAAAACCAGGTTCAGTTTCCAAATAACACTCAAGAGACCTGGGCTTAGCATTGGCCCCCAGGCCACGTTCAGCTTTGCTCCAGGAGAGGGGTGGGTGCCCACGGGGAAGGGCCATCTCGCCCAAGCTTGGTCAAGGCCCTGCGAGGGCCCCTCTAGCCCCCAAGCCCGCCCTGCGAGGCTCAGCACTGAGGAGGGAGCAAGCGGGCCCCAAGACTGTGCAGTCTCGAGGCGTCCAAGCCACAGGGCGGAGCGGCGGGAGCGCAGCCGAGAGTGCCTCCTTTATGCTTGGGCCAGGCGGGGCCACGGGCCTGCAGCCATAAAGTTGGGCTGTGGATGGTGCCCCAGATCCTGCTGGTGGAGCCCAGAGACGCCGCTGCCCCCAGGCCTTCCTCAGAGCCACTCCGGAGCTTCCGCCCGGCCCAGACATCCGTGTGCAGTGTCTGGGAGCTGAGGAGGGGCCCGCCAGGCCCACCCCAGGATGCTGTGTGGGGTACACACAGCAGGAGGGGGCAGGGCAGGACGCAGTTTCCCTTCAGGTTGGGGCTCCTGACCAGGGGAGGTGGGCAGAGGCGAGGTGGGCAGAGCCGCACTGTCTCCCATGTGGGGAAGCAGAGGTGCCGGGGCTCAGGCCTGCTTGGGGACAAAGGCCATGGGCCATGGGTCTTAGGAAGTGGCCTGGGCCCATTTTCAGGGGGCTGGACTCCTCTTTTCCCGTTTTCCCAAATAAGGTGTTCCCAGTTCCCTGGGAGAATGTAGTGAGGGCTGGGGAGGGCCTGGCAAGGGCCTGTGAGGGCAAGTCGCCTCTGGCTGACTTTTGGTGGTGAAGGTGCAGAGAGTAGATTGGGGTTCTCTTTGATCCCCTACAAAGAAGGGACGCCCGTGGTGTGCTTGTAGTGAGATTTGGCCCTCCGCCCCAAGGCAGCAGCGCGGGAGTGCGGGGCTGGGTGTGGGGGCTGGGGATTTCTGCTTCATCTCCTCCAGCCTCACTGGCGGCCGAGTCCTACCCAATTACCCACCACCAGGCTGGCGAGCCCAGGAGCCTCCAGAGAGCGGCGAGGTGGTTCTGTTTCGACCGCAGGCCAGCTTGCTGCAGGGCTCCTGGCTTTGCTTTGCCAGCCAAGCGGGAGGCGCCCAGAGGGGTGGCTGAAGGGGGGTGTGGGGGCTGGCACAGGCCGGCTCGGGAGCTTCATGCCTACTCTGTCTTCCGGATTCATGAACAGTGATGCCCCAGTACCCCCAGCCCCTGCAGCTGCCAGGCCTCCATGAGCATGTTGCACACGGCTGAGGGGAATGGCATTCTTGGGGTGCCTGGGGGCTTGGAGGTTCTGAGCCTGGGCCGGGCCGGCTGTGGGTGGAGACTCAAGTCCGGCTGAGGTTATCAGCAAGGTCTCTGAAAGCTGACAGAGCAGAGCAAGGATACGCCTGACGCTGTGCAAGGTTTGCAGAGTCGCTCAGCCTCTCTGGGCCCACTTCCCCTTTGCACCTGGGGCATTCTCACCTCACCTACTGTGAGGGTTCCATGAGCCGAGCAGGGAGGGGTTGCCCAGCCTGCAGTGGTTGGTGTGATGCCCCCGTTCCATGGCAGAATCTCAGCCGGGCCAGTGGAGGATGGAGAGCAAGGGCATTCCAGGTGGAAGGATCTGGGTTAGGAAGCATCGCGGTGGAAAGCTCAGGAGCACGTTTCGCTTTGACATGGGGGAGGGCGGTCTAGCAGCAGGACACTGCTGGAGCAGCATCAGTGGTGCGGGAGCTCCTGTGAGCCGAAACCTTCTCATCTGCCCGCCAGGTGCTGGGCGTCCGCCTGAATTATTACATTTGATGTGCTGGTGTGGAGGAGGTGGGGCTGGACCTCAAATTCCCAGCTAATATTTATGGTTTCTTTTCTAAAAGCGGTGGGAGCCAGCCAGGAAGATTTTCCACGATAAGCATCCATGAGGGACGTGGGGTTTGGGAACTCAAATGACTGTGCTGGTGAGGACATGCTGGGCGTCCAGCTCTTTGCCGGGGACAGGCAGGCGGGGGATGGGTCCGAGGTGCAGCTGCTGTCCTTGGGGAGATGTGGCTGGCCGGGGAGATCCAGCTATAACCTGAAACTATATCCTTTTAAATCCAAGGACCACAAAGTAAAAGAAAATCAATTTCCAATTACTTCTAAGCCCCAAGTTTACACAGAAAGAGAAACTCAGGGGGCAGTGCCGTGGGAGCGCTGTGTGGGCCAGGAGCTCGTGCTCCCAGGCTCTGTGGTCTGCGTCCGCTGTGACCTTGGTCAAGGTGCCCCCTCCGTACCATGACCGTCTCAACTGCCAAGGATGGGGCCAGACACGCCAGGGTCCCTTTGCACCCGAATTGCTTCTAATTCCTGATCCCGATGTGTCATTGACCTGTGATGCGTGCCCCAGCCTGGGAGAAGGTGGGGGGTGGGGAGCAGGGCCACTGAGGGGCTCTTTGCCTCTCCTACCCCCACACCCAGAGGCAGGAGTGTGCCTGGCTTAGCGGGACCCCGTTGCTGGCAGCAGCAGCAGTGCCACTCCCAGACGCAGTCCAACCTCCAAGCCTCCACTCCTGGCTGGCTTTTGGGAAAACATTTTGTTTGGACTGTTGAGGGGCAAACGCCCTCCTGCTCGCCCGCAGCTGGGCTGTCCAGGGTTTCCTGTGACTTTGCCACCAGAGCCAGAGGAGCCCAGACTTGCTTCGTGCTGCAGCCCCTGGCCCTGGGGACCAGCAGCCTGTGCGTTCCTGAGACCCTCAGCTTTCACCTCGGCCTCCAGCCACCAGGCTCAGCTCTCACCTGCCTGAGCCATCACATGGCAGCTGGCTCTGGCATCACAGGCACAGCCACCCTTGGTAGGGAGCTGGCACTGCCCCACGACACTCCCTCGCCCCATGGATGTGGGCGGACACAGCCTCGGGTCCTGACCGGCCTCTCTGTGCACAACACGGCTTCCCAGGGCTGGGCAGGTGGTCGGAAACCCCCAGTAGCGTGGGGGTGAGAACCCAAGGGGATTGCAGAGCAGGAGGGGGCAGGGTTAAAGCTGCCTGCATTGTGTGACTCCTTCCTTATTCCAGGAAGAGCACCCAGACACTCAGCCTCTGTGGGTGCTCCTTCCTGGACTCCCTGGGTTCCTAATCTCCCTCCTGCCTGGTGTGAGGCCCTCTGGAGCTGTCTTCCGTCATCCAGACACCAATGCACCCACCTCTCAGAAACCCCCGCTTCTCTGCAGGGATTGGCCTCTCCAGCACCTCCTGTCCTCCACAGGGACTGGCCTCTCCAGCACCTCCTGTCCTTCACAGGGGCCTCTCCAGCACCTCCTGTCCTCCACAGGGACCTCTCCAGCACCTCCTGTCCTCCACAGGGCACTTCCTCGAGGGCGAGTTACTCTGTGCAACAAGGCCCTGGGGAACGTGAGCGGCAGGTCCCAGACCACGTGGATGGATGTCAGGACACAGGTGTGACCCTCCGGGGGTGTCCACACACGTGTGCCCATTGCAGAGATGACCTGGCGCTCCTCCAGGTGTGGGGCCACCCCATGAATAGGATGCCCAAGGTCTCTGTTCTCTTAGGGCTCACTTCCTTATGGAGAAGTCAATACAACAAACAAGGAAATGAATGTGTAAGTGTGTAAATGAATAGCATTATTTCAGAAAGGTAAGCTTTGCCTGATTAATTTTCCTGATTGGCCCAAGGATATCACACAGCATACACACAGATGAACACACAAATGCACACACAAACACACAGTCACACACACAGATGAACACACACACACAGTCACACAGACACCCATACAGGTGAACACCCACACACATCCGTCTCTTGGGTGCTAGTTCCCACAGGGAGCACTTTCGAAGCCTGTGGGCCTCCCCGCCCTACCCTTGCAGCAGCGAGGCCCACATCTCCATGCATGGTGATGTCGACTTCCTCCCCCCATCTTCGCCACCCTCAGCCTCCCGGCACCTGCTCCACTGGGCCTGCACACATCTCTGGGCCCTGCAGACATTCTCGGCTGCTGGTGTAGTTGTGTACACCCTGCCTGTGCAGGGATATCTGGGTTGTCCAACAAAGCCCATTGTCCTTCAGTCTCTGCTGCCTCTGGGGTCAGTGATGTTTCTGCGAGCGTGCGGAGTTCTGTACAACCAGGTCACTATGGGGGTGGGTTGATGTCTGGAATGGGGTTTCCTCAACTGTGGGAAAAGTTTGTCTCTTCTTCCTTCTGGTATCCTCCTTTTGGTGATAGTGCTGGAATCCTAATCATAGATCAGCAGATCCCACCAGCCCCTGGAATGCCCCTCTCAGAAGTGGGCAGAGGCTCGGGCAGGAGGAAGAAGCCCTGAGTGTGGCTGCTTGCTGAACAACTACCCCGCAGGGCCCAGAGGCCGAGAGGCTCCCCTGCCCATTTGCTTCCTGCTCCCACCCTTCTCCATTCTCCTTGGGTTTGTTGAGCTTCCTGAATCCCTGCTGAGGTCTTCATCAGTTCTAAGAAATTCTCAGCCATCACCTCTTTCAATGTTGCTTCTCCCTCCTTCTCTCTCTTCTCTTTCCGAGGTTCCAGTTACATGTATATTAGGTCCGATTCCCAGACTGAACAGACATGAAAGTATTCTGTCAAACTGATGTAAAGGTTCCTGTGTGTTTACACAACTGCCCTGCGTTTGTCTCACCACGGTCTTGTAGCAGAACAGCCTGGTCCACCGTGGAGGGCGCCTTCAGATGCCCTGTTACCGGGTCCCATGCATCTCTTCTGCTGCGTTCTGCTTTCCTTTTATGTTTCCTTTTCTTTAAAAATGATTTCTTTTCTCTGTGTTTCATCTTGGATGTTTTCAATTGATCTGATTCAAGTGCAATAATTCTGTGATCTGCTGTGTTCAAACATCTATTAAATACATCCAATAGGTTCTTAATTCCAAAAATAATGTTTTTCAGTATTATTTGATGACTTTTCACAGATTCCAATGTTCTGCTGTAATTTTCTATTTTCAGCTTTGCCTATCTTTTCCTCTCATTTCTCTGACATATGAGTCACACTTATTTTGAAGTGCTTGTCTCTGCCACTGCCAACTTTGGAATCAATCATCTGTGGGTCTACTTCTATTGACCTTTTTCTTCTAGATCATTGTTTGCATTTTCCTGCTTCTTTACCTCCTTTATGCCAAACTCTCTGTATAAAGGAATTATAGAGACTCTAGATGGCATCATCTTTTGTGTTTTCCTGTGAGGGGAATAGGGTGAGAGGATTATCATATAAACCTAGCTGGGAATGGAGCT
Organism: Homo sapiens; assembly: GCF_000001405.40. Lineage (NCBI taxonomy): Eukaryota > Metazoa > Chordata > Mammalia > Primates > Hominidae > Homo > Homo sapiens. The sequence continues at coordinate 240,360,587 of NC_000002.12, read as the reverse complement.
GAGTCCCAGTCAAGTGGTGTCTTTGATGAGACTCAGTCTGCCTCTGTCCTTCCCTGTTTCTTAAGCATGTCTCTCTGGGGTTTGACTGAGAGCCTGCTGGGTCCTCTCCTCATCCCTGAGATACTGTAAAGAGATTGAGATCTTTCCTTTGAGGGTTTGAGCCTAGGTCTTTAGTCTCAAGTTCTGGTGGCTTAGAAAAATCTGTCCAAAGTGGGGTGGTGGAGGATGCCAGCTCCTCCTGATGCTGCCTCATGCTATCTAGAGAGGATTCATCTCTAAGTAGCATGAAGTGGTTCACTGCCCCTTTTAGATACCCTTGGCCTAGGTCCCTGGACCTCACATACAGTTTCAGAAATCAATACGTGTTTAAGGGGGAACCAGCATTTCATCAGCCACTCTGTGGGCTACTACGTGCTTTCTAATCAGAATGTAAAAGAATGAGCAGCCCCATCCCTCTGCTCCTTGTGTGGTTGAGAAGCCTGTGAACACTCAGGGCCCTCAGCAGATGCCGAAGACCCCTGCCCAAGCCTTCTCCTGGAGGGGTGCTCCCAGCCTCTGATTGGGCTCCCGCTTGTCCTGTGTGACAGATCCAGGGCTCTCCATGGGACCCTTCATACCAGGTCTCAAGGGCACCCAGGCTCCTGGGACAGCCTGGAGTGTGTCAAAGGCAGGGGCAGCACTGCCCTGGAACCCACTTCACTGCAGGACCCCCAAACAGGGAGTGTGGCCCTGGCCACTCCAGGACTCCTCCTTGTTGCATCAGGGGCCCACATCCCTGTTCCCCTGTGCCAGGCCCAGAGGAGAGAGCAGGTGGACACCTCCTTGTCCCACCAGGGACCCACGTCCCTGTCCCCTCTGCCAGGCCCAGAGGGGAGGGCAGGGACACCTCCTTGTCCCATCAGGGACCCACCTCACTGTCCCCTCTGCCAGGCCCAGAGGGGAGGGCAGGGGACACCTCCTTGTCCCGCCAGGGACCCACGTCCCTGTCCCTTGTGCCAGGCCCGGAGGGGAGGGCAGGTGGCTGGTGGGTGTGAATTTCTCTGTTTCTGATCCTCAGTCCCCTGAGACCCACTGTCTTGAGCCTAGGGCTCTCCCTGCCCCACCCCACCCTTGGATTTGGTAATGAGAGAAAGATGGGTGGGGGTTGGTTTGAGGGGAGAGCAGGCACTGAGGCCCATCAACCAATCCAAGGGAGTCAGCCCTACCCTAGGGGTTCATCGCTGCTCAAGGAGGCTCAGCCCTGCCCTAGGGGTTCAGCTCCACCCTAAGGGGTCAGCCCTATCCAAGGGCGTCAGCCCTGCCTGAGGAAGCATCCCTCCATTGGGGGAACCAAAGAACTCTTGGGTGCCAGGATCTGGGCGCCACCCCTGCTCAGGGCCAGGGGGAGAGCCTCTCCCTTGAGGGTGAGGAGCAGGAGTGTCCCTGGGCTTGTCTGGGCCTGGTGGCATGAGGGCGGCATGCAGTGGGTGGGGTGTACTTCAGGTGATCCCCTTGTCGCTCATGAATCTGTCAGCCAAACCCCCACCCTCTCACCCTCCTACTGGGTGCACCACCAAGAGAACCAGGAAGAGGCGGCCGAGTGGCTGCTGGACTCTGCAGGGGTGTGGGTCGCTCCTGGTGCTGGGGCCGTTCACGACCCCATCCTACTCAGGGTGTGGTGTGGGGAGGGTCCCGGAGGGGCTGAGGAGGGGTCTGCATGCCCAGCAGGCAGCGGAGGCTTCTGAGGGTGAGCTGAGTAGGGAGTGAAGAGGCTGAGCTGCGTCAGTGGAGTCTCAGGAGAGCAGCAGCTGCCTGGAACCTTCCCGAGGGGTCGGGGGTCATTGCCCAGATCACACGCATTTCTCTTTCCCTAATGCCTAATGTGAGGTCCCCACAGCTCAAATCGATCCAACCAGCCACCACCCCAGAGGACCCCAGGACCACCTGTGGCCCTCTCCTCCAGCTCCTCCTCACCCTGCCCAAACCCGGTCCAGTCCCGTCTCCGTTCTCCTGCGCCAGCCCCAGATGACCCCGGCCCTCCTTGGGAGGCTTAGAAGGGCTTCCTAGAGACGTTGGCTGCTGAGTTATCCGGAGCTGAAGAAGTGGGTAAGGGTGTTCAGGACTAGGGAGGGACAGGGAGGCTCCGTCTAGGCAGGGCTGGAGCCTGGTGAGGAGGGGATGGCGAGGGATCCTCGTGGGAGCTCTGTGGGGGTGAAGCCAGCCCTGCTGAGGGGCCCAGCCCACCTCTCCGCCAGCTCCTCCCCTAGGTGCTTATCAGTGCCGGCCCCTTTGTGAGCCTGTGGGAGCTGGCTGGCAATTCAGGACCTTGAAGCCCCTGCAGGGTCCAGCCCCATGCTGGTTCCCCATGTCCTCCATGCTTCATGAAGCAGCAGGTGTGTTCCCTGCCTGGGCCTGGCCCCTGGGGCGCTGGAGAAGCTGCACACAGCTGGCAGAGAGGGGCCACTCGGAGAGGGGAGAGGGAGCAGCACCACAATACCCAGGAGACAGGGGTCAGAGGGCAGAGGCTACGGCCACCAGGCTGGCATGGTGTTCGAATATGGCTTTAATCTCAGGTTGTCCCAGGTAAGCCCCCCGGGCTTGACGACTGCATTTTCCCCACTAGGCATTTCTGGTTGGTTCTTGCCCACCAGCATCTCCAGGGCCTTCCCCATCGCTTTGATGATTCAGCGCCTGTCCTAGCTCTTGTTAACGCCATTGCCAAAGTGACTAGGAACACCCTCAGAGCCATTTTAAACATTTTATTTTTCTTTCTTTCCTTCTTTCTTTCTTTCCTTCTCTTTCTTTCTTTCTTTCTTTCTTTCTTTCTTCTTTCTTTTTCTTTCTGTCTTTCTCTCTCTCTTTCTTCTTTCTTTCTTTCTCTCTCTCTTTCCTCTTTCTTTCTTTTTCTTTCTCTTTCCCTCCCTCCCTCCCTTCCTTCCTTCTCTCTCTCTTTCTTTCTTTCTTTCTTTCATAGGAAGGGCATTTTTTCGTTTATAAAAGTGATACTTGCTGACTTTAAACACAGAAAATACAGAAACATCCAAGGGAGGCAGTGGCCATTGCCTGAGCCTCATCCCTCTGCCTCCACGTGTGGGGTCAGCCCTTCTCCGCTCGGTGTCCCCAGATGCCACGCAGAGGCAGCACAGGCGTCCAGGTGGCCTCAGGCCAGGCCTCCCCTCAAGCAATGCATTGGGGTGTCCTCCCCATCACTGCTGCCCTTGGCAGGTCCTCCCATCTCCCTGTGCAAACGGAGGGCCGAGGGCACTCTGGGACCCCTGCCCTTCCCCACTTAGATGATTTGCTTGCAATGGATTCCTAACCATGGGATTTCATGGCAACAGTCTGTGCCCTGTGGGCGCCTTCCATGTCTGTTGTTCCCTTGCCTTCCCAGGGAGGCACACTGAGGAACCCTGTGCCCTCGGGCGAGGCTCCCCGTGGGGCCTCCCCGCCCATGCCACTTGCCAAGGCTTCGATCGCGCTGTTCCTGGGGTTAGGGGACAGAAGACTTCTTGTGTTGCTTCAATTTAATTTTAAAAATGACCAGAGAAGCTCGGCATCCTCTTAAAGTGTGGGGCTTGCCCTGGGTGCCCGATGAAGGGAAGAGGCAGCACCCCTCTTTCCTCAGCAGCCCTGTGCTGGTAGCCCCTGTGGCTTTCATCCCAGGTTATCCCACACACTCTCGGCTGTCCTAAGCACTTTCCTGATGCATTCTCCTCCTGCCACCGCAGCAGCGCCCGTCCCCTCCTGCCGACCCTGTTTATCTCCAGTGCCTCTCGGACACAGATCGGGACATCCGAGTCTGGGAAGCCATCCACTCCCATATTGGAGCCTAGCTTGGAGGACTTGAAATGCCAGGTCTAAAGTTCATGTCCCTCAATGCTCTGAACCATTGCTTTGCTTTTTTGCTGGCTCTTGGAATTCGGTGGGGCAAGGTGATGAATCTCACGCTGGTACTCAGAGGCCAGTGATGTGTCCTGACCCTCCAGACTCCTGTCTTACCCTGGGAGGTCCCCGAGTTTCTCCAGGAGGTGTGTGTGCCACCTGGCTGCCTCTCCCTGTGCCCTTTGCTGTAGGAGGGCTCATCCCTGCTTTTAACCGGAAGATTTTCTCATTAACTTGCTTTGGAAATATTTGATCCTTTTGACTTTTCTCTGTCCCTGTGACTCTGGCCCCGCATTGGGGCACCTCTGCTTCTAGTACCCTCTTCACACCCTTCCCACACCTGCTCCGACTCACACCTCTGCCTCACCGCACACCTTCACGGGACTCCTCCACCTGCCCCACCGCACCAGGCACGTTGCTGCCTTCGTAAACCCACCCGCCAGGCCCACGGGCTCAACGTCTGTGTTTTCCCCACCAGGCATTTCTGGCTGGTTCTTGCCCTCAGTCCACATCCCCAGGGCCTTCTCCACCGCTTTGATGATCCGGTGCCTGTCCTGCCTCCTGGGTCAGCTCTGCACTGTGGGGCTGGAGCGGCCAGACCATGTACTTTCCCCTGGGGTAGGAGGGTGTCGGCTGCCACGGCCGGAAATGGGTACCCGGATGGGGTGCAGCCGGGGGTCCTGCTGGGAACCTGTTAAGAGAAATGTGCTGGGTGCGGGGAGTCACCCCCTGGGCCTGGGCAGTCTTGTCCCAGGGCCTCCTGCTGTCCCTGTTCGTGTGGGGCGGCAGCTTTGTCTCAGGCCTCCCCCACCCCCCACCCTGCCCAGCCAGGCGTTGCTGGTCTCACTGTCCCTGGGTGTTCAGACTTACACCGGCTCTCACGTCAGCCTCCTGGCTTCTGTGGTGTCCCTGGGGCTAAGCTGTGGAGCAGCATTGCTTGCCCTGACAGCCATGAGGTGTAAATTCCTGGGCTTGTCTCTGCAGAGCTCATGGGGATCTGACAGGTGCATAGTAGGTGTGTAGGAAGGAAGCACTGGCGCCTTTGACATTATTCCGATGCCACTGCTGTTCTGCTTGAGGGTGAGCTGAGCCCCGGGGACGCAGGGCTGGCGGGGAGCACGAGGCCTCGAGGTTGCAGCTGCTCTGGGGACCTGTGGAGTGTGCATGGCCCTCTGGGCTGGGAGGGCCTCCCTGGATGTGATGCCTGCCCTCTCCGGAGAGAAGAGTGAGCGGGATCTTGGCCGGGCAGGTGGCCCCAGCCCTGGGGACACAGGCAGGCATGGCCTCCCTGCAGCTGGCCTCTGAGGTTGAGGAAGGGACAGGGCCATTGGGTCTGCCCAGTCAGGTATTGCCCTCTCTCAAAGTGAGCCTGCTACCCTTGCAAGGGAAGCCTCGGAATGTTCTGCCATGTTTTACTGAATTCAAAAGTAGGTCCACGGACATTTTTTGGCATCACTTCTCAATACCTAGTGCCAGACCAGCTGCTGGCTCCCTCTCAGCTCTTCCAGATTGTCTCACCTTTGACCTCTGAATCAGCATGGAAATTTCTGGTCTCCCAGTTCTGAATGCCTTTTGAATCCAGCATGGTGGCTTGGATGATGGACTCATCCTTAGCAAGTGCAGCCAGGGGCATGAGGGGCCAAGTCATAGCCCCTCTCCCACCTGGACTCGGCCGAGTCATAGCCCCTCTCCCACCTGGACTCAGCCGAGTCATAGCCCCTCTCCCACCTGGACTCGGCCGAGTCATAGCCCCTCTCCCACCTGGACTCGGCCGAGTCATAGCCCCTCTCCCACCTGGACTCGGCCGAGTCATAGCCCCTCTCCCACCTGGACTCGGCCGAGTCATAGCCCCTCTCCCACCTGGACTCGGCCGAGTCATAGCCCCTCTCCCACCTGGACTCGGCCGAGTCATAGCCCCTCTCCCACCTGGACTCGGCCGAGTCATAGCCCCTCTCCCACCTGGACTCGGCCGAGTCATAGCCCCTCTCCCACCTGGACTCGGCCGAGTCATAGCCCCTCTCCCACCTGGACTCGGCCGAGTCATAGCCCCTCTCCCACCTGGACTCGGCCGAGTCATAGCCCCTCTCGCACCTGGACTCGGCCGAGTCATAGCCCCTCTCCCACCTGGACTCGGCCGAGTCATAGCCCCTCTCGCATCTGGACTCGGCCGAGTCATAGGCCCTCTCCCACCTGGACTCGGCCGAGTCATAGCCCCTCTCCCACCTGGACTCGGCCGAGTCATAGCCCCTCTCCCACCTGGACTCGGCCGAGTCATAGCCCCTCTCCCACCTGGACTCGGCCGAGTCATAGCCCCTCTTCCATCTGGACTCAGCCAAGTTATAGCCCGTCTCCCACCTGAACTCAGCTGTCCTGGGGTTTGCAGTAGTTCTCTCCACTCTCAAAAGCCTCAGGGTGGGGATTCCCATCTGCAGAGCTCAGTGATCCAAGAGAGTCCCCACGTGTCCTCTGCCCTGTGCCAAGGCCTCTCAGGACCCTGGGAAGAAGGAAGACAGTGCTTGGGGCTTCTGGGAAGTACAGGGTACTCACAGCACCATGCAGTGTGTGGCAGGGCTGACCTGGCAGACGGAGGCCCAAGTGGCCAGGGTGTGCAGTGGGGCCAGGGCAGACTCAGGCCGGGCGGGAGCCCTAGGGAAGCTGCTCTTCGGGGGCTGCCACTGACCACGGTGCAGCAGAGGAGGAGATCTCAGGTCACGCAGCCCCGGTATGAATGCTGGGCTTTTGATCTGAGACGGAAACAACCATAGTAGTTCCTAGAGGAGTTGTGGGCAATGAGGAGGACAGGGCCATGCAGGGGATGAATCTCTGCTCTCTGTGTTCCTCTCTGCCATCAAGATCTGCCCCCAGCACCATTCAGAGACTTCACCTGGGCCGGTCTATCCCTGGGACAGGCACCTGTCTCAGTCAGCACATCTGCAGGATGCGGCTGGAAGGACAAGCGCTGGAGGCCAGCTCTGCTCCAGAGCGGCCCCTTCTGCCTTGCATGTAGTTTCTTGCCCAGGAGCCCCTCAGCCTCTGGGCGGCGGTCCAGCCCACACTTAAAGGAGGGTGCAGGTGGAAACCCTGTTTGAGCAGCATGCGGGAGGGAGGGAGGGATGCTGGGCATCACCGCCGACAGCTCACATCCGCCAGAGATGAGTGTCCCATTCGGACCCGGTGCAGATGCGCGTCCCATTCAGACCTGGCACCGTGTCCTCTGAACATCACCTCTGAACCTCCCTGAGAGTGGGGAATCCATAGCCCCTGTCTACACTTGGAGAACCTGGGGCCGGTGACCACCAAGTGGCTCCCTAAGGCCACTCTGCTCGTGGTCTGCCAGCTGGGGCCTTGGAGTGGGTGTGCCTGAGGCCGAGGCCCATGCTCCAAGGCATCTGCTGTTCTGGGGCCACCTGAGTGGGGAGGACACTGGTGTTTATCAGGCCTGCCAGATGCCAGATGGACCCTGGGCAGGGTGCTGGCTGCCACCCAGAAGTGGATGCTGGGATTCTCAGTCCCTGTCCTGTCTGTGGCTGCTTGGGAAAGCACCGCTCTCTTTGCTGGGGCCTCCAGGGCACCCCTCATGAGGCCAGTGCACCCCAGACCCAGAGCTGGAGGCCAGTTCTGGTACAGCCTCACACTGGGCAAATCAAAGCAGGGGCCCCTCCTGGCCCTCAGTCTCTTCTTCATCTTCCAGGTGTGTGCAGGAGCTCCTGCATGTGTGTGTATGAGCCCAGGGCTCCAGACCCTATAGGCACCATGGGGGCATGTGTTACCCATATTATGGGTCCCTTCAGCTCTCATGGAGACCCACGGGGTTATAGTGGTGACTGGTTGAAAACCTCTGTCCTGGTCCTTTGACTAATTGATATGGTTTGGCTGTGTCCCCACCCAAATCTCATCTTCAATTGTACTCCCTTAATTCCCACGTGTCATGGGAGGGACCCAGGGGCAGGTAATTGCATCATGGGGGCTGGTCTTTCCTGCTAGTCTCGTGGTAGTGAATAAGTCTCATGAAATCTGATGGGTTTATCAGGGATTTCCGCTTTTGCTTCTTCCTCATTTTCTCTTGCTGCCACCATGTAAGACGTGCCTTTCGCCTCCCACCATGATTCTGAGGCCTCCCCAGCCATGTGGAACTGTAAGTCCAATTAAACCTCTTTTTCTTCCCAGTCTCAGGTACGTCTTTATCAGCAGCATGAAAATGAACTAATAAGCTAATGAAAACAAACAAAAACAAAATAAAACCCTGGGTTGGAGATAACAGAAGAAAATGGTCACAAATTACTTAGGCTTTCATAAAGCAAGGACATGTGTTTGGTTTAAACGACAGACATTTACAGTTCTCAGTGTTATTTCTGAAAGCAGGGATGCCTTCTGAGTTGGAAGCTCACTGAATGAGGATGTAGGGATTGCAGTGACCTGGTTAAATATCTGTGCCATCCATTTGCAACATTAAGCAGGACGATGGCACAGACCCAAAGGGAAGATACGCACGGATGGCTCTCAGCCACGGACCACTTGTTTTCAAAGCAATGATGCCTTTCGGTCCTGAGAGTTGGGAAGGCAGCCAAGGATAGGGCAGCACACATCAGCCAACACAGATGGGCTGAGGACCTCCAGCCACCGCCCACCCCATCTGGAGACCCCTCTTTGCAGGAGCCATGTGGGTACCCAGCCTTGCTCGCATGCCTCCCTTGCCAGCAGACCCACTACTTCACAATGCGATGGGGCCCAGCATTCATCGTAAGGGCGGTGCTTCTGCTGCTAGCCCTCAGGAGGCCCCACCCATAGTCATCTCTCAGGGTGCCGCCTGATGCACCCCGGTCACCTGGGAACCAGCCTTCCAGCTGTTTGCGTACCCTTCTTAAAGGCTTATACAAGCAAAGGGGAAGAGAGTCCCAGTGAAGAAAGAGGCTTTTCGAAAGGGCCGAGTGTGCCTGATTACTAATCCCCCCAAGCAGGCCTTCTATCTGTGATAAGGTTCTTCTGAATTTAACCATCACAAAGCCACGTGTTGACTGGAGACACGAGGAGTGACATCTCCTTAGATCACGTTTTGACACAAATCCTCCGGGCGCCGTCTCATCTTGACACTTCAAAGGAACAGAGGCTTCTCCGTGGCAGGGGCTTCCAAGAGCCAATTCACCACCTAAGACCAAAGGGAAGACGTGTGCCCCTTTGATCACGGCCTTCTGCTTGGGGGCGGCCCCCTGTTCCCGTCTGGGCGGGCTCCCACTGCTGGCTCCCCAGCGCAGTCAGGGATCCTCACGCGCCCAACCCACAAAAGAGCGGCCAGCGTCTGGGGGGAAATGTTACTCGGTGCAGAAGGAGCGGATTTCAGGAGAGAGACAGCAGCTGACACAAAACAGACGTAGCTTGTCTTCATCAAGGGCGTTGCAGAAAGAAATCCAAACCAGGATTGGATTTTAACAAGATGCAAACCATTTGCACATGATCGTCAATGAGAGGCGCTTGACATAACGTCTTCTAAATGGTGGCTTGCGATGACAAGGCCTGTCTGCAGACGGGCAAATGGGGTTTACGCCTGTCAGACGATTACTGCAAGCCTGCCCTGTGCTACTGCAGCTCATTTTTTCCAGTGTTAGCTAAAATGGGCTCAATTGGGAGCTGCTATTAATATGCCACAGCCCCTACCTTCTTACCAGAGTAATTCAAAACAAATGTGTCAGCCCTGGGGACGCGTGAGGACGCTGGCACTCGGATGTGGAAGCATGCGCCTGGACCTGGTGCTGGCTGGCCCTGTTTGCGCGTGCTCATGTGCAATGCGGTCACCCGGGCACTGTGTGGCTCCCTCTGCAGCAGGGTTGCACAGACAGTCGTCTGCATGGCTTCTGCTGGGTGCCGCTGCACCTCTGGGTGACCTGCACGAATCCGCACCACTGCCTGCATTCCCCATTGCCGTTGCCACAGATTGCCACAGCCTGAGGGGCTTGAAACAGCACAAGTGTCCTCTCTTACAGCTCCGGGGGCAGGACTCCTGGCATGAAGGTGTCTGCAGGGCTGGCTCCTCTCAGGGGAGAATCTGTGTCCTGGCCTTTTCCAGCTTCTAGAGCCACCTGCATTCCTTGGCTCAGGGCCCCTCCTCCATCTTCAACGTCAGCCGCGCCGCCTCTCCCAGCACCCTCTCTCTCTGAGTCCATTGTCTTCACAGCCTGTCTCTCTCTCTTCCCCGCGGGAGGACTCCTTGATGACATTGGGCCCACTCAGATAATCCAGGATAACCTTCTGTCCCAAGATCCTCAACTTAACCTGTCCGAAAAGTGCCTTTTGCCACATGAGGTCATGCATTCACAGGCTGGGGACAAAGATGTGCACATCCTTGTGGGTTATGGTGGCTGTGATTCTGCCAGCCATGGTTCTGACTGTAGCTGTGGGGTTGGTGAAGGTACCTTAGTCCTATGTGAACTCCTGATCCTCAAACTGCCCATAAGCCAGTGCTGAGCCAGGGCCACTGCACGCAGGCACTGTCCCAGGCCCCAGGGTGCCCCGAAACCGCTGCCCTCTGGGACTCCAGGCTCCTGCCCCATCCTGGCCACCCTTGATGTTTGAAGTTATGCCAAAGCCCAGAGCTGGTGGTGTGGTGGACACTGAGCCCCTCGGAGAAAAGGGACCCCGTATCCGCAGGACATGCTGGGGGCAGAGGCGGCTTCCCTCCTTTCACCATCACCCGCCTCCAGCCTGCAGGCTAGAGGAGAGGCAGGAAGAAATGTGTGTTGGAAGAATTGTTGCCCACTGGGACAGGTGGGCTCACCGGGAGTCCTTCGAGAGAGCTTCTCGCCGTGTCCATGCCTTTGTAGCTCCCCAGTCTGCGGCATCTCTGCCTGCCTGAGCTGGCAGGTGGGGCATGAATCTGTTCCTAGGAGCCAAAGGCACTTCTGAGTGGCAGGACACAGATGTTCGCGTTTTCCCTTGGGTAAGAACACATCCCAGAGGTGACCAGACTGGGGCCATCTTAAAAACCCACCCAAGAGGTCTGCCTGCCACTGTTGGAGGACACCAGGGGCCACCCCATGGCAGGGGAGCCGGGGTCCCAGGGGAGGACATGAGGCTCCAGCGGGGGGAAGAGAAACACTCCTGGGCGCCAGGGAGGTCTGATTTCTACTGGACAGACTTTGAGACATCTGGAAAGGAGACTTTGTGCAAACCGCTGCTGCCTGAATGGCCCTGGCTTTGCCTGATCTGTTGTCCAGAAGGAGAAGAGACCCTGGAGGGCAGGTGTGGGCAGGAGGCCCGGGGACACAAGGTTACTTCCTGACTGCCCTTTCCACGGGTCCTGGCCTTTCAATGAAGCAGCTGCATCTGTACAACATTTGCATGTGCACAGCAAAGTTCACACACACACACACACGTGCGCACACACTCGCACACACATGCACGGACACACGTGCAAACGCACACGCACACACGCGCACACACACGCACACACGCGCACACACACACGGAAAGTGCATATATTTTAATGATGGTAAAACATCCATAGTATCAAATATATCATCTCAATCCTTTTTATGAATCCAGTTCCATGGCGTTCAGTACATTCACAGCGTTCTTCAGCCTTCACCAGCGTCCAGCTCCAGGACCCTTTTCATCCTGCAAAACTTGAGACTCTGTCCCCATTAAACATCCACTCCCTCCCCGCGGCCCTGGCACCCACCGTTCTTTCTGCCTTCTAATTCTAGGGACCTCAGATAAGTGGAATCACACAGTATCTGTCCTTTGAGGACTGGTTTGCGTCGCCGAGCGTGATGTCCTCAAGGTTCATCCATGTTGTAGCGTGCATCAGTGTTTCCTTCCTTTTTTAGGGCTGGGTGATATGCCGCTGTATGCACATGGCACAGTTACCCGATCCGTTCTTCCACTTGGGACACTTGGGTGGTGTCCACCTTTTGCTGTTGAGTGGTGCTGTGAGTGAACATGGTGTCACACTCTGTTTTGTAGCCCTGGCTGCAAACCTGTGATGCCGGCATTGTGGTTTCTGTTTCACAAGGGAGCAAAGCCAGGCTGTGGCCGTCAGGTGACCCTCTGAAGGCTGTGCAGCTGGCCAGCTGAGACAGCATGGCCGGAAGCCGGGGACTTACTCTCCTGGCTGGGAGCCGTCTGCTCCCTGTGCAGCCTCCCAGGTGTTGGGGGAAGGGCCCCCTTATGAGAGAAAATGTTTTTCTCTTGCTGTTTGCATATTCTCCACACATGAGGATATCCCCGGTGACCTCTCTGGGTCCCATGATGGCTGGACCAGTGACTGTGTGTGGTGAGGCTCTGGGGTCATCCGTCCAGCCCTCTCCTCCACTGCCCTCAGGGTCCTCGATCCTTCTTGGAGGGTCCTGAGCTGCGGGCTCCAGAAGGAGGCTATCAGGGCCCCTGGTGCCTCTTCCATCCAGGGCAGGTGGCAGGCGTAAGCTGTGCCCACAGGGGAAGGTTCTAGAATCCCTGCAGGAGGAGGCCCCTCTGCATGGAAGGGTCAGGCTGGAGATCCTGCATTCAGCCCTTGGCACACACTGACCACTGAGCTGGCTCAGAGAGGGCGGGGAATCTTGGTCCATGGCTGCTGAGTGATGTGGCCGCTGGCCAGGTGGGTGCTGAGCATCGGCTGCTCTGAAGTAGGAGGGGCCTCCCCGAGGTCCCCCTGGGCACCTCAGTCATCTTGTCAACCATCTGGTCACTGGGAAGGAAGACACAGACAGGAGAACACAAAAGTCCTTGCTCCAGGAGCCCCAGTCAAGTGTCCAGAGCAGGAGGCCCTATGGGCCTTGGCAGATCCTGCCTGCTGGGGCCTCCTGACGACTTTGTGGGTTTTAGGGGTTCAGGCAAGTTCACCCCTTTTCCTCATGTCCTTGAACAGCTGTGAGCTTGGCTAGAGTCTGGAGGGAAAGGCTGGGATGCAGAACTGAGGGGTCCGGGAAGCCGTGGCTCAGCATGTTCCCCTCCTGGGGCCGTTCCCATCAGGTGACTTAGGGATGGTGAGGTCACTAAGCACTTGTCCCCTGCTCCACTGCCTCTCTACCCTTGCTGCTCTGCAGACCAGAAGGAAGCTTCCTTGGGACCTGAACCCACTGGGGGTCCCAGGGCCGGACCTCATTTCCTGAGTGTCCCTGCTCCTGGCCTCCAGAGCTTCCCATGCCCTCTGAGGGTCCTCGTCCGCAGAGCATGACCTGAGAGTGACTGCCTGGGCCGGGCTGGTCCCTTTGGCTCCTGGTTGTGCAAAGTCTTTCTCCGAGGGGCGGGGGTCTCCCCTTTCCAGCCCTTTGGGCGTCTGTCTGCCCTGTTTTCCTGACTGATGGGGGGCACTGAGGGTGGGAGAGAGCCCAGGTTAGTTTAGCGCTGAAATCACCCCCGAATTGTTCAGTGAGCTCATCTGCTCTGCACGCCCGGGAGGGTTTCTTTCCCTGCAGAACAACCACACTCGCTTCTCACCGAAACACGTGCTTTCTTTGGCTGGGCTCTGCGGGTTGCCCCAAGTGCCACTTCATGGCGGGCCTGACTGCCTGTGCCGCGGCTGGATACCCCGTGAAGTCCAGCCAGGCTCTTGGCCACTCACCTGAATCCCCGGTAGGGCTGGCGGCGGGGGCTCTGGTTCTGGATGCAGGGAAGTGAACTCAGATTTGGGCAGCCCCAGGTAATGCGGGAGAGAAGGTGGGTCCATTACCTACAGCCCCTATGGACACCCTCTGCTGGGAGCCTCCCCGTCAAGGCCAGGGTGGGAAACTGTGGATGCGGGGGTGCTGTGGGAGCTGCAGAGAGGGTGTGCAAGCAGGGCATGTACGGGGCCTGTGTGTGCAGGGTCTGTGTGTGTGTGTGCAGGGCGAGTGTGTGCAGGGTGTGTGTGGGGTCTGTGTGTGCAGGGCGAGTGTGTGCAGGCCGTGTGTGGGGTCTGTGTGTGCAGGGTGTGTGTGGGAGCCTGTGTGTGCAGGGTGTGTGTGTGCAGGGTGTGTGTGTGCAGGGTGTGTGTGTGCAGGGTGTGTGTGGGGTCTGTGTGTGGGGTCTGTGTGTGCAGGGTGTGTGTGGGAGCCTGTGTGTGCAGGGTGTGTGTGTGCAGGGTGTGTGTGGGGTCTGTGTGTGTGGGGAGCCTGTATGTGCAGGGCTGTGGGGGGTTACCTGGGACCTGTGTGTGGGGGCATGTTCAGGACTGTGGGTTGCACGGCGTGTATGCAGCATGTGTGTGGGGCCTGTGGGGTCTGTGCAGTGTGATGTGTGTGTGCACATCTCATGTGTATACCACACATACTCCTTGAGCTCGTGAGTGCCCAGAGAGGAGGAAGACAGGAGGGAGGAGGTGGCGGTGAAGAAGAGGGTCAGAGATGACCCAGGGCTGTCTGAATCTGAGTCCGTTTTCCTGTGTCCAGAAGCAGGGGCCACCCAGCCCTGCTCTGGACTCGAGTGGTGGCCAAGGGCCTGGACTCCGAGGGGTGTCCAGCTGTGGCACAGGCTGTTGGGCCCAGCATGAAACGGCACTCGGGGTCACCAGCAGAGCCCAGCCAACGGCCGTGAGGCCGGGAAGTGCTGGAACTGCATGGCCTGGCTGCCGGGGCTCTGTGCCTGCCTCAGTCACTTGCTTGTGGAGTGACCCGGCCAGGTCCCCCCCACCTCCCTGCCCCTGACTTCTCCATCTGTAAAGTGGGGTGGATGGTGCCAATCTTCCCACATGGGAGGGTCGATAGAAGAAGGAAGGGTGGGGCGTGGTGGGTGCTTACAGCAAGGTGAGGTATACCCCAAATTCATGTCCACATGGCACCTTAGAATGGGACCTTACCTGGAAACAGGGTCTTTGTAGACATAATAAGGCAAGGATCTTAAGATGAGATCACCCTGAGTGTAGGGTGGGCCCTGGATCCAATGACTGGTGACTGTGTAAGTGGAAAAGGGGACATGGAGACACACGGGAAGCGGCTGCGTGATGAGGAGTCAGAGCCCAGAGGAGGCGTCACAAGGCGAGGAGCGCTAATGGGTGCTGCAAAGCTGTCAGAGGCAGAGACAGATCTTCCCCACAGCCCCCAGGAGGAACCAGCCCTGCCCACACCCCAATTCTGACACAGCCAGTCCCCAAAAGACAGACACTGCGTGATTCCACTTATCTGAGGTCCCTAGAATCAGAAGGCAGAAAGTAGAACTGTGGGTGGTCAAATAATCCCTGAAGGCCAGTCTGGATTCAAGGGGACAGGTCTAAGCCCCTGTCTCTTGATAGGAGGAGTCTTGAAGTGTTCCTGGTTATCCTTAAACTGCCACAGTCCACCCCGGCACAAATTATTTACATTCCTACCACATGAAGTACCATTCACCCTTCCTGCCAAGATGCCCAAAGTCTCATCCCATTATGGCATCAGGCTTAGGCTTGAGGTCCTTAAATCGGGCAGCCTCCCAAGCCAGAGTAGGCTCAGAAAGACTCTCAGGTCCAGGATCTTGTCACAGAAATCAAGTCCAGGTGCAGACGAGGCTATTTGGGTATGCCATCACCTTCAGGGGTAGTTTTTTGAGTATGATCCCCTCAGTCTGAAGACTCATGCACCTGACATGCACCGGTGACACAGGCAAGGGAAAACTGTGATCAATTACCCTGGCCAACAAGAGAGAAGTGGGAGGCCCATAGCAGTCACTGGTCCATAGCAATTCTGAAATCCAGAGTCTTTGATTACGGCCATGTCCTGCTGTTCCCCAGGAATGATTCTGTGGTGCTCAGCTCCACCTGCTGGGTTCCTGGTCCAACCCTCTAAGTCATCCCACTTTCACAGTGGAGCAGCCTACTTTCTCTTACCCATAGTTCATCACGGTCTGAAAATAGTAAATGGAAAACTCTGGAAATAAATGCTTCCTGTTTTAACACAGGTCATTCTGGGTAGTGTGGTGGAATCTCTAGCCATCCCACCCCATCCTGCCTGGGATGTGAATCACTCCCTTGTCTAGAGGATCCACGCTGTATATGCTCCCTGAACATTGGTCACTCAGCAGCCTTCTAGGTTTTCAGATGGATTCTCGTGGCATCCCAGTACTTGGGTTCCAGTAACTCTTATTTGACTTAATAATGGCCCCAAAGCAGCATGGTGGTGATGCTGGCAATTCTGACATGCCAAAGAGAAGCCATAAAGTGCTTCCTTTAAGGGAGAAGACGGAAGTTCTCAACGTAATAAGAAAAGAAAAAAATATTGTAGGCTAAGGTTGCTAAGATCTACAGTAAAAGCATCTCTTATCTGGGATATTGTGAAGCAGAAAAAAGAAATTTGTACAGTTTTGTTTTCACACCTCACACTGCATGATACAGGTACAGCCACAGTGTGTGATACGTGCTTAGTTAAGATGGAAAAGGCATTGAATTTGTGGGTGAAAGACTTGAGCAGAGTCATGTTCTGATCCACAGGAACTGGGTTCTACACTAGCCATGGTTTCAGGCATCCATTGGAGGTCTTGGTACGTATTCCTCTGTGGACCAGGAGGCCTACTGTATCCTTAAATGGACATAGCTTCTGGAGAGTAAATCTCTTTGTACTTCCTAGGAGGACTTCCTGTGAATATTTTTGGGATTCACATCATCAGGCAAAAACTATCCTCACGGTTCTCTCCAACACAGGCCTCTCTCTCCTGGGCTGAGCATCAGGTAGCTGTTTCACATGCCCTGAGATTCTTAGAACTACTGAGAGAGCCTATGAGTCGCACCCTTACATCTTCTGAAGTCTCAATACAGGGTCTTATAGCCATACCCATTAGATATTCTTTACTCTGAAGATTATATTTTTTATTTTGAGAGCATTTGCCATCTGAAGGGCATGGGAATGAAGAAGAAACTTAATTCTAAATCCAGCAAATTCTGTTATTTAGAATTTTTTTCTGAATTTATTGTAAATGAAATATTTTGATTTTAGCTCTTCTCTATCTTACACTATGTAGCTAAAAGAAGCTAGTTGGACTATTCAACACTCTTCCTGGAAATGTCCTCAATCAAATCAAGTAATTCATTAAGTTTATTTTCTGTTTTCTACGTTACTACAGGGGTCAGTGTTGCCAAACTTTTCTGCATAACAAGATCCTTGGTTTTTCTAGCCTGTAATCACAATTTCCTCCTTGTCCCCCCAGCTTCCTCTGGAAGTCTTCCCCAAGGTTCTCTCAACTTCCATCTGCCACCTGGTTCAAAGCCCATTCCCCATGGCTCTTATGGCTGCATCCCACTTCTGGTCCCAACTTCTATAATATTCAGTTGCTTAAAGCAACAATTTATTGTCTCTGGGGGTTCTGTGAGTGACTCAGACTCAGCTCAGAAGTTCTGTCTTGGGGATCTTCTCATTCGGTTGTGATCAGGCAGCAGCTAGGCCAGGAGCCATCTGAAAGCCCAGGTGGGCTGTGTGGGCAAGACGGTTCCAGTCCCATGTGTGGTGCCTCAGGGGATTACCTGGATGGCCGGACTCCCCTGGGTTTCTTGGCCAAGTTGGTGGGCTCCAAGCATGGGTGTTCTTGGTGTCCTGGGTGGAAGCTGCAAGACTTCTCATGGCCTAGGCTGGGGAGTCCCAGGTCATCTCTTCTGCTTCATTCTGTTGATCAGATGGGTCATGAAGGCCAGCTCAGACTCAATGGCAGGGCATTGAGACCCAACTCTCAAGAAGAAGAGTGTCAGAGAATTTGCAGGTACCTTGAATCTACCACACCTCCCAGTCCATTTCAGGGTTCTACACTTTGCCTCATCTTATATATCATGGAAGGTGGGCAGGGACAACCCACCTCCCATTCCAGATGTGTGCTCTGATTGGTGAAGGCCACTCCGCATACTCTTTTAGTCCTTGACACAGTGATTGGATCAGGGATGGGCAACAAAGGCCTAAACCAATCACATCACATAATTCCCTCAGCCACAGTCTAAGTGGTTGAGGTTGGACTTTTCAGTGCATGGCCCGAGTTTATGATTGGAGGAGAGGAACCCTCCTTCTCTTGACTTAGACCAGTGCTGCCCAATAGAAACATAATGGAAGCCATATGTATAATTTTCAAGTAGTCATATTAAAACAAGTAAAAATAATATTAATTTTAATATTTTATTTAACTGAATATACCCAAAATATTATGATTTCAACGTGTCATCAATTAAAAAATTACTACTAAAAAGCTTTACACTTTTTTTTTTTTTTGAGATGGAATTTTGCTCTTGTTGCCCAGGCTGGAGTGCAATGGTGCAATCTCAGCTCACTGCAACCTCCACCTCCTGGGTTCAAGTGATTCTCCTGTCCCCCTTCTCAGCCTCCCAAGTAGCTGGGATTACAGGCATGCACCACCACGCCTGGCTAATTTTTGTATTTTTAGTAGAGATGGGGTTTCACTGTGTAGGCCATGCTGGTCTTGAACTCCTGACCTCAGGTGATCCACCAGCCTCGGCCTCCCAAAGTACTGGGACTACAAGCATGAGCCACCGCGCCCGGCGTACGCTGTTTTTTTTTTTACGCTGTCTTCTAAATCAGTTGTGCATTTAGCTTCCAGCTCTTCTCAGTGTGGACGACACACATTTCAAGTGCCCAAGAGTCACAGGAAGCCAAAGACCACCCTATTGGACAGTGCAGCTTTGGATGGGATGGGGTCAAGACCTGAGGGCTGGTCTCAAGTCCCCAGGAAGCCAACCCAAAGATGAAGCTGTTACAAAGTCAGGAACAGAGCAGAAAGAATGTCTGAGAAGTCAAGAAAGAGCCCTGTACAACCCATGCCTGAAGCTTAACGTCCTTTTGGAATTTTCAGCTACAGGGTCAATATTTCTCGTGTGCTTCCGTGAGTTGCAGGTGTGTTTGCAGTTTCCTGCAACACTCAGAGTCCTGGGTAATATTCTTCTTTCGTCCTGGTGATCTGGGAGGTCTTAAGGGAGCAATCCCTTGAAGGCTGTGAAAGGCAGGGGTGGATCTGGCTTCTAAAACTTGCTGTAGTTAATTAATTAATTTTTAGAGATGAAGTCTTGTTATGTTACCCAGGCTGGTTTTGAACTCCTGGGCTCAAGTGATCTTCCTGGGATCTGGATTTTGAGAGGTCTCAAGCTAAATTTGAGGACCCTCAGAAGAAAGAAAATAAAATTGCAAACATGACTTAGCTAAAGGGTTTTGTAAGGCGGCACCTACTCCCTGGGTGCTTCCTCCCAAGCACCCTTCACCAAAGGGGAAAAAACACGCCCTGTCCCTCTTCCCGAGATGCCAGAGGCTTTGGCTGCACAGTCTACAGACAGGAGCTGCCTTCTTGGTGCAGGACTCTGCTCCGGGTCTCCACATTCTCCGAGTGCTCTGGGAGTCCCTCAGTGAAGTGGATGCTTTAGGATCCTAGAGGAAACAGGGGCTTAGCCAGGGCTTGGCCTCACACAGACGTGAGAGCAGATGGAAGCTCTGAGGGCCTGGGCGGGGCCCAGGGTCAGAACCCAGCCAGAGAGAACAGCCAGGGCTGGCAGGCAAACCCCAAGTGGCTCCTGGAAGGCTACCTGCCCGAGGGGGTGTGGAGCAGAGGCTCCCCCGGCAAACCCGCCTCTGGGGTCAGAAGCCCTGTGTCTGGGTGGTCCACAGCCTGACGCTGGGATGAGAAGTGCAGGGGTAGAACTTCCTTACTGCTTCCCGGGTCTCTCCCAACTGTGGCTTCTGGCCAGTCCTCCCCGAGAACCAGACAGGGACTGGGACACCGGGAATTGAGACTCCTGGAGGCTTGTGCTTTGATAAGGGGATTGGGGAAGCTCCATGAGAACAGCAGGGAATTTTAAACCATGTTCAGAGTTGTTTTAATAATCAGAAATCACAGCAGGTTAACAAGAAGGGTGGCAGCATGTCCCAGGCAGGTGGGTAGACCCAAGAGCGACTCCGCAGGGTGGGGCCCTGGCTCCTGCGGCTCCTGCCCTGCCCCAGGCCTCTGTTTCTGTCACCTGGGATAGCAGGAGCCTCTCTGGATTCTAGGAGGGATTCATGCTGGGCACACAGGAGGACTTGGACAATGCCAGGGCTCGGTGAGGCTGGCCTGTCCCCTTCCGGGGAGCAAAGCCAGCTTCAAGGGATTCGAGAAACCCCACATGCAGGACTGGCCTCCCTCGGGCCTGCCTGCCCCTCACCAGCTGCACTCTGGCGCCCACAGCGCCCGGCGTCCCCTTGTCTCCTGCCTAGAGGTAGATGAGGACCCCTGGCCCTGCCTCCTGGGGTATCCTTCCCTGCGGCACCCCGGGCTCGTGGAAGTGGGTAGTGCATGCAGTGGGGACCCAGCCCTGTGGGTTTGGCCCTTGCTGTAGGGGCAGACAGCCTCCTCCCTCCTGGTTCCAGGCTGTATGCCACCAAGACAGGCCTGTCCTGACAGCCGGACCCAGCCATGGGCATGAGCGGCTCCTCTGGGCCTCCAGAGCCAGCACCCATGTCCCAGCCCCACCGCGCCTGTTGCTGGAGGCCTCGGGCAGGAAGCGGCAGATGTAGCGCTCTCTTATCCCGCCACTGGCCATGGGAAAGGCCTCCTCCATCCCGGGCAGACACTGGAAGGCCACGCTTGCCTTTGAGGCATGGAGTGGGGAGGGGGCCGGGCCCTGCTGCCGCCGCAGGGCTGCCCCACACAGAGCCCCATTCATCCCAGGCCCCGCTCTGTGCAGCACCCTCCCCCACTCGGCGGGGCTGGCACCCGCCCAGGAAAGGGCATCTCGTGGCAACATCCCTGGCTTCTGAGTGGGGAAGGCTGACCAGGAGGCCCCTCTCACCAGACTCAGGACCCTGGTGGGCAGATGCTGCCTGGGAAATGGGTACTCTACAGAATCCTGGCTCTGGAAGCTGGCTGTGGCCCTGCTTCTGGAATGGGAAGCTGCGTGGCCAAAGGGAAGAAGCAAGGGGCTGGGCAGCCAGTGTCAAAGTCTCCCAGCTGTGTTGGAAGGTAGCCACTCCCAACCTGAAGACCCCGGACCAGGAGCGTGGGTGCCAGTGACCAGGCCCTTCCCTGTTCACTGCCAGACTCTGGCTCTTGAGGCAGCCAGTCATTGCTGAATGGATGGAGGCTCCTCCTGCACACAGGGGAGACCAGGAGGGTGTTCATGGGTGCACGGACACACACTCTGACCAAGACAGCTGCCTCTACCTGGGCCAAGGCGACCTGTGAGAAGAGGCAGAGGGGCTGAAGGCACGAACAGGTTTGATGCATCCCCCTCAGGAGCTGCTCAGCTAGCGACCCCATTGCGCATCTGTGGAATCCGCCTTGGAGGTTTACCCCTCCTTCCTTGGGCTAAAATGGGCCCTAACCCAAGGAAGCCTCGCCAATATTTCAGCCTCAAAGGTGGAGAAATCTTGTACCCTCCAAAGGAGGATCCTTCCTGCCTCCTCCAGTGTCTGGTGGCCCCTGGCTTCCTGGGCTTGTGGCCGCATCACTCCAACCTCAGCCTCCTCTTCACATGGCCTTTTCCCCTGTGTGTGTCAGACCGTCAAATCTCCTCTCCTTTCTCTCATAAGGACCTCAGTCATTGGATTTGGGTCCCATCCTAAATCCAGGGTGATCTCATCTTGAGATCCTGATCATAATTATATCTGCAAAGACTCTTACTCCAAATACGGTCACACGCACAGGTTTAAGGAGTTAAGACCTGGCCATATATTTTGGGGTGGGTCTCTGTTCAATCCACTGCAGCCTGCCATCCACACGTGTTGTGTAGCCAGGCCACTCACTTGCCCCAACACAGGATCAGCCTCTTCCAGGTCTCCTATGTCTCCTCTGTATTAGGCCATTCTTGTGCTGCTATAAAAAACACCTGAGACTGTGTAATTTATAAAGCAAAGAGATTTGATTGGCTCACAGCTCTGCAGGCTTCACAGGGAGCAAGGTGCTGCCATCTGCTTGGTTTCTAGGGAGGCCTCAGGAAGCTTCCAATCATGGCAGAAGGCGAAGAGGGAAGAGGGACGTCACATGGCAAATGCAGGAGTGAGCAAGAGAGTTTGGGGGCGAGAGGAGGTGATGCCACACCTTTAAATGACCAGCTCTCAGGAGAACTCAGTGAGCACTCCCTCATCACCATGGGGATGGTCCAAGCCATTCAGGAGGAATCTACCCCCATGATTCAAACCAGTGTGATCCCCAATGATTGGGATTACATTTCAACATGAGTTTTGGAGGGGACAAACATCCAAATTATACCATCCCCTGACTGCTCTGCTCTAAGCCCTGGTCCTGACAGCCCCTGCCCCACCATGGGGATAGCAGCTGCTCCCATTGCTTCCTCCAGGGTGGACCCCACACAGCAGCAGGCCGGGCCTCTTTCCTGCCTCAGCTCCAAACCAAATTATCCCAGAAAACTGTTCTTTTGATGAACTCAGTCAGCTAATGTGGTTCCCAGGAGTAACTTCACCCAGTGAGCTGTGGGTGACCCTGAGCAGGTGAGCAGGTGCCCTGCTCTTCCTGGGGGCCCCATGGCACCTCTGCCTGGACCCTGACCTGACAGCCTCCCCTTACTGAGCGCCCAGAAGATGCCAGCCCTTTTCCCACACTGACTCACTCAGTCCTGCAGTGAGCCTGTGAGTTGGTTTCTGCCAACAACGCCATTTTACAGATGAAAAAATGAGGTTCAGGTAGTGGGCGGAAGCCAGACACCTTGCCATTTAATACACACCCCCCACACATATACACCCTACACACACAGACACACACACACCCTAATTTATATATAAATTCTATACAAATGATTTAATACTTATATAGAGATATTAAATTTATTTTACATTTATATACAATCTATATAGGTCTATAAACCTATATGTATATAGTCTTTTACCAAATATCTCTGTTTACAGTATGACACCTTAACCTTGGTGACATGGTTTGGCTGTGTCCCCACCCAAATCTCCTCTGGAATTGTAGCTCCCATAATTCCCACGTGCTGTGGGAGGGACCCAGTGGGAGATGATTAAATCATACTGTTCTCATGGTAGTGAATAAGTCTCACCAGGTCTGATGACTTTATATGGGGTTTCCGCTTTTCTTGGCTCTCCTTCTCTTTTGTCTGCCACCATGTAAGATGCACTTTTTGTCTTTCATCATGATTGTGAGGCCTTCCCAGCCACATGGAACTGTGAGTCCATTAAACCTCTTTTTCTTTACAAATTACCCAGTCTCGGGTATGTCTTTATCAGCAGCGCGAAAACAGACTAAAACAACCAGGATGGGTGCAGGGTCTTTACATAGGAACTTGATGACTTCCTCTGGCCCAGCATCTCCAGATGTTCTCTGGATGTTCTCCAGGGTGTTCCCTGGTCATGTGCTGGGATGGTGGGGGGACATGGGGTGTGGTGTGGGGGGGACACGGGGTGTGGTGTCGGGGGGGACACGGGGTGTGGTGTCGGGGGGACATGGGGTATGGTGTGAGGGGGACATGGGGTGTGGTGTGGGGGTGGGTCATGGGGTGTGGTGTTCCTTGGTCATGTGCTGGGGTGGTGGGGGCACATGGGGTGTGGTGTTGGGGGACATGGGGTTTGGTGGAGGAGATCTAGTCTCCTCACTGCTTCTCGGCCATACCTACCCCCACTCGAACCAGCCCTGCTGGGTTTGGCTCCATCCACGCCCCCTGCAGAGGTCCCAGAGACCTTTGATTCCTGGACCTTACTGATGCACTGAGGCACAAAGTGGTTCATTTCTTCTTGACTCTCTGCCTCTCTTTTTCCCAGCCCTGCCTGCAAACCTGCAAACCTTGTTCTCAGGTTTCCCTGATCTCTGGAGGGAATCTATTTTTGGTCTCCATCCTTTGGTCTCCTGTCTGCTGGAGCCTCTGCTCTCATTCCCTTCATCCTTCTGGCTTTGCTCCTTTGGCTAATGATCCCCTTACTGCCATTTTTGTGTGATTTTTAAGTGCGATCAGAAATAACCACACATGTTCTTTCTTTGTACTTAACTGGAAATCCTTGAGCATCTTTTTCAAAGGTTTTCCTGAATTGTGGTTACATGAGGTCTGAGAATTTTTCTTGGATTCCCATATCTGGAGCACACAGGGATCATGCAATTGTGCATGGGCAGTTTGACCATTACAAATGATCACCTCAGTTACTCAACAGAACAACAAAGCTAAATTCCAGGATACTGTCTACACTATGCAGGCATTAAAATAATAATAATAGAAACACACTGCTGACATAAAACACAGAGAAACTAGATTGCAAAAGCAAACTCTGTGGATATTATACACAGAACCGCGGGTGACAAGACATCACTTCAGATCCTAAAGTATGAAACAGTGAGGACAAACCAGCAACAGCCCCAAGATGTAGCCGATGCTGGAGTTTGTGGGAGAAGAGATGGCAGGAAGCAAGGCCACATCTGAAAAACTCAAGAATAGGAGAATCCCCAGGTAGCCAACAAACAAACATTCATTAAAAAGCGTGGGTTAATTTAAGAGCAGCAGCTGAGATTGGGTGAGATTTTGCCTACTCTGATATTGGGTCATGCAAAGGGTCCAAGATGAGGGAGGAAGAAGCTAGAGAGGTCTTGCCTGCAGAAACTCTCGGAAACAACTGGCCAGGGCAGATCCCATCCTGAGAAAAGACTGCCAAGAGTGGAATTAACTTGAGTAGCCTGGAAGCGTCAGAGCTGAAGAGGAGAGGGAAGCAGAGCCTGGGAATCTCATCAAGTAAGCATCACACCTTGAACACTACAAGAAAACAGTAGCAGAAAGGAATTGTGATGCAAAGGAGAATAATATCCCTATAGACAATCAAGACGCAACAGACAAACATCCCCATAGACAGCTGAGAATTGTAGCCTGCTACTTAAAAATGAGTTAAAAGACATGAAGAGAATGATACAAAACATAGGCTGGGCGTGGTGGCTCACGTCTGTAATCCCAGCACTTTGGGAGGCTAAGGCGGGCGGATCACGAGGTCAGGAGATCGAGACCATCCTGGCCAACACGGTGAAACCCCATCTCTACTAAAAAAACTACAAAAAATTAGCCGGACATGGTGGCGGGTGCCTGTAGTCCCAGCTACTCGGGAGGCTGAGGCAGGAGAATGGCGTGAACCCAGGAGGCAGAGCTTGCAGTGAGCCGAGATTGCGCCACTGCACTCCAGCATGGACGACAAAGCGAGATTCCATCTCAAAAAAAAAAAAAGAGAGAATGATACAAAACATAAAAGAACAACATAAATCCTAATGAAAACACACAGAAATGAAGTGACAGAATTCAAGAGAATATTAGAATTAAAGAAAACAATCATTTCTGAAATGAAGACTAAACTAAAAAAACACAAGAGTAAACAAACTCAACAAAGAATGCCTCAGAAAACAACAAAAAGTTGAAAGAAAAAAGCTTTAAAAATTTAAAAAGCAGAAAAAGAGATGAAAAAGATTTGTGAGAAACTGACAATGCCGGTTGGTAAAGATGACCCAGTAGACTGATAATGAGTATCTCTGAATTAAAAGGACAACAAAGCAACAACCTAAGCAAAGACTCGTAACGATACTGAAAACTACACTTCAGGAAAAGGCTCCTGAAACAGAAGAAAAAAGTTTTGAAACTACTTATTGAAAGAGCACACCATACTCCTGAGATTGTGACCTAGAATAATGAACCAAAGGCATTGTCTTCTGAAATTACTCTATATGAAAGAAAAAGAAAATAATGCTTTGCCAAATGACTGAGCAAAAGGACAATGTAGACCATGGAAGAAATAAAATTAGTTTATCATCAGACAGCAACTCTTTATGCCAGAAAAAATGGAGTAACATATTTAAGCTTATGTTCTTAAGAAAAGAAAACATAAGCCAAACATCTTTCATCTAACAATAATGACTTAATCCTAAAACACAGACTAACTTTTATCGACACGGACATGCAAGAACTCATGGAACATTTTTCTCCTGAGTCCTTTCTAAGAAATCTTTTAGAAAATAGGCTTTAGAAAATAAAAATCACAATTTCAGAAAGACATTGCAATGAAAACTGGAAGTGAGTATTAAATGTACACTTACTTGTGGAACCCAAACTAATAAGAGTGAAGGGGAATGGGCATGAGCTGCAGTGGTATTTACTCTGCCAGCGCAGATTAAAGGATTAAAAATGGATGGTGAGTGGGGAGAGCATATGCACGCATTTCTAACTGGTTTTGTTAATCATGGTTGGTGGTGGCAGCATTAGTATTGTTATTAGGCGACTGGCATGTGTGTGTAATGAGGAAGAAAGCAGGTGAATAAATGCAGGCTCTTCTATCGTTCCCTACATCCCCAGGAGCCAGGGCTCACCATGTAGAAGAAAGGTAATGGCGATATTAATGAGGTTAAGTAAAAACCCCTGTGGTCCAGAATGTAAATGGGAAATATAACTTATTAACTTGAGTTCCTTTATCTGTAGTACACATGTACACACACACACACACACACACACACACACACCCCTTAGCTCTGTTCAGTGAAGAAGTCTAGATTCAATGTGTGGCCAGCCTAGCAGCTCTCACTGTGGTTTTGAAATATTATTTCCCACAAAACAAAACTAGTGATCTTTAGAGAAGTTACTGATTTTGAATCTGAGTCCAGAAATGTATCATTGAGCCTGGAACGCCTAGTCATACAATACGGCAAGGAAGTTGTCAAAGTCAACTGGGATTGCGTCCAAAGGATTCAGGCGCTGACCCAAAGTGGCTTCCACTGGCTAAAGACGGAGCCACTGAAGTTTCAGTAGGTACAAGAAATGCAACAGATGGAAGACTGCAAGTGTTCAGATGCAGTATACAGATTCGTATGTTAATGGATCTAAACATAAAATACGTGTGTGTGTATGTGTGTGTGTGTATAGCTGTATAACAAATTACCTAAAATCTTCTTGGCTTAAAAATGAGAGTAAATATTTATCTCACCCAATAGCAATGACTGACCAAGAGTGGACCCTCAGGGGAGTGGGGTCTGAGTTCTTTCCCACCTTGGGCCCCCTCGATGGCCAGCCCTCCCTTTACCCACACATCAGTCTGCTTGTCCCAAAACACCATGGCACTCCCCAAAGGTGTTTCCTGGAGGTGGCCCCAAGTCTAGGGTGCCCAGGCCAACATGCTTTCTGGAAACACTGCATGGATTTACTCTCTCCTTGGATATTTGTTGGTTCATGTCTCACCCCGTGCTCACCAGCACTAAGTATCATTTCTAGCAGTCTTGGCAATTTTGATAGGCAAAGCATGCTATTTACTCTCCTGTTTGTATTCCATTAATTTAAATAGATTAACACACATGTTTAATAACCATTTGCATTTCCTTTATTGTGAGTTTTTTGTTCGGTTTGTCCATTTTTTCTATTAACGTCCTAGTGTTGTCAAAATGTATGTACTTTCATCTGAAATCAATATATTCATATAGTTAAGCTATATTAGTGGATAAGTAGAACCATCTTTTGGCCCCAAGTCCCTCACCTTTGCCTTGCCCTCTGGGATGATTGCTTTTTGCTATTTGAACTCCTTCTTTTGGTTCTTGTTTGTCCGGTGATGACCTCCGGATTTCTGCGCACTGTGTCTGGAATTGGGATGGTAAGTTTACATTACTGTTGCCATGCTCTGAGGTCTTCCTGTGATGGCTGCAGAGAATTTGGATTCCTCACACCCTCTGATCATGGTGTCACAGAGCTTAGTTCTTTTATTGACTATCTTCCCTCCAGAATCATCACTAACCTCTGTTCACTCCTCCCTTCTTTCCTTCCTTCCTTTCTCTCTGTCTCTTTCTTCTTTCTTTCTTTTCTTTTTTGAGACAGAGTCTTGCTGTGCAGTGGTGCAGTCTTGGCTCACAGTAACCTCCGCCTCCTGGGTTCAAGCGATTCTCCTGCCTCAGCCTCCTGAATAGCTGGGACTACAAGCATGCGCCACCACGCCTGGCTAATTTTTTTTTTGTATTTTTAGTAGAGATGGGGTTTCACCATGTTGACCAGGCTGGTCTTGAACTCCTGACTTCAAGCAATCCACCTGCCTCGGCCTCCCAAAGTGTTGGGATTACAGGCGTGAGCCATTGCACCCAGCCTCACCCTTATTTCTAGAGTTCCCGCTTTGTAGGATGAAGATCTTTGCTCCCCTGCCCCACTCTTCACCGCTTTCCACCTTTCTTTCTCCCAGCCTCTGCCGAATGACATCTTACTTTCACTCATCAAGGTGGATGACATTTGCATTCTGCTCTGAAATTATAACTAAGTCTTCTCCACCCAAAAGTTTAAAACCTAAAATGTTAAAACCAGGAGTGTTTATCTTATTGTGACTATGTAAATATTTATTGTGAGACCAAAAAAGTCATTTATATTCTTTAATTGAAACTTTATTACATTACATTATCTATTCCAGACTCATGATATCATTTCCTCTATGGTCTAGCTATTTGTTTTCCTAGGACTTTTAATTGCCTTTTATTTCTCACATTGTCTGTCTTTATCACTCAGTGAGTTCTTTAAGAATCTCAAGGGTGCCTGACGTCTAACCCTCCTTCTCTACAATGCTTCCGGAACCTGTGTCTTCTTGCTTCCGTCACGATGCTTCTGGAACCTGTGTCTTCTTGCTTCCGTCACGATGCTTCTGGAGCCTGTGTCGTCTTGCTTCCGTCTGGGGAGCTGCTTGCCAGATGGCTGCACATCTGTGCCCTTGGTGTCTTCATCTTTTCTCTCCTGGGTTGTGTCCCACATATTTTCTTGTTCTGTTGGACTTTACTTCATTTTTCAAGAACACATCCTTAGCACAAGCGATCAAGGAAAAATACGTAAATTAGGCTTCATTATGATTAAAAACTTCTGTATGCTAAAGGACACTATTGAAAAAGTGAAAAGACAACCTATAGTAAGAGAAAATATTTGCAATCATATGTCTCTTAAGGACCTAGTCTCCAGAATATTGAAAGAACTCTCATAATTCTATAAGAAAAAGACACAGAAGCCGATTAAAGACTGGACAAAGGATTTGAATAGACATTTCTCCAAGGAAGACATATGAATGGCCAATAAGCACATGAAAAGATGTTCAATGTCATTAGTCATTAGGGAAATGCAAATTAATGGCAGGCTATAATTGAAGAAGGAAAACAACTGTTGGTGCAAAGATGTGGAGAAATGGGAACCCTCATCCATTGCTGCTGGGAATGCAACACGGTGCAGCCACTTTGGAAAACAGTCTGGTAGTTCCTAAAAACCTCAGACATGGAACTACCATATAACCCAGCAATTTCTTTCTTAGGAATATACCAGAGAGAACTGAAGACATATGTCCACATAAAAGCTTGTACGCAAATGTTTCTAGTAGCATTACTCTTAAGAGCCACGAAGGGAAAACAACCCAAATGTCCACCAGCAGATGAACAGAGAAAGGAATGAAGCACTGAATCATGCTACAACACGGACGAGCCCCCCAAAAAATTATGCTAAGTCAAAGAAGCCAGACACAAAGGGCCACAGATTTTATGATTCCATTTATTTGAAATATCCAGCATAGGCAAATCTATAGAGACAGAAAATAGGTTAGTGTTTGTCAGGGGATGGGTGGGGAGGAGGCATGGGGAGCACCTGTTGATGTGGAATTTTGTTTTAGGGTGATGAAAATGTTCTGGAGTTAGTGGTGACGATTGTACAATCTCATAAATAGCTACTGAACTGCACACTTTAAAATAGAGAATTTTATAGCATTCTATAAATTATATCAATAAAGAAAGAAGAAAAGATGAATAAGAAATCACATAACAATGTGTTCTTCCTTTATTGATGTAATTTATATAAATGCTGCTTTATATATAGCATAACTTTTACATATTTGTATTTTGATATAATATAAAAATTATGTATTAATATATTTACATCATCACATGATTTCTTATTCAAACAGTACCTGGGAAGAACACACTCTGAGACTTTGTGTATCTGAACATGTCTTCATTCTTTATTTACTTTCCCTTACTCATTGATTGATTGATTGATTGCTAGCTATGTAGGGCATGCCCCCTAGATATCTCCCTGGCTAATGCTTTCCTGGTGACTATCTCTTGGATTTTAATCACAAGTTGGTAGAACTTATGTCTTGAAATATATCAGTTTTTCAGTGGATGTTTGTGTGTACAGGAAAAAGTTACATCACTATTCTCAAAATGCAATTTGCAATTTTAAGTAAAACGATTGAATTACATTCCACATACAACAGGTAGAATGCCAGCACATTAGCAAAGGGTGTGGGACTTGGAGACAGCTGGTTCAGAAGCATCCCAGTCCATACAGCAGCCATGCGTGCACAGCCAGGCTGATTGTTCATGACTAGGATGGGCTGTCTATATTTTATACTCAAACATGATTCGTTACTAATATACAGAGGTTCCATCATGTTTTATCTCATTTTGGAAAAGTAGGGGGGGCAGTAAGATTGATATATAATACAGTATAATTATTCCTTTTAAAATAATAGAAAGTAGGTTCCCAGGTAGCATTTTCATGCAGAATGGCTGATTTGGGGGAATGGATTATTGATGCTACATGTGAGATGTCTGTTGTTTGGCTGGGTTAGAATTCTAGGTTCAAAACGATTTTCTGCAGGAAAATCACTCACACCTGGCAGGTGTTATTCCAGTGTCTTCTTGGGTCCAGGGTTGCTGCTGAGCCATTTGATGCCACTCCGGTTTTTGTTCTTGTTGAGTGGCCTCTTTATCCTCTCTGAGAGCTTTTAGAAGCTTTCCCTGGATGGCTTGCTGACCACCTGTGCCATATTTGAGTGTGCTCCCCTGGGCAGGCTGCTGACCCTCCCGCATCTCAGCTCCTCAGCTGTGAGCTGCAGGCGAGGATGACATGCTTCTCTCAGGTTGCTGTGAAGACAGACACGGGGCCATATTGGGGGCTGCCTGGCAGGTGCCACCTGGCCTTGGCCACTGTCAGTGTTCCCCTGCCTAGGTTCACGCTCCCATGACTTTGCCGGGCTCTTGATGCTGACCCCATCTGGCCTCCCTGGTGCTGGTCTGGGAGAACCATCACTAAGTCCTCCTCAAGAATCCCTGACTTCTTTAAAGCCCATATTGGTCCCTGCCCCAGGCTCTCAGGGTACTACCCATGCCCAAGGCTGGGCCTGCTGCCCGTGCCGTGCTGTAAACCAGGCCCCTGAAACAGCAACAGCAGCAGCTGCGGGAATTTTAGTGTACTCCAGTCTCCACGATCTATCCTGCTATCCCCACTGGAATCTCCTGTGAGGTCGGTGAACACAGGGTTGGGAAGAGGCCTGCATGTGTTGGCTCCAGGGCCAGGGGCTGCTGCCCCAGCTGCCAGCCCCTCCTCCACCCTCTGCGGCCCCTGCCCTGAGAAGCCCCAGCCTAAGCTGCCCACACCCGTGTGCCCTAGGGGACGTTCCCTCCAGCAGAAGGGACCCTTTGTCCTCTCCTGGCCTGGCTGCCTCCAGTGCACACTTCCGTAGCTGCCTTTCATCTTTGCATCCACCCCCTCACCTGCTCCGGACCCTTTGGGGCCGGGACTTGTCACATCTCCCTGTCCCCAGGGGCTAGCCCACGACTGAGGGCTCACTAAGCACATCAAGCTATAATAAATGCTCATTCCCTATACCAGCCTCCTCCTCCCCATGCTCAACAGCACCCTAGAGTGGGATTGTCCTTGCTGTCCCAGACATTGTTTTTTAAGCCATAAAAAGTTTATGGTTTAAGATAATATCTAGAGTGAGGGGCTCGGGCACAAAGTTAAAGGGGCATCAAAAAACTAGAGATTCATGATAAATAGTATCTTACTGCAATATTTCAAAAGACCAAATGCAAAATAAAATGTCTGATGGCCAAAATATCAACATTTGAAAGGAAGACGGGATTAGGAAGAGCCTGAGCCACGTTGGAGCCTGTGGCAAAGGACAACCGGGAACACAAATTTTGCCTTCCCTAAAAATTGATGGAGGTTGTTGAGGGTGGGTGTGGTCGATGTGGGTGCACCCTCAGATGCCTGTACAAGGAAGGGAGAGGAGCAGACAAGCCCTTCCATTCAGGGGCTGCCGGGATGACCCTCCCCGACCAAGAGCAGCTTGACAGGTGAGTGGGGCTACTGCCCACTCTGACATGGTTAGTGGCGCAGGTGTGAGGCCCAGGTGCCTGTCTCCTCTGCGAGTTTTATGCCGCATAAGTTGCCAAAGAGGAAGCGTCAGGGCGAGTGAAGCTTGGGGAAGGCAGGAAGATCCATTCTGCGAATAAGGAGGAGTTGGGTGGTTAGGAATAAAAAGGAATTCACAGGCCACAAGCACACGCTTTTGGTGTTGCAAGACTCTTGGGGAAGCTCAATGCATTTGGTTTAGTGATTCCAAGGGGGATGAGGAGGGAGCTGGACTCTTTCCCTTACAGGGCTAGGCGAGGGTCCCCATGCACCAAACTGCCAAAAACAACCGCTTCAGGCAAGAGAAATCACAGAGAAAATGGCTGGAGCCGTCTTCCAACCCCGGTCCCTGTGCCTTTTACGTCACTTCCTGAAGGTTTCATTGTGTCTGCTGATTACTGCTGTATAACCAGAAAACCTAATTAGCCAAAACGTAAGATGTCATGAGCAGAGGTTCAGATGTTCCAGGACGAGTAATACTGAGGGATTGCAAGAGGGAATGAGGCCTTTAACAGGATTTCTCCTGTGAAAGCAGCTTTGGACAGACGGGGTGCCTCTGCATCCACGAGGGAAAGGCTCCAGCTGTCTGCAATGTTCTTTGTGCAGGGATGTTTGCTCAGACACCCAGGGTCATGGGTTGAATGGTGTCCCCCAAAAAGATATGTTGAAGTCCTAATCCCCAGGACCTGCGAATGTGAACTTATTTAGAAATAGGGTATTTGCAGATGTAAGTTAAGGTTTTGCAGATGTAAGTTTGCAACTGGATTTTGGGGTAGGCCCTAAATCCTATTGTTATGGGATCCTTGGGGTGTCGCTTCACCAGCTGGAAACCTCTGTGGCCAGTGGTGCCTTTGCCTGAGTTTTGCTCAGGCCCGCTGGGCCCACTCAGCCTGGAAGGCTGTGCTCAGCTCGTGCTACTGGCCTGGATCCCAGGCCTGCCAAAGGCGAGCAGAGTGGCGAGGGGTGTGTGAGCGAGTGAGCGTGGGGTCCAGTGGCGCCCAGAAGCTTAAAGATGCCAGGAACTGCAGAGTCCTAAAGAGGGTGTCACAGTCCTGGCTCAGGGAGTGGAGTCCTCACGTGCTGGAGGAGGTAGAAGCTCTGCGAGGCCTTTTTAATAAGGGCACTAATCCCATTCATGAGGGTGGAACCAATCTCCTCCCAAGGGCCCCACCTCTTAATACCAACACAATGGGGATGAGGTTCCAACCTAGGAATTCTGGAGGGACAGCAATATTCACAGCACAGCACAGCCACAAGTCAAGCCCAGAAATGCCAGATTCACCAGAAGCTGAAAGACGAAAGGAAAGAGTCTTCTCTCGAGCCTTTGGAGGGAGCGTGGCCCTACTGATGCCTTGATTTTGAACTTCCCGCCTTTACAATGTGGCAGAAGCCACACAGTTCGTGGTAATTTGTTACAGCAGACCTGCGGGACTGATACAGACATGCGGAGTAAAATGTCAACACTTTTCTGAAGACTGGGGAAGATGTTGTAATGCAGTAAGAACGTGTTAAAATGAGAAAAGTGATCGTTTAGGTTAGAATTGCGTACTTTAATGTCAGCCTGGCTGAAGAACTTTGCCAGTGCTGCGGGGAGTGATTACTACACATGCTTGGTTCCCACGGCGGGGGCTCCACCAAAGGCCAGTCTGGCAGCACCTGAAATGGGGCTGAGCGCTGGGCAGCATTTCAGCGCTGATCCTCCTTCAGACAGTGTCATCCATGATCCCAGGTCAGGGTGCTGACAAGGACAGTTAATGGATAAGTAGATTTGCTGGAGGGCAAATATTGTCCTTTTGGCTTATTTAAATTTTCTGTTTTTCTTTGTGAAAGAATATGAGATCTTTCCAAATGATAAAAAGGCAATAGCCATTACTTTCATGCATGTACATATTTGCTTATTTATTTATTTAGAGACAGGGTCTTGCTCTGTCACCCAGGCTGGAGTGCAGCTCGAGCACAGTGGCACTGTGCACATAGCTCACTGCAGCCTCATCCTCCCAGGCTCAAGCAATCCTCCTGCCTCAGCTTCCTGAGCATCTGGCACTCCAGGGGCACACCACCATGCCTGGCTAATTTTTTGAAAATTAAAACCAAAAATTCATAAGGA
The DNA here is from genome assembly GCF_000001405.40 of Homo sapiens. Classification (NCBI taxonomy): domain Eukaryota; kingdom Metazoa; phylum Chordata; class Mammalia; order Primates; family Hominidae; genus Homo; species Homo sapiens. The sequence goes on along the minus strand of NC_000002.12, from coordinate 240,326,607 downwards.
TGAGGTGTCACCATGTTGCCCAGGCTGCCATTACTTTGAAATAACAAGGCAAAATTGAAAAATGCCCCAGCGTGGTTTTCTCTGCCTTTACTCGGTCACGTGGATAGAAACTTCCATGGCACAGGGGCTGTTCTCAGGGACGAGGCTCCCAGGAAGCCAATTAGTGTTTCCTTCCCCTTCAGCCACATTCCTAGCTAATGATGCTGTTAAGTACCAGCCTTCTCCCTGCTCCCTTACTGTTCTGAATCACATTGCTGGCTTTAAAAGTGTTTAATGTATACCCAAACCTTTGCTTTCATCTTATGCATTAAAAGCAGAAATGTTATATTTTTAAGAGAGACATCAAAAAGGGAAGATGTGAGGATGCAACAGGCTCCCCTTGCTCCAGAATCCCCCGAGAGGCTGATTCTCTTCTGTACGTTGTCTTCACTTTGGCTGCAGTGGCCTCTCACAGCTCCCATCAGTGGACCTGAAGGGGCTTCATCTCTTGACCTGGGGCCAGGAGCTCTGCATGCAGAATGACAGAGGACCCTGGAGAGGCCAGACGGCCATTCACTGTGGGCCTTGTCAGTGTCTTTCTTCACCCTGGGTTTTACTGAAACTCTCTAAAAATAAGCAAAGATTTCCAGGGAAATCAGCTGCCTCTGGAGGTGTGGACACCTGAACTACTTTAGAAAGTACCAGGACTGCTGTCTCTGAAACCAGAGAGGCAGGACAGTGGCGGGGCACCCCCTGACTTCACAGGGGCCACGTGGTCAGGGCTGGCGAATTGGCCAGGTGCCAAGGTGGCCTTGTGCCAAGGACTGTTGTGGGTGGACACCACTCTCAGTGCACGCTGGCCATGCCGTGCAGTGTTTTTGGAAATGAAGAGCGGTTCATTTCCTCCCACCTGAGGAAGTTCAGCCACTCAGGTGCAGAGAGGGCCTTGCTGAATCCACTGAGCTCTGTCAGTTGGAGCCGGTCTGGGTGTGGAAAGAGATGGGCAGACAGCCATGGAACCCGTGATCTCTGTGCATCCTCATCCATGCAAGCCCTGCCTCTCAAATTCCAGGGTTTGGATCCTTGGTGAGCTTCCTCACAGAGCACGTGGGTGCAGAGCGTGGCTGGGTCACCTGCCTGCGTGCACAGTGAAGCTGGGCCGGGGTTGCAATTTATTCTCACCAGAGGGGACCCAGGGCATGGCTGCCTTTGAGGGGTCATGACAAAGGCAGTGTCACTGTCAGAGTCAGGATGCTGCCGGAGTGCTGGGGAGGGAGCGGGGAAGCAGGTGATTCAGCCCCCATCCAGAGTCAGGGAGCCCGCCCTTGTGACGATGGGATTGGGGGTCAGGCTCGATGGGAGGGAGGCGTGCCTGATGACAGGCTAATGCCAACCAGGGAGGGACCGATATGTCAACTGAGAGCCGTCTGAAGAGCAGCTTAGTCTAGACCTGAAGATAGCATCTACAGACCTTTCAAACTTGATTAAGACACACCTGCCACGCGAAGCAGGTGGACAGCAGACATGAGCGCCTTAAGACACAACGTGCTGACATCCGCAAAGGGGCCAGCAGAGCCCCAAGGGGACCTCTGTTCCTGGGCCAGAAGGAGCCTTTCCCTAGAGAAGGTCATTCCTCGGCTCCATCCCCCATAGAACAGTGCAGGAGAGTCACGCATCCCCGCTAACACCCATCAGCTGGTGAACGCTTCTCCCAGATACATCTCTACCAGGCTGCAGCAGCGTGGGTGCTGCTGTCCCATGTGCCGGTGGAGGGCCTGAGTGTCGCAGACCAGCTCACTGAAGGTTTCTGGCAGCCCGCCTGGACGCAGAGAGCACTCTGAACCAGCGCCTCGAGCAATGCTGTGCCCCGTGGGCGACCCATGGAGCCAAGGGGTGGAGGTAGGAGAGGCTCCTCTTATCCCCATCCACAGCATTGGTTTGGTGACGGGTATATCTTCTCCCCACGACTCTGAGCTTTTTAGATTGTAAAGTCCTGGCTCTGGAGGGGTCGTGCTTCCGTGGGAGACACAGCACAGGTCTCATTCAACTTCATGGGTAGCTGCCACCAGGTCACATCTGGCTTCTGAGCTAAGAGGCCAGCAGGCCGGGGAGAAAGCCCCACACTGGCAGGGCCTGGAGGAGGCAGAAGGCGGAAAGGAGAGAGCATGGGGCATGTCCTGGCACGGTGGGAGTGTCAGTGCATGAACGGCATGACGAGGGCAGCCTCTAATTCCCCCCGGGAGCCGCCTCTCTCACGGAGCTGCTGTCCAAGGGTGGAGGGATCTGGAGTGGGAATCTGCAGCTGGTCCCACTGAACCCTCTGCTGTGAGTTTCCCGGGTAAAGAGACCCGCCAGGGCATGGAGGAGCTGCTGGCACCCGGGCCCCACTGCTGTTTGAGGGATGTGGGGACTGTGATGGATGGTGTGGTGCCCGGCCTGGGGCCCCGAAGGGCCGAGGGGCTGGGAGTCGCTGCTGATGGCTCACAGCCAGGCTGTCTTGGGACGCCTTTTGCCCTTCCCGAGTGTATGCCTCCGCCTGGGAACGCTCCAGCCAATGGCTAATCTATGCGGTGGTCTGAAGGCCTGGCCCCTTGCCCCAGTTGGAGACCCCTCTGAGGGCAATTCCAGCTTCCCAGCTCCCAGGGTCGGCCGAGGCTGGGGCTGCAACGGCATTGCAGGTGAGCGTCTCCTCTGCCCTCTGCTTCCCGAATTCCCTCGCAAAGGCCATTCTCCAAAGCATCCCCACAGGCCTCCCGCACAGAAACACCCAAGCCGGGATCACCGCCCAGGCACAGCGGCAGGGGAGGATTCAGCCAACCTTGTCCCATCCCGGCCCCTTCCCCTCCTTGCAGAGTGATCATATCAACCTTTCCTCTGTCAGCCTTTGCAGCCTGGTTTCTTCCTCCCAGGTTTTTACTGAAACGCTAAAAATGAGCAAAGATTTCCGTGAATGTCAGTCCTCTAAGAGGCACGTCTGCGTTATTTCTGCTGCCTTCGCTTTGGGCAGTGACTGGCTCTCGCTGACAGTGGTTCTCCCAGACTCCTTTTCCTCCACCTCCTCATTCCTTTCCGGATTCACTCTCACTTCTTCAAGGCAGAAAATGGTTACGTGCTGTTCTGTGACCAAAACTAAGTCCTTTTAATTAGTATGTTTATGTATTTCTAAATTTGGAAATAAATTAAACGGTTATTTCTGGGGATTCAGTCCTTATTAGTCCCAGAAGAACCGGGAAGTGCACAGCTTTCTGTTTTGCCTGGAACGTCCACTCTGTGTTTCTCCTTGTGCCGGGCACGGTTTGCTCTCTCCCAGGCCGCAGCGCTCTTCCAGATGCCCCTGCAGCCCAGCGCTCTCAGCCGCCCCTTCCAGCCCAAGTCCCTCCTCGGCACGTCGGGTCTGATGGCGGTGGCGGAGCCTGGACTCCCGGCGGGGCCTCCACTGCCCTCCGGTAGGGAGGGGCGGGCCGACTTGGGGCTTATTGGATGCCCCGTCATTTCGTCTCCCGGAGTCCTCTTGTTTCACCGCAGCAGGTGCATGTGTAACGTTTTGGAAGGCACCTGGGCAGTCCTGGCACGCCTTTATTTTCCCCATCCTTGACGGGCAACGTGGCTCAGCCCAGAATGTTAGACTGTAACTTCTCTTTCTTCACTCTGAGCACGTGGATCTTTGTGGGGGCGTCGGGCGCTGCTGCACAGGGAGCTGGGCTGTCCGTCCATCCTCGCGCTCCGGGCCCTCGGCTCCCTCCTGCCTCCAGCCTGCTTGGCCACCTTGCCATGTCTGAGCTTCCCCGGTGTCCTGCTGAGGGGTCAGACTCTGCCGCCACGTTTCCCCTGAGCCATCGCGGGCCCAGCCTCCTCCTTCCACAGCTGACTGAGATCTCGAGTCTGTGAAGGTCTCCTCCCAGTCTGTGTGGATGAACAACCCTTCCACCGTCCTCCCAGCTGGGGCCCGAGGTGGAGAGCAGCCAAGCGCAGATGCCCATTGCGCCATCATTAGCTGGAAGTCACGGCTGCTCAGGAGAGCCTGCAAAGCACACGCTTGCTCTGACTCTCCATCAAGGACTTGTACTGCGTGGCCATTTGATGAACAAACTGACCAAACACCAGGACTTCCCAAGGTCCTGGCTGAGGACAGCGCCCCGGGAACTCTGAAGACAGGACCCGACCACCTAAGAGGTTTTCAAGGATGCTTCAAAACCCGTGGTGTCCTGGGTGCTCCCTCTCACCTGTCACAGGCAGGGGTCCGGGCTGAGGTCCCTTTGCCCTTCTTTTGACACTGGTGATACCCAGGCCATAAAACCGAGCTTTGCAAACCGCTGGGTGTCTGGAACACATAGATGCAGGCCTCACATGCAGTGAGTTATTGCAGCCTCCAGGGAAGGCTCTTCACCGAGGGGGATCTCTCTGCTGCTGTCTGATGCTCCAAGCATTACAGACCTGCACACATACAGCCCTGGATGGTCCTGGACCAATGTTTGCTGCCTCTGGTGCTTTCCTGACACTGACTTATTTTTATTTTATTTTATTTTATTTTATTTTATTATTTTATTATTTTATTTTGAGACAAAGTCTTGCTCTTGTTCCCCAGGCTGCAGTGCAGTGGTGCAATCTCAGCTCACTGCAACCTCTGCCTCCTGTGTTCAAGTGATTCTCCTGCCTCAGCCTCCTGAGTAGCTGGGATTACAGGTGCCTGCCACCACACTCAGCTAATTTTTGTATTTTTAGTAGAGACGGGGTTTCACTATGTTGGCCAGGCTGGTCTCGAACTCCAGACATCAGGGGATCTGCCCGCCTCAGCCTCCCAAAGTGCTGGGATTACAGGCATGAGCCACTGCATCCAGCCTGATTTTTTAAAAACTGATTTCTAAGAAGCAAGGAGGAGGCATCCCTGCTTCATGGTGGCAATGGGAATGGAGCAGCTGGGTCTCTGGTTGGTGACTGCAGGCTTGGGTCAGAGGTGACCTCTCTCTGCATCTGTGTATACCCCCCTTTCTCTCTGCATATATATATATATATATATATATATATATATATATATATATATATATATATATAAATGTGTGTACAAGTAAGGCACATGTACATCCTCCTGGCGAAAATTTAAGTAGAGAAAAACCTGCCGTTGAAGTGACAGCCTTCCTCCACCTCTTCTGGGTCCATCCCATCCACCTCTCAGAGGCGACCGCGTCACCACCGGGGGTGTCCTTTTGGCCATGACCCGTGCAGGCGTGTGTGTCGCTAGACAAGTAGACGTATATATTTGTGGCATTTTTAATACACAGAATCACCTGGTGAGAACTGGCTTACAACTTGCTTTTTCACTTAGCAATATGTTTGGAGGTTTCCCATTTAACCATTCCTTCTTGATGGGCATTTGGGCTGTTTCTATTTTTTCACAATGACTGACAATGCTGTAATAAACATTTTTGGACACGCTTTCTTTAACATATGGGAGCCTGTCTGCTGGAAATATTGTTAGATGTGGAATTTCTGGGATAAACTGGCAGCCTCCATCCCACCCCTCATTCCCGGCACGAACACTGATTCAAAACACTAAATTTGCCAAGTGAAAGATCTCATTGGGAAATGGCCCAGTGGAGGGACTAGCGAAGTGCTTCCTGGCAGCGCCCACATGTTGGGCAGCTTCTGACAGTGCAGAGTGGTCACCCTTCTGTGTTCCATGGACCGACGTGGGACAAGGCAGACTGTGTCCCCACAGAAAGGATCCCACCGTGTGGAACGCTGTGGCATCTTCTGTGTCACAGGACTGCAGGCCCCTGGGGGTGGCAGTGCTGGGGTAGGGGCAGGCACCAGCATGCTCTCCTTGGACTTCTGTGCCTAGTCTTGGACAGGGGTCTTGGATGGAGGGCTACAGTGATGTGCCAGACCACAGAGTGGTTTGCGAAGCTGAGGCTGACCAGCCCGGCTGGGTGCCAGCGGCTCCAACCCCCTTGGAGGCCGGACTGCTGGCTCTGATGGGGCACCTGACTGTGTGACAGCAGCGAGGGAGGGGAAGTGCATGTCCCCAAGAGTCCAGACGGTCCAGAGACAATGAAAATGCTTTATAGAGAAGTAACCAAGTCTTTGCATGTCAGCAGGGGCTTTGTGGAGCTAGAGAAAGGGCTTGTTAACGCCCTCGCTCTGAGTCAGCAAGGCTTCCCGGAAGGTGTGTTCAGCACCAGGATGACCCGGCAGACCCCTGCGGCCACTGCTTCACTGCTTTGCCTCCATCCCTGCTGCTCCCACCCACGTCCTTCCCAGCACGCTCCAGCTTGCTCGCTTCATGGAGAACTTTCCCACGGCTCCCACCCACGGAAACGTTTCCTGCCCTCCCGCTGGGGCCCTCAGACGCTGACTCAGCCTAGATGAGGGCAAGGGCAGCCCGGGTGGTACATCGGCCCCCAAGTCCCAGGTCTGCCTCTTCAGCCCACGGGCCCCTGCCACAGTGGAGCCACCAAGCCAGTCCTCCCCTCCCACAGCTGAGACGCCAGGTGTTCCGGACGCTGGGAGGAGGCAGAGGCGAGGCTCTCCCAGGACGGAGTCTGGGCCCTTCTCAGGCCTGTAGGGAGACACCACTCCAGGTCACATTAGAGAGTCCTTGATCTGGTTCAGGACGTTCTGCAGTGAGGAGCTAGAGGACAGCACACTCCATGTGGTGGGGGCACGCGTGCCAGAGCTGCCTGGAACAAGCAGGTTTAGCAGCATCCTGCAATTTGTTCCAGAGCCCTCTGAGCTGGCTGAATGCTCCAGAAACCTGGTACACAGCTTCTGGCTGCCCCTCCCTGGGCCACCACTAACTCTTCGATTTGTCGTTACAAAGTCAGCACAAACCTACGGACAGCTGGGCCTCCATTAACCAGGAAGACACAGTCCAGGGTTGGGCTGTGCTGCTAGAAACATTATAAGGAGGTTCAGATGAGATGAGAGGCTGGGAAAGGCATCCAGAACAGAGCTCCCTGTTTCCAGATAACCTCAGGGGACAGGACCCACGTCAATTCCTTTAACAAGCAGTCCTTGGATACTAACTGTGCAAGGATCTGGGATGATGGATGTGGGTTTGTTTGATTCAGCAAATGTTCACTGAATGCCTATTATGTATGTGGCTTTGTGCTGGGGACATGGAGATGACCCAGATCTAGCCCTTGTTCTCGAGCTCACGATCTGGTTGGGGAGAACCAGGGCAGGGCCTAGGGTAAGGCAGGCGGGGTGCCTGGGGTGCAGAACTCAGGGAGGCACTTGCTTCCCGGGCTGAGCCTGCACTTGCACAAACCTGGGAGTGAACGCTTTAACTTTCGGGGCATCTCACTTGCCTTATCCTAGTCCTGCTGTCAAGCAGAACCATGGTCAATGAGTGGATGGATGGATGAAGATCTGGATGGATGAATGAAAGCTTGAAAACCACCTACGACCTGGCTAGATTGGGCCACTGTGTTTCCATAACCTTCCCTTCCTCCAGACTCACCCTCCTCCAGCCTCACCCCTCCTCCAGCCTCATTCCCTCTTCCAGTCTCACCCCCTCCTCCAGCCTCACCCCTCCTCCAGCCTCGCCCCCTCCTCCAGCTTCACCCCCTCCTCCTGCCTCACCCTCTTCATGGTACCTGCCACACAGCATCACGAACTGAGGACTCTTCCCATTGTCCCATGAAGTCTCTTGATTCTGACTGGTAGGCATGGAAACTATTCCCAACCCTCTGTGAGCTCTGGTGATTGTTCAGCCTGCTGCTTTCTGGTGGTTCTTTTTCAGGAATCAAGCCCCACACATGCAGAATCAGTGCTCAGTACTTCCCTGAGTTTCTCTCTCCACGAAGTGCCCCACTGCCCAGTACTCGGTCAGTGCTCAGTACTTCCCCGAGTTTCTCTCTCCACCAAGTGCCCCACTCCCCAGTACTCGGTCAGTGCTCAGTACTTCCCCGAGTTTCTCTCTCCACCAAGTGCCCCACTGCCCAGTACTCGGTCAGTGCTCAGTACTTCCCCAAGTTTCTCTCTCCACCAAGTGCCCCACTCCCCAGTACTCGGTCAGTGCTCAGTACTTCCCCGAGTTTCTCTCTCCACCAAGTTCCCCACTCCCCAGTAGTCAGTCAAGTGCATTCTCGGTGTCTTTGCCTCTCCAAACTCCATTCTTGGTTTTTCTGTTTTTTCCCTGCTTATTGAAACAACTAGGAAGTGTTTGGATCCGTCTTCCCTGCACTGCAGCCTGTCCAGTGTCTGAAATACATTTTCGATGTTCCTATGTTACAGGTTTGCATAAAGGCAATTCTATAGCAGTTTTTTAAGTTTTCAAACATATTTGATACATGATCACATTTGTTCCTTACAATAATCAGTGATATTCATAATTCAAGTAATACACGTGACACGGTTTGGATCTGCGTCCCCATCAAACCTCATGTTGAATTTTAATCCCCAGTGTTGGAGGTGGGGCCTGGCGAGAGGTGACTGGGTCTTGGTGGAAGAGTTCTCACGAATGCTTTAGCACCATCCTCCATTGGTACCATAGGGTGAATGAGTTCTCATGAGATCTGCTTGTTTTAAAAGTGTGTATCACCCCCTCTCAGCCCCTTGCTCCTGCCGTGCGAGATGCCTGCTCCCTCTTTACCTTCCACCATGAATAAAAGTTCCCTGAGGCACCCCCGAGAAGAAGCCACCATGCTTCCTGTACAGCCTGCAGAACTGTGAGCCAACTAAACTGCTTTTCTTTATAAATTACCCAGTCTCAGGTATTTCTTTATAGCAATGCTAGAATGGACTAATATAATACCATTTGACAAATGAGGAAAATGCTAGAATATTTAAGTGAGTTAAAAAAACTTTTTTTTTTTGAGATGGAGTATCGCTCTGTCACCCAGGCTGGAGTGCAGTGGCGCAATCTCGGCTCACTGCAAGCTCCGCCTCCCGGGTTCACGCCATTCTCCTGCCTCAGCCTCCCGAGTAGCTGGGACTGCAGGCGCCCGCCACCACGCCCAGCTAATTTTTTTGTATTTTTAGTAGAGACGGGGTTTCACCGTGTTAGCCAGGGAGGTCTTGATCTCCTGACCTCGTGATCCACCCGCCTCGGCCTCCCAAAGTGCTGGGATTACAGGTGTGAGCCACCGCGCCCGGCCTAAGCGTGTTAAAAAAACTTTAACAACATTCTTCTACTTAATAATAGCTACATTGAAATACAATTTGTATTCCATAAAATTCACTGTGTTGAAGCATACAACGCACTGGTGTTCAGCATAGGCACAGAGGTGTGCAGCCACCACTACCATGTAATTTTAGAAAACTTCATTACCCGCAAAAGAAACCTTCCACCCATCAGCAATCACTCCTCATTTCTTCCTCCCTCCAACTCCGGCAGCCGCTAGGCTACTCTGTCTCCATGGATTGCCTGTTCTGGACACTTCACATAAATGCAGTCATGCAATATGTGGTCTTTTATGTCTGGTTTCTTACACTTGGCATAAAGTTTTCTAGGTCTGTCCATGTTGGAACCTGTATTAGAGCTTCCATCCCTTTATGGCTGAATAATATACCTCTATGTGGCTAGACTACACTTTGTTTACCCATTGGTCAGCTGATGGATATTTCGGTTGTTTCTATATTTTGGATATTACGAATAATGCTGCCATGAGAATTGTGTACAAATATTGTGTGAACATATATGTTCATTTCTCATGGGTAGATACTTAGGAATGAAATCACTGGGTAGTATGCTAACTCCATGTTTAACCTTTTGAGGAATTGCCAAACTTTTCCAAAGAGGCTGACCAATTCTCCAGTCCCACCAGCAATGTATGTGGCACCCAATTTCCCCAGATCATTATCAGTGTTCATTATTGTCGGTGTTTTTGTTTGTTTCTTTCTGCTTTTGTTTTAAAAGTTATAGCTATCTTGGCAGGTGTGAGGTGGTGTCTCATTGGGGTTTGCCTGATGAATAATGATTTTGAATATATTTTCATATATGGTTATTGGCCATGTGTAAATCTTCTTTAGATTGATGTCTATTCAAATTTTTACTCATTTTTGTAGTTGGATATTTTGTCTTTGGATTATTTAATCGTAAGAGTTCTTTACATATTCTGGATACAAGTCCTTCATCAGGTATATATAATTTGGAAGTATTTTCTCCCACTCTGTTGGTCTCTTCAGTTTTTTGATGATATCCTGTGCCTCACACAGGTTTCCATTTTGATGAAGTCCAGTGTACCTATTTTTTTCCTTTGTGGTCTGTACTTTTCATGTCATATCTAAGAATCCATTTCCTAACCTAATGTCATAAAAATTTATCCCTATGCTTTCTTTTAGGATTGTTGTAGTTTTGGCTCTTACATTTAGGTCTATGTTCCACTTTGAGTTAACTTTTGTATATAATGTGAGGTAGGGGTCCAACTTCATTCTTTTGCATATGGATGTCCAGTTGTCCTGCACAAATTTGTTGAGAAGACAATTATTTCCCAATTACATTGTCTTGGTATCTTTGTCGAAAATCAACTGACCATAAATTTAAGGGTTTATTTCTGAACTTTCAGTTATATCCCATTGATCTGTATGTCTATCATTATGCCTTCATTAGTATAGCTTTGAAATATTGCAGCTATATAACTTCAGCTATATATTGAAATTGAGAAGTGTGAGTCCTCCAAATTTGTTCTTTTTCAAAATTGTTTTAGCTATTATTGGTCCCTTGCATGTCCATATGAATTGTAGAATCAGCTTGTTAATTTTTGCAAAAAAAAATCTAGCTAGGATTTTGATAGAGATTGAGTTGAATCTGTACATCAATTTGAGGAGTACTGCCATTTTAACAATATAAATGTTCCAATCCATGAACATGGGAAGTCTTTCCATTATTTAGATATTCCTTAATTTCTTACAATAATGTTTTGTAGTTTTTGTGTATAAATGTTGTACTTCTTTGGTTAACTTTATTACAAAATATTTTATTATTTTTGATACTATTACAAGTGGAATTGTTTTCTTAATTCATTTTGGGTTGTTCGTTGGTTGTGTCCAGTTGAGTTTCTATATTAATGTTGTATTCTGCAACCTTGATAAACTTATTTATTGTCATTTCTATACTGCTGAAATGGATAGATGCTGAATTTTGACAAATACTTTTCTTCATTTATTGAGATAATCATATGATTTTTCTTTTATTTTGTTAATTTATAAATATACACACAAATGTATGTATAATATGTTAATGCAATATGCAATGTGTGTACACATATGTATGCCTATTTATTTTTATATATGTATATGTGTATAAGTTTATATAGAAATACATATGTATTTAAGACAATTTTATCAGATGCATACAAATTTGAATTCCTTTTTCTTTCTTGTATCTCTTGGATTAACTCCTTGTCCTCATTTTTCCCTTTTTAATTTACTAGTTATACTTCTTCCTTTTGCTATTTTTTCCCCCAGTGGTTACCTTTGAAATGAAAAAATTAATTCTTGATATAAAAATGTAATATAAGTTGGTGTTTTTTCTTCTTTGCAAATGCAGGGTGCTTTAAAGTTTGATTCAACTTATTCGCATGTTAGCTTATTTGCTATTGTTTTGACGTCTATCTTCTTTACGTATCTTTATATACGTCACATGACATTACTATTTTTGTTTCATACAGGTGATATGCATTTAGACTTATCTGTTTTTTTTCCTTCCCATTGCAACTTATTCCTTTATGCATTCTCGGCCTTCTCTGGGATCATTTCCTTTCTGCCTGAAAAGTACTCTTTAGAATTTCCTTTAGTCTGCCTGTGAGTGTTGAAATCCATCAGTTTTTGTCTGAAAGGTCTTTTTTCAATTTCATTTTTGAAGGATGTTTTTGCTTTGTGGATTCTAGGTGGGCAGTTTTTGTTTTGTCTCTTTAATGCACTGAAAAAAGGGTGTCACTGTCTTCTGGCTTCCACTGGTTATCTTGAGAAGCCACCTATCAGCCCTATTGTTGTTCCTTCGTGAGTACTCTCTGTATATTTTCTGGCAGATTTTAAGACTTCATTTGGCCTTTTGTTTACAGCAGTTTTGCTGTGGTGTGTGCCTAGGTGTGCTTTCCTTTGTCTTATTCATGCTCTGGCTTTGGAGGGCGTCATGTTTCTGTCATTTAAATCATTTCCTCATTTTGGAAAATTCTTGGCCATTCCTCTCAAACACTGGGTTCATGGCTCTCTCCCAACTCCCGTGGGTGCTGTGAATTCACGTGGATGAGACCCTTCCCATGGCCCCCATGCCCTATATTTCTCTCATACTTTTATTTTTTATTTATTTATTTATTTATTTATTTTTTGAGACAGAGTCTCACTCTATCGCCAGGCTGGAGTGCAGTGGTGCGATCTCGGCTCACTGCAACCTCCAACTCCAGGGTTCAAGCAATCCTCCTGCCTTGGCCTCCTGAGTGGCTGGGACTACTGGTGCCCACCACCATGCCTGGCTAATTTTTTGTATTTTTTTAGTAGAGATGGGGTTTCACCGTGTTAGCCAGGATGGTCTCGATCTCCTGACCTTGTGATCCCCTTGCCTCTGCCTCCTAAAGTGCTGGGATTACAGGCGTGAGCCACCGCGCCTGGCCCCCTCTCATACTTTTAAAATGTACTTTCCATCTTTGAAAAATTTTCTCACTTTAGACAGATTTTTTAAATTGCCCTCTCTTCCAGTTCAGGAATCTTCTCTTCTGCTATGTCTAATCAGCTGTTAAATCCAGCCATTGATTTCTTAATTTCATTACTGGGTATTTCAGTTCTAGAATTCCTATTTGATTTAAAAAAAATTCCAGTTTTCTGATAAAGTTCTCCATCTTGCCATCTCTTTTCTCGATTATATTAATCATAGTTATTTTAAATTTGTATTTGATATATCTCGTATCTAGACTGTCTTTGGTTCTGTTGGAATATTTATATTTTCCCATTGTTTACTGTTGAGTGATCTTATCTTTTGATATGACTGGCAACTTTTAATTGCCCATAGCTATGTTTTAAAAATTACTGAGTTAAGTTCAAATTAGCAAGAAAAAAACAAACAATCCCATCAAAAAGTGGGCTAAAGTCATAAATAGACAATTCTCAAAAGAAGATATACAAATGGCCAGCAAACACATGAAAAAAATGCTGAACATCACTAATGATCAGGACAATGCAAATCAAAACCACAGTTCGATACCACCTTACTCCTGCAAGAATAACCATATTTGAAAAATCAAAAAATCATAGATGTTGGCATGGATGCGGTGAAAAGGGAACACTTCTACACTGCTGGTAGGAGCGTAAACTAGTATAACCACTATAGAAAACTGTACGGAGATTCCTTAAAGAGCTAAAAGCAGAAGTACTATTTGATCCAGCAGTGCCACTACTGGGTACCTACTCAGAGGAAAAGAAGTCAGTATGCGATAAAGATACCTGCACATACATGTTTATAGAAGCACAATTTGCAATTGCAAAAATATGGAACCAGCCCAAATGCCCATCCATCAATGAGTGGAGAAAGAAATTGTGCTACATCTGTATAGGATGGAATACTACTTAGCCATAAAAAGGAATGAATTAATGGCAATTGCAACAACTTGGAAGGAACCGGAGACTATTATTCTAAGTGAAGTAACTCAGGAATGGAGAACCAAACATTGTATTTCTCACTCACAGGTTGGAGCTAAGCTATGAGAATGCAAACTCATAAGAATGATACAATGGGCCGGGCGTGGAGGCTCATGCCTATAATCCCAGCACTTTGGGAGGCTGAGGCGGGTGGATCACCTGAGGTCAGGAGTTCGAGACCAGCCTGGCCAACATGGTGAAACCCCATCTCTACTAAATACACAAAAATTAGCGGGCGTGGTGGCGGGCACCTGTAGTCCTAGCTACTCAGGAGGCTGAGGCAGGAGAATCACTTGAACCTGGGAGGTGAAGGTTGCAGTGAGCCGAGACTGCGCTGCTGCACTCCAGCCTGGGTGACAGAGTGGGACTCCATCTTAAATAAATAAATAAATAAGTAAATAAATAAGAATGATACAATGGACTTTGGGGACTCAGGGGAAAGGGTGGGAGAGGGGTGAGGGATAAAAGGCTACAAATTGGGTTCAGTGTATACTTCTCGGGTAATGGGTGCACCAAAATCTCACAAATTACCACTAAAGAACTTACTCATGTAGCCAAATACCACCTGCTTCCCAAAACCCTATGGAAATAAAAAATTTAAAAAATAAAAGTAAAAATAATAATGACTGAGTTAAATTGAAGTTCTGGGTGGCTTTAGTTTCTTACAGCTAGGATTTACTTTTGCTTGGATAAGCACGAGGGTTTGCTTCGGAAAGATCATCCTAATCCAGTCTGGGATTGAGCTGATTGGAAGGTGAGCTTTCATCTCCAAACGGGCTGATCTAGTTCTTTCTGTTGTACTCACACTTCCAGAGGGCCCCACCTGAAATGCTGGATTGCTTACTGAATCTCCTGCCCCTAAGTCCTCTTTGAGAAGATGAACACCCATTTTTCCCCCGCTAGTCCTGTGAGATGGCTGGAAACTCTGCTTAGACTCTCAGACTCGGCCTCTGTGTCTTGAGGAGAATGGAGAACTGCCTTTCCAAATGTCCCTTTCTCTGGGCTCTCAGTCTGGCAAATCCTCATTGACTGGCAGTTCTCGCCAACACCTTCACACAATTAATTTTCTGTATAGGGTCCAGATTTCCTAGTTGTTTCTAGCAGAATTATTAGTCTACTGAAAAAAAAAAGAAAGAAAGAAAACAAAAAAGAAAGATGACCATTGCTAGAAATGGAGAACCGGTCCTTTCTTTTTTTTCTTTTTTGAGACGGTGTCTCACTCTGTCGCCAGGCTGGAGTGGAGTGGCAGGATCTCGGCTCACTGCAATCTGCGCCTCCCTGGTTCAAGCGATTCTCCTGCCTCAGCCTCCTGAGTAGCTGGGAGTACAGGCACCCGCCACCAAACCCGGCTAATTTTTTGTAGTTTTAGTAGAGATGGGGTTTCACTGTGTTAGCCAGGTTTGTCTCGATCTCCCGACCTTGTGATCCACCCGCCTCGGCCTCCCAAAGTGCTGGGATTACAGGCGTGAGCCACCGCGCCCCGCCAAGTCTTTGTTATTTCTAAAGCATGAACATATTCCCCTATATTGTTTTCTAAAGTATTTATAGCCTTTCCTTCTGTATCTCCCTGTAATTCATGTAAAATTGATTTCTTGCACAGTGTTGGGGAGGGGCCTGCGATGGCCCCAGTGTGTGAGGAGCTGAGAGGAGACAGGGCTGCGCTCCCCTTGTCTGTCACTCCTGTCAGCGTCTGTGATATTCTTTTGTTTTAAAAATGTTAATTATCATACACATACCTCTTTGGATTAAAGGGTTTTTTTTTTCTGGCTCTTGTGACAAGAGAATTTATAGACCCCTTGTCACTCTTGCCAGTCATGTGTCTCCTCGGAAGGTATCGCTCAGCGCCTGCAACTGCCTAAAATCTGAGACAGGATAGGCCACTCCTCAAAGAAAGCAGAGGATGAAGGAGCACTGGCTCTGAAATGGGGCTTCTGGGGGAGGCGGCTTTGACAAGCCAGGGGCGGATATCAAGAAGACAAAACGACTCTGACCCAACCATAATAGTCAGAATTAGAAAGCCATTTGCAAGTGGTTTCGGGAATTACAGAGACCCCATGGCCTGAGCAGGTGTCGGGGAACCTCAGAAGTCTGGAGTCTCCACCACATTGAGAAGGAGACTGGGGGCTTGGAAAGGGCCTCTTTGTGCCGTCCATGGCCATGTAGACCCCACAGTTGCAGGTGCAGCCTCAGCAGGGCCGAGGAGAGCAGCTTTGGTGTGGACCGTGTGAGAAGCCGGCAGAGCAGCTTTGGTGTGGACTGTGTGAGAAGCCAGCAGGGCAAATCCGGTTCCCAGGAGAGCACCAGATGGGCCACCCCAGGTGTATTTAGGGACCCTACGCCGCCCAAAAGTGCTGAGTTCTCTACCTTCAGGCAAAGAGTAACAACAAATCTAGAACTCTCCCATCAACTAAAGGAGGGTGGATGAGATCCCGACAGTTGGGGCTTCAAAGCACAGATCTCATCCCCTCCTTGCATGGGTGGTGGCCAAGGGAGAAATGGGCGTCCCAGGTCAACAGAGACCACAGTATCCAACCTATTACTGCATGATGGGAGAAGGTGGCACAATCAGGCCTCCAATTCCTTCCCTCTCCCCCTCCCGCCTCTACTGGCCAAAATGGAAGCCTACCTCTGGGCAGATGTGGGTCCGGAGGGCTGACTTTCACCCAGCCAGAGATTCAGAGGGTCCAGGCCTGCTTCATGGCCACCCCCGACGAGAGGTCTCTGAGACCCGGGGCCCAGAGCCGTGACCCCAGACGCCCTTCCTAAGGCCCGAGGCTCTGGACCCTGACCCTGGAGAGTAAGTGTGGTCAGAAGAAGTCCCCCATGCCGGCCTGGACTCCAGGGCCACCCAGCAGAGAAGTCCCTACTCTGTGCTTGGGGACAGGAGGGGGGACAGGAGGGGCCCTGGGAGGTAGGGGAGGTGGGGAGAGAGAGGCTCACTCCTGATGCTGCCAGCAAATCTGAGGTTTGGAAACAAAGCAGGCAGCTTGGGAGGATGAGGAAACAGTTCTTTCTTGTGGAATAGGTTTCCCCCAAATTTGTGGCTACCCAGAACCTCAGAATGGGACTTTATTTGGAAATAGGGTCTCGGCAGATGTAGTTAGTTAAGATGAGGTCATATTGGATTAGGAGGGTCTGAATCCAATGAGTGTGTCCTTATAAGAAAGATCAAAGACACACAGACACACATAGACACACACAGACACCCATCATAGACACACATACAGAGACACACACACAGAGACACACAGAGACACCCATCATAGACACACACACAGAGACACACACAGACACCCATCATAGACACACAGAGACACACACACAGAGATACACACACCCATCATAGACACACAAAGATACACACACACAGAGATACACACAGACACCCATCACAGACACACACAGAGACACACACAGAAACACACACACAGAGACACACACAGACACCCATCATAGACGTGCACACAGAGATACACACAGACACCCATCATAGACACACACAGAGACAAACACACCCATCATAGACACACACACAGAGACACACACACAGAGATACACACACCCATCATAGACATACACACAGAGACACACAGAGGTACACACACCCATCATAGACACACACACAGAGACACACACACAGAGATACACACAGACACACATTATAGACACACACAGGCACACATGCAGAGACACACACAGACACACACACACAGACATACACACAGAGACACACACACAAAGACACACACAGACACACATAGGCACATACACAAAGACACACATAGACACACATTATAGACACAGACACACACAGAGACACACACAGAAACACATGCAGACATACACACAGACATACACAAACACACACATAAATATACATCAGAGATACACACAGACATGCAGACACATATAGACACACAGGCACACACAGAGACACACAGACACACATCATAAACACACACAGACATACACAGATTCATATCATAGATACACATACAGACGCACAGACACACACACATAGACATATCACATACATGCACATAGACACACATCATAGACACACACACACAGGCACACACAAAGACACACACAGAAACACACACAGACACACATCATAGACACACACAGAGACACACACACAGACACACATATATAGACACATACACACAGAGACACACACAGAGACACACACAGACACACACACAGAGACACACACAGACACACATATATAGACACACACAGAGACACACACACACAGAGACACACAGACACACATACATAGACACATACACACAGAGACCCACACACAGAGACATACACAGAGACACACAGAGACACAGAAACACACACACAGAGACACACACAGAGATACACACGGAGACACATGGAGGAGAAGGCCCTGTGCGGGGAAGGCTGAGACTGGAGTGATGTGTACTGGCCACGGATCGCCACAGGCTGCCAAGGCCAACAGAAATGGGAGAGAGGCACGGAACAGGCTCCCCTCAGAGCCCCAGGAGGACCAGGCAATGCCTGATCTCAGACTCCGGCCTCCAGGCTGTGCAAGAATAAGTCTGTTCCTATCTGCCTCCGGGTTTGTGGCAGGTTGGTACAGCAGCCCTCGGAAACAGCTGCACCCCTATACTGTCCCTCACACCCTGTGTGCCCCCATAGGTCACCGAGAGCCCCTGAGGTGGGCGCAGGGAGGGTGGGCCCGAGCTTACGGGACTCGGTGTGGCTGGGAGGCCATGGCTCCTCCCCTGGAGCAAGGGAGAGGCGGAGAAGATGTGCAGGCCTTGGAGGTGCCGGGGCCAGGGCCAGATTCAGGAGCACCTTGGCCGTGCTCTCCAGAGTCCTTCTGCAAATTAGCCCAGCTCAGGAACCCCCAGAGAGAAAGGTAAACGGTGGAAGAGGAGACAGAGCATGGGGCATGGGGTGTGCGGTCCCGAGGCACCAGGCACCCCAAGGTCATCCTGTGATGACTGAGGCATTGCATTCACCCTCCCAGCGGCTTGCATCAGAGAGAACAGTCCAACAGCAAACCAAAACCACCTGAATACAAGGTGGAAGGAAAATGTCAAAATGGTTGTCTCTGGGTGGTAGATTTTTTCTATTAGTTCTCTATATTTTCTAAATTTTCTACAGTGATGATGAGTTTCTTTGCAAATGAAAAAGAAAATATCCTTTTGCTTTCGAAGGGTCTTAATTAATAGGATGAACACTGAAACTTACAAGCCGCGGGCTCCACAGTGATGGGGGTAAGACGATGGTGGGGTGTGTTCTGGAGTGGGGGTGACTTTCTGATCAGCAGACGGGCTGAGTTCTATCTGCTGGCTTGGAAAGCAGTGACACATGGTTTTAGATCAGCAGTTCTCAAAAACTTCTCAGTTGATCTCCAGATTCGCATAGGGCCGTGTTTGTGTATATGGGTTATAGCTATCAAATTGACATTAAAAATTAGAGAACAATTTTAAATATTCATTTGTTAATTCACCAAAAATTAACCATTACAAACCCATTACATGTCAGCACAGATATCTTAACTTTTGATGAAAAACATAATTCTATTTTCTGAACCCCCCCCCCAAAATGGACAGAAGTGGCGCTTTTTTTTTTTTAAACATTTTGCCAAATCTCTTTAGTGTTTGGCTTGATAGAAGACAGCTGGATTTTCCTATCTGTTTCTGCATTCAATCTGCTGGTATATCCTGTCTCAGCTGAAGTATATGAAGAAAATCTGGCCTCATACAGACAGATAGCTGGAAAAGAGAGGAGTATTTAAATCACTTTTTTTTTTTTTGAGATGGAGTCTTGCTCTGTCACCCAGGCTGGAGTGCAGTGGCGTGATCTCGGCTCACTGCAAGCTCCGCCTCCCGGATTCACACCATTCTCCTGCCTCAGCCTCCCGAGTAGCTGGGACTACAGGCACCTGCCACCACGCCCAGCTAATTTTTTTGTATTTTTTTTTTTTTTTTTTTTAGTAGAGACGGGGTTTCGCCATGTTAGCCAGGGTGGTCTCGATCTCCTGACCTCATGATCCACCCACCTCAGCCTCCCAAAGTGCTGGGATTACAGGCTTCAACCACCGCGCCTGGCCTAAATCACATTTTTAGATAGCTGTGGATATTATTCTTTGACACCACACTAAAACTTGACAAACAGTAGTTTCTTGAAGATTGGTTGTAATGTAGGATCTGAAACCATATCAAAGAAAGAACTTGTCTTTGTTCTGTTAACACCTCCTGGTCTATCTTGCACATGGCATTTGTTTTCACCCGTGAGCGATTTTATAAAAAACACTCTTTAGTCATTTCGAACACCCTTGTTCACGGATGTATGTGGCTCTCCTGAATTATTGATACATCTTAGTATATCAAAAATCGCCTTTATTAGTAACACCGTCAGTCTCACCAGAAAAGCCTTTAAGTGTGGGGATGTTATCAAGCTCATTATGCAAATTTTCCAAAATTCTAGTTTTTGCTTGCAAGCTTGAATTTTATCATTGGCAACAGATATTATCGGTTGCTTTTTTTGAAGCCAAAGATTCATTTCATTCATTCTTGAGAAAAATGTCTGCAAAATACCCAAGTCCAATTAGCCATAATTTGTCCATTAGTCTTTTTTTTTTTTTTTCAAATTAAAATGGTGTTCCACGAAAAAGGCGGCCAGTGCAGCGGGCAACTGAAATGATCCTAACATGTGCTTTTTCCAGTTGGCGTCAGTAGACCGCAAAAGTGCTTTACCTGCACTTCCCATTTTGTCATGCAGAATATTAAAGAGATGTATACTTAAGAATTTGGATTTTTAGGCGGGGTGCGGTGGCACATGCCTGTAATCCCAGCACTTTTTGGGAGGCTGAGGTGGGCGGACCACTTGAGGTCAGGAGTTCGAGACCAGCCTGGCCAACATGGTGAAACCCCATCTCTACTAAAAATACAAAAATTAGCCAGGCCTGATGGTGGGCACCTGTAATCTCAGCTACTCAGGAGGCTGAGGCAGGAGAATTGCTTGAACCCAGGAGATGGAGGTTGCAGTGAGCCAATTGCACCACCGGGCTGGGTGACAGAGCCAGACTCCCTCTCAAAAACAAACAAACAAACAAACAAACAAACAAACAAAGGATTGCGATTTTTAAAAAGTTAATAATTTGGATGGTTTTATCAAGGACATTTTAAGTAAAATTTGCATTTTCTTTCCTGCAGATATGTGGCGGTGACCACCGCCATGACTACTGCGTTTCTGGGTGCCGCTGTCCTGATTCCTGCTGAGGCACCAGCAGTTTGAGTGACAGCTGCTTTTGTATCTCAGTGCAAACGTGGTGACATTTGCCTTTGTATTACCCTGAAAACAGTTCTGACCTTGGGAAACCCATGACAGAGTCTCAGGAAACTCCAGGAGTCTGTGGACCACACTTTGAGAACCATTCCTTTTTTTTTTTTGAGACGGAGTCTCGCTCTGACGCTCAGGCTGGAGTGCAGTGGCGCGACCTCGGCTTGCTCCGCCTCCCGAGGACAAGCACTCTTTTAGACGACTCGTAGATCATGTAGGTAATGTGTATAGAGCCACGTGGAGCTAGGTGTGTAAGGGTGTATGTGTGTGTGCGTGTGTGTGTATTTATAGGTTTTTTTTTTTCTTTACCTCGCGGGGGCTTTGCTGGTTTGAAAGGTTTCAGAGCTATTCCTTCCTCTGCACAACTCTAACAGAGCAGATGACCTGGGGTGTGGATCACCTGGGACTTGCGAATCTGGGGCCTCATGCAGAGGGGAGCAGCTCTGCTCTTTCCCCACAGCCCCTCTCCTCCCTGCTCTCTGGACTCAGCTCTCCAGCTCTGGATGGGGTCTCGGTAAAGTCCCACATCTCCCTCCGCAGGTCCTTATCAGGCATAGGAATGGTTTCTTTCCATGTTTAAAATAGCCCCCCGGGGGTTCATCCTGAGCCCCCATTCATCTGCCACATGCTCTCCTCCCCATCAAGGGGCTGTCCCAGGCTGGGAGCTGGCGAGGAGGGCGCACCAGGGGACGGAGCAGGCCCACGTGGCTGGAGGAGGTGAGGTGGCTGGAGTGTTTGCTGGGACACTGCCATGGCCTCGGGGGCTCCCCCTTCACTTCAGATCTCCCCGTTATAACCCCACTGAATTATTTCTCTTACAACTGGCTGCGCCGACGTCTCCTTTGGCCCCTGGATCTTGGAGTCCAGGCCTTCCCCTGCACAGGTCACTCAATTAACTCAGGCGTTTCTCTTGCTGTTTGGGGGTCAACATCTGTCCTACACCCTTGAACCAGGGCGAGTGACTCCCAGCATGGCTCTGGGCAGCATCTAAGCCACTCTGGCAGCCGTGATCTCCGTGACGCCTCCTCACTCGGCTTGTGGGGGCAGGACACCCCCTCTCGCCCCGTGGTGTCTCTGAGGGCTGGTCGGGGTGGACATTGACGCCCTCAGCCTCTGGAGAGCCCCGGGCCTTCTTCGTGTGGCCTGGAGGACGGTGGCTGGAGCTGGCAGCGTTGGTCACAGCCTCTGAGCACGCCCAGTGGTGGCTTCTGTGGCGGCTTTGACAAGGGGACGGGACCTAGGCTACATTCCTTTCCCCCAGTGTCCTTTCGTGACAAATGTGTTTGGCAGTTGACAGAAGAAACAAGAAGCGACTGCTCAAAGACCTTGGTGGCCTCACAGAACCTCATAAAGGATTCTCTAGATAAGAGCTCGTGGTGGCTCTGGGTCGGCGAAGATCCAGGAAGGGTGCTGACACCAGCCCTGAGCCACTTGCAGGGTGCACTCTGCCTGCGCCCCACCACGTGGGCCCTGTGAACTCTTAGCTTTTATCAGGCATCTAATGGAAAGCTGAGGAGAAAGGACTCCCTCATTTTGAAACTCCTCAATGGCTTGGCCCCAGGATGACACCAGGTCAGAGCTGAGCTGAGGCCTCAGAGAGAAGAGAGCAAGTGGCAGAGTCTGTAGTGGGCGCTGAGGCTGGAGGGAGCTGGAGAAAGCTGGAGGCAGGGGGACACGCGTTAGGTCAGCCCTCCAGGCTATCTGATAGGAAGGTCACAAGGGCAAGATGAGGTCAGGCTGAAGAGTTTCAGATACAAAACCCCAGTGCCATATCATTTCCTGAGCAATTCAGGGGTCATTCAGGAACTGTGTAATCTCCTACTTGGGCTTCACCCCCTGGGAAGAGCTAACCTCAGTGCCCGTGTACTTGGCAATATGGATTCTGATTCCTTTCTAAAAATCACTGATCAGCACTGCCACAGTAGTGCTGGATACTAACTGCCTCCCAACTGTGGGGTGTGCAAAAATAGGCGTTTGCTCCCCCACTCGTGGGTCTGCAGGCTGATCAGCATTCTGATGATCCAGGCTGTGCTGGAGGCTCTGACTATCTGCAAGTTGGGTGCATGTGGCTTCTCATGAAGGATAAGAATCAAATCTGTTCCATGTGTGTTTGTTCTGGGGACCAAGCTGAAGAGCTAACAACTCATGAGGAATGCTTTCCTTATAACATCCCAGATGGACAGGAGCCCTGGTAAAATGTGGAAGTGCACAGAAGTCCTTGGCTCAGGTGCAGTCTGAGAATGTTCCGCTGGCCAAAAGATGTCATATGACCAAACCCAAAACCAATGGGACAGGAAAGAGTCTATCCCACCCACAGTGGGAGAGGGAAGGGAGTGAATGTTGGCTGAGTCAATCCAAACTCACACACTTAAGCCCTATGCACCAGCTTTTGAAGGAGAGTTGGGGTGACTAGGGGCTAAGGTCTGGGCTGCTCATCTCTGTATCTTCAGCTGGACTGTGGCTCACTCTTGTTGCTTAGGAGTAGAGAGGGTGAATGGAAGACCCAATAGTCAGACCTGGGCTAGAGAAGGCAATAAGGGGATAGCACTGAGCCTTAGGCAAGTGGGCTGGCACCTCTTATAGAAGGACAAAGTCTGGCCTCATCTGGACCTGGTCCATGGGATGCTGCCCTCTTCTGCAACAAGGACAGTGAGCCTGGTCCACAGGATGCTGCCCTCTGTTGGAACAAGAGCAGTGGACCTAGTCCATAGGATGCTGCTCAGGTGTTTCTCTCCCTTTCTGGGGGTCAACATCTGTCCCACACCCTTGAACCAATATGAGTGACTCCCAGCACGGCTCTGGGTAACATCTACATCTCCTGCAACAAGCACAGTAGGCCTGGTCCATGGGATGCTGCCCTCTCTTGGAACAAGGCTGGTGGACCTTGTCCATGCGATGCTGTACTCTCCTGCAACAAGAATAGTGGACCTGGTTCATGGGATGCTGCACTCTTCTGCAACATGGATGGTGGACCTGGTCCACGGGATGCTGCAGTCTCCTGGAACAAGGACAGTGAGCCTGGTCCACAGGATGCTGCCCTCTGTTGGAACAAGAGCAGTGGACCTAGTCCATAGGATGCTGCTCAGGTGTTTCTCTCCCTTTCTGGGGGTCAACATCTGTCCTACACCCTTGAACCAATATGAGTGACTCCCAGCACGGCTCTGGGTAACATCTACATCTCCTGCAACAAGCACAGTAGGCCTGGTCCATGGGATGCTGCCCTCTCTTGGAACAAGGCTGGTGGACCTTGTCCATGCGATGCTGTACTCTCCTGCAACAAGAATAGTGGACCTGGTTCATGGGATGCTGCACTCTTCTGCAACATGGATGGTGGACCTGGTCCACGGGATGCTGCAGTCTCCTGGAACAAGGACAGTGGACCTGGTCCACGGGATGCTTCATTCTCCTGGAACAAGGATGGTGGATCTGATCCACGGGATGCTGTACTCTCCTGGAACAAGGGTGGTGGAAGCAATTGGTCATTGCCAAGAGCATCAGGCTGGGCACCTGAATACCTAATGCGATGGCAGGACAGCTTACAAAATCAAGGGCATCAGAAACCCTGGACTGAGGATTTTCAGCCACAGATGGAAAGGCAACCTGTGAACGTCTTGCTCTCTGCTTGTGGTGCACACTTGATGCCTGGCCTTGGAGTATGGAGAGTGAGAGCCACTCTGTGTTGGCAGATCTCTTCTGCAGGTTTAGGGCTCAGGTTGGCCTCCCCTACTCTGCTGTGCACCATCTGACTTACCGAGGGTCTCCATCTCCTTCTCGTAGTCTCTGGCTTTGACAACCTTAGAAAACAGCTAACGAAGGAAGAGTCAGTGGTGACCAGGGGCTCCCTTTTGAATCAACTAATTGTGATAAAATATTTGACCTGGTTTCACTAAAATATGAGAAGACCGTTTTTATTCCCAAATGGTGGGCCCCAGCAGGTTCCTCCCCCTGGCCTGGCCCTAGCCCCCATTGCCCCCAGGACACAGTGAACACTCACAGCAGGCACACGGGCTGGCCACGATCCTGTCCCTGCTGGTGTCTCTGATTTCCTCATTCCTGCCCCCAGCTTACCCTCCTCCCTGGCATGCAGAGCCATACGTGGTCCTTTGAAGCTCTGTGGCCTCCGAAACTTCTTGTCCTTGGTAGGGGCTGTGCTCTGTACCCGGAGCCGCTTCTCTCCCTCCCCTAGCGGGTGTCCTGCACTCCCTCCTGTCGGAACTGTTAACGCTCAGCCGTCATCAGGTCCTCCCAGCCCCTGGGTTCCTGGAGGGCAGAGCCTGTGTCCAACTACCTTTGCCTTTCCAGCACCCACCCCAGTGCCTGGCACAGAGCAGGTGGCATGAAGTGAGTATTGGGTGGACATATGAATTACCAACAAAAAGAGAAGGGCAGTGGGAAAGGACGGGTTTTGTCCCAGGCTGGGGAACGTACTCATCAACCCTTGTGTGTGCTGGTAAATGTTGAACAACGGACTCTCAAAGAAAAAACAAAGTCCCCTATTTCTAGTGTTTGCTGATTCCCATGGTGTAAACACTCCTGGCATGGCTGACTTCAAGCTGATGATGCAGAGATGGGAAGAGGACAGTGGGCTCTCATGAGCTGGCACGAGCTGGCTCAGGCACACGCTGGCGCTGGGTCAGTCCCCTGTGCCAGGCCCTGGGGGCTGTTTCTCCATCTGTCGACTGTCCTTCGAATGAGGCCCCAGGGAGCTGTGAGTTCCAGGCCCAGGCATACTCCTTGTTCATGAAGTGGATAGGACCCTGAGCTGGAAAAGTCAGGGCAAGCAACTGAGATCGGCTCCCAGAGAGTCGGGAAATGGCCACAAGACCAAAAGCCATGGCTGCGAGGCTGTGTGCTTCAGAAAGTGGCCCTGAAGTGTCCATTCTGGTCTGAGACTGGATTCAGTGTTTCCAGCCAGACTGGTCTCCCGTTCTCCTGCTGTGGCCTGGGACAGGCCCAAGTGAGAACATCTTGTGCTGGACCACAAACTCAGCCTGAGCTCCGGATGGCTGGGAGGGGCCCCCAGCCCTTCCTCAGAAGGCTCTGGCTCACGTCACAGGCATGCTCTGCCTTTCCCGGTGCCCTCGGCACCCCCACCAGTGTCTGGGGCATCGTTTTTGTCTATCTCCCTTCCCCTGATCCCGAGGCCCAGACTCCCGCCTGGCCTGTCAGTCAAAGGCTCCCTGGCCAGGCAGGGTGCTGTTCTGATGCCTGAGGACCCACCGTGCAGCAGGAAAGGGCCGCTCACTCCCATCCAGACAATTGCCCAGGAATGCAGCTGGTGTTGGGCTCTGTGCTGGCTCTGGAGACTCAGCCAACACCTGCCTCCTGGGGGTCATGGTTTTGGGGTCTGGGAGCCTGCTTTCACAGTTTATGAGGCAGCTCACACACAGCCACCAGGTGCACGATTGCAGGAGTCAGAGGGAGACTGGGGAGCATGAGAATGACAAGGGTGCTGTCACAGGCCAGGGCCCAGAGTTAACTCGTCCCTGTTGAGTGGCAATCAGCATTTAATTTGCTTTGCCACCCGCCCCACTTCTCTCTCTCTCTCTCTCCTCTCTTTCTCTCTCTCTCTCTCTCTCACACACACACACACACACACACACACACTCACTTACTCTACCATTTTATTACTGCTGCCTGAGATGGTAGCTATGGATAAAGATAGAGCCCTCCACTCAGAAACACTTTTTGAGGCTGAAGTGAAAGAACTCCCACTTCAGAAATTACAGGGAATGTCTGTCTTCTAGGTGGAGACTGACCAGGCATTCGAGGCAGAGCCCCCATGTCTGCAAGGGCCGCCCTGTGGGACCCTTGTCTCCCAGCTGGAAGCCACCCACATCCTGCCTTGGGGAGAGCTGTCTGCAGGCTGGTGACGCGCATGAGCTGGCTTTAGGCTGGGATGGAGGCACACCCTTTGAACACACTTGGCCGGCGGGGAGCTCAGCAAAGGGACCACACTGTCTTGGTGTTTTTTCTAAACCTGAGTTCGGAACCCACTGCCCTCCTTCTTATTTTTGGAGGGGTGTGCATCCTAGCGCTGGTCCAGGAGATGAGTGGCCCAGAGCCGAGCCTGTCTGGTGGGAGGCCTGGGTGGGCCTGGCCACTGTGACGTGGCTTCAGCAGTGACAGTGATGGTCTCATTCAGGGGACCACAGAGTCAGCAGCACCCCCTGGAGGGAGAGGATGGGCTTTCTGCTGTCCCCCTGGAGAGAGGGTCATGGGGAGGAAAAGGCTCACGGTGCCCTGGGAGGGCACTGCCCAGTGGGCCAGCCTGAGGTGGGCCCTGACCTGGGTGTTTTCAGGGGTGCTGGAGTGGGAGGCAGGGGAGACACGAAGGGCCTGAGGAGGAGGCTGCCTGGACAGGTCTGGAAGGCATGTCTGGGTCCCCAGCTGATGAGGTCGAGGGAGCTCCACGCTGTGCCCCCTGTAGCACCATGCCTTGCCAAGGCCCTCATCAGCATCCAGGCAGGCTGAGGAGCCCGGAGGAGGCCAAGGGCAGAGGTGTGGCCAGGAGGTCACAGGTGCCAAGACATGCGGCCAAGGAAGGGACAAGGAAGCTGGGTGCAGCCCCTGCAGGAAATGCCCAGAAGGCCTGGACGGGGCAGCTCTGGGGACCGTTTCTGGACCTCAGACCAGCAGGGCCCATCCACAGGATTCCAGACCAAACAGGAAGTGTGTGTAGCCTGGTTCTGGGACCACAGCCTGTCAAGCGGAGGACACTGAAGAGCAGGCCACGGGCTGCACTCCTTGGACTCTTGTTTATGTTCCTTTTGCTCCTTAAATTAAAATTGGACACAGCCTGTGCAGAGGGTCACTTAGAATCACGCAGAGGCCACGTGCACACACGACCGTGTGCTTGCAAATGATCCTGCATGGGGGGCTTTGAGGCCCGGTTTGCCCCTTAGACAGTGCCAGTGCCTGGAATTTATATTTGTATTTCTATCTCTGTTATTTATGTTCATGTGCTCCCCCCAGCAAAGCTAAGACAGGAACTGGCCTTTTGAATCACATGGGCACCATCCTGACTTGACTTGGAATGTTCTAGAACAGGCCTGCCAACATGGAGACCGAGTCTCGGTAAGGGAGCTGCAATCAATGCTGCAGAGCACCTGTTTTTCTTCCAGGTCTCTGAGGTGAGCAGGGCTCGTGTTCCGACACTGCTTCATGGTGGGCGTTGTAGGCAAATCCCCTGAAAAGGTTTTTCTTTCAGAAAAAGAAAGACTTTATTCCATTGAGCAGTCTGCAAACCAGGGAGACGTAGCCTTTGGCATGAAACAAAAGTGTGTTCTGAGAGAAGAAAGAGAGGGGACGTCATTTATAAAGTTCCCACCCAGGTTCCCACTCTGGTCCACTATGAAAATGCGGGATACAAACTTGCTGAGCTCTGATTGGTTGGCACAGGCGACAGCCCATGGTTGGGTCCAGATGGATTTCCCAGGAGTGGTGGACAGGAACAGGCAGCTATGGAAGCCCCAGAGTGCTGTGAGTGTGGGGTTTTCTGGGAGCGCACAGTATGTGTGTGGCCTTTAGTCAGCAGATGGTCTCTTGGCTCTGTTTTGAAATTAGGCCCAGTTAGCCATGCGGGGTCCATCTTCAAGGACTGGCTCTTCCAGGGTTTCCTGTTTAAGAAGCTCTTTCTTCCTTTGTTCTCATCCTGCTGCAGGCTTTCCCCCAGGAAGAGAGCACCCGCAGAGAAGGTGTGGCCCCTCTCCCACTCCCAGCCCCTCCACGTCCATCACCCTGCAGACCTCACTGGCTTGGCAGCGCTCCTGCTTTCCCTGGGCAGTCATTGGCTTCTTCTGCCCCATGAAAGTCCTTGAGTCCGTCTACTCAGATCTGGCTCAGGCTCAGAACCACCCCAGAGAGACCCTTCCTGGAAGCTGGGCTAGGACCCCAGCCAGGAGCAGCCCTTCCCGAGAGACCCCGAGGCCAGGTCCATGCCTGCTGTCTGAGCACACTGTGGGCCCAGGCTGGGCACAGAGAAGGGGTAGCCTGCCAGGCCCCCATGTGGAGCAGGAGGAGCCCCTGAGAGAGAAGATGCTGCAGGGGTGGGTAACTCCCAAGGGGTGACTGGCAGTGGGAGCTGGGGAGGAATGAGCCCCGGCCTCATGGCTTTTGTGCCTGAGGACAGACACCCTTTCCTAGAGATGGGGGAGCACTGAGAAGCTCAGAGGAGCCTGTGCGGTAGGCAGGCTTCGACCCAGGCCTCCCTCCTGGTTCCCTGAAGACAGAGGGAGCCCTGGGGCCCAGTCTGCCAGCCCTGCTCAGGGCTCACAGTCAATCTGTTGAAAGGAGATTGAGCACCTGACTCAGAGAGTGGGCCGTCAGCACATGAGCAGCGAGGCTGTGGAAGGCTTGGCCTGAGGGGCAGATGCCAAGCCCGTGTCCTCGCTTGCTGTGTCCTGGGAGCCACTCACCGCCTCCTTGCTGGCTTAGCTTATGCTCCTGTGAGCCTGGAGGAGGGCGCCTGCGCGTCGGGTAGCAAGGGTGCCCACTGCTGCAGGGACACACACTTCTTAGTGATGGCGAAGCTGCCCCAAGGATGGCAGATGTTGCTTCATCCCACAGGAGGAGACAGGGAAGCTTGGCTGCAAGGGTGGGGTCCTGCTTGAAGCCCCCACCTCACCTGACATGCTCTGCAGAGATGGTGCTGGCACTGCCAGGTGCAGGGCAAGTGGGATCCATGCAGGAGGGGTCGTGGCCTCCAACTCCATCCAGCAGACCGTCCCCAACAGTGCACGCGTGAGACCCCGCCGGACAGGGAGCTGTCCCTTTGGGACAAGGCCACTCCTTTGGGAAGGGGGATCACCCACAAGCAGCTCTTTTGGGCTGGTCTGTGGCAAGGGAGAGAGGTGGATGGGAGGCAGGAGAGAGGCAGGTGGCCCCTCCTCAGCCCGGAGCCCCCCCGGTCCTCTGCACTGACACAGGGATGGTGCCAAAGGCAGGGCCTGGGCAGAGACGGGTGGCCCCAGAGCAAGACCCTCCCACTCTCGGGAGGGTGTGGTCTTCAGGGCAGCCCACCCAGCCCTCCTGGCCCTCCCTGCCCCAGCAGTGGGAACGGGCCCAGCGAGCTGGCAGCCACTTCTCATGAATATGCATTGGTGAGGCCTGCTCCTTTGTGGGCCCCTATGCTCACCCCCTCCACCCCCCACCCCCAGCACTTATCTCTGGCGGTGAATAGGGTGCTATTGTGGGCAGGGCTGCAGAATTTTAATGACTTGCAAAATATAGTTAATTATGTAAAAAGACATCTTCTGCACTTTTTCATGTAAATGAGACAAATTAATTGGTGTTCAGTAGTTTTGAGAGCACCCGGTCCCAGGAGGGGAGGAGGGGAGACCTTGATGGTTCTGAAGAGTAGGTGCTTGCCAGAAAGAAAGGTAAGAAAGGAGAAACAGAGAGGGGTAATTTCTGATCCATTTAGTTAATCCCATCACTAACCCCGCCCGGGTTTGTAACTCAAACCGTGAGAAAGCTCGGGCCTTGTGTTCTCGACGCTGCTGGGAGTCACCGAGCAGCTCAGGACCTCGGGTAGGGGGGCTGCCGGGAAAGGTGCTGGGGGTGGATCAGAACAGCCGGGGGCACTCTCTCCCTTCACCCCGCTGGACCCCAGCCAAGTTCCCAACAGTGGCCCTGAGGGTTGGCGACACTGCTGGCCACTGTGGGGGCTGGGGTGGGTGGTGTCTGCAGTGGTTCCAGGTGAGTCAGAACATTCGAGTCAAATAACATGCCACTTCAAAGGACTTCAATAGACAGTCTCCAAAGGAGACGCTCACACGGCCCATGAGCACAGGGAAAGCACTCAACATCATCGGTCAGCAGGGAAATGGGAATGAAAACTGTAATGAGATTCCGCTTCATCCACCGGGATGGTTGGAGTCAAAACCTCAGGAAGCAAGAGTCTCAAGGGTGTGGAGGAGCTGGAACCTGGGTGCGCTGCTGGTGGGAGTGCCAAACGGTGCAGCCGCTGTCAAGTTTGGTATTGTCTCCAAAGGTTAAACAGAGTTACCGGATCAATCGAACAACTTGTCCCTGGGCGTCCTGGGGGTCAGATTCCTCAAGTGTGATCAACACTGTGGGTCAGATTCAAACTTCCTATTTTTAGTGGTGTTATTTTTTAGAAGATTTTCATTCCACTTCTCCCAGGGGAGAAACATTTATGTCAAGATAGCCTGCAGCCTGGGATGGTCAGTGCCTCAGATCCGCCAGCCGCTGACTTCTTGGAGCCGTGTAATCTGCTGTCTATGGCTCCTGGATGTTCGTCACATCACCAGCCCCTATGGTGGATGGTAAGACGCCAACGCAGACACGGCTATTCCTGGAAGTGCGTTTGCTACAATTGTCAATCATCATGGATCTCGCTTCAAAAGGAGTCTTTTTTGGAAAAATCTGCTGTTTCATGTTATCTCTCGGTGTGCATGCTCAAAACATCCAGTCCGTTGGAACAGATGTGAAACACAATTCAAGGGCATGAGAGGTGTTCACGGTGAAGAGTTAGACTCATATGTGGCTGAATTTACCTGGTGTGATCGCTTTGGAAAGAATGCTTTCTATTCCCGGTTATTCCGCATATGTCAGAGCAATTTTCTGTTAACTAATATGATGTTTTGGCTTTTGGCTTTAGTAAGTTTTAGTAAAAACATCCAGGGACAAATTCTTCCATTGAATACCTCTGAGAGACACATTGTTCAATTGATCGGAATTACCACACGACCCAGGAATTCTACTTTTGGGTCTACAGCCCAAAGGATTGGAAACAGCGTTGGCAAGAGATATTTGCACCCCCTTGTTCATAGCACTGTTGGAAATCATCAAACGGTGGAGACAACCCACATGTCACTGGGTGCACGGAAAAACAAAACCTGGTGCATCCATGCAATAGGACATCAGCCACAAAAGAAGAAATTTGGACACAGGTCACAACGTGGGTGAACCTTGAAGACATGATGCCAAGTGAAATGGGCCAGTCATAAAAAGACACACACTGTAAGATGCCACTTACATGAGGTGCCTGGAGAAGTCAGATTCATAGAGACAGAAAGTAGAAGGGTTGTTGGCAGGGGGCTGGGGGGATGGGGACTGGGGAGTTCATGTTTAACAGGGGCAGAGCATTTGTTAGGAAATATGGAAAGGGTTTTAGGCACCGATAGTGGTGACGGCTGCACAACACTGAGTGCATTTAATGTCACTAAACTGTCCACTTGCAAATGGAATCATTCATTTTGAAAAATCTGCCCCTTATCGAGCATTTGCTGAGACCCTTGTCCAGGCCTGTGCCTGGCTGTGCAGTTGGGGAGGCAGGAGGAGGGAGTGAGGACGCCTTTGGCCTCCTCGTGTGACTGCCCCGTGGACAGCCCTGACTGGTCTCTGGCCCCTGCAGTGAAGGCACGAACAGCTTTGGTGCACGGCGGCGCCTTCTATCCTTGGCACGGCCTCCTGGCTCTGTTTCTAGAAGCCATCAAAGGTCACTGTATCCCCCATTCCCAGCCCTGAATCAAACCAAGCCTGCCCCACTTGGCTCATCTTTCTGAAGCCCCCTCGGCTCACTGGGCCTGGGTCTGGGTGTTGCTTCCCCGCCGGAGGCCTCTGCTCTCCCTGGGAAACACCGTGGGAGAGCGGCCAACAATGGGCTTCTATCTCTGGATGAGAAACCAGATCTGGCTCAGCTCAGCATCCACCAGCACCTCATTCTTATCGCACCAGGCTGCCCAGCTAGTTCCACTTAGGATGAAACCTGACCTG
Source organism: Homo sapiens (assembly GCF_000001405.40). Lineage (NCBI taxonomy): Eukaryota > Metazoa > Chordata > Mammalia > Primates > Hominidae > Homo > Homo sapiens. The sequence continues at coordinate 240,293,985 of NC_000002.12, read as the reverse complement.
CCCATGGCTGTCGGAGCCTTGCTGGCTTTGAAAATGAGAACTAGCAAATGGCACCAACTCCTTCAAAGCCCTGACAGGCAGCTTAGCTCCCTGGATCTTTCCCAAAAGCTTTCAGAGCCCCTGGGGGCAGGTGGCGGGACCCTGGAGACCTGCACGTGGGTATGTGGGGAGCCTGCTGCCTCTGCCCGGTCAGCTGCACCTGCTGCAATCTCCAGTTTCCAGCCAAAGCCTCGGAGAGAGTGTGTCCCAGAGCAGCAGGACTTATTGCCACCCAGACAGGCTACTGGAGCCCTGGACCAGAGCCACAGCCGGCACCGTGGCACCCAGTGGGGGAGTGTAGATCACGGACTGCGCCCCTAGCCCCCGGCTGGCAGTCCAGTGAGAAGTCTTCCTAGGAGGGCAGCCTGAAACTGAGCCCTGGAGACTGGGTCATCCCAGCAAGGTTAGGTCCTGCTTCTCCAGAACTCCCCACCATGCTTAGATCTTAGGATGGAGCACAGGAACCAAAGCCAGACCTGCTCAGCACAGCCTGGCCCCAGGGCATTAGGTCCAAAGCTCAGGCCACTGGAGAACAGAGCTGACCACAGCCTCCCTGGACACGGCCCCACAGCTCAGGACCTCCCGTGACTCAGCCTGGTCCATGTCAGATCTTTTCAGGCCGGGGAGTGGCCCTTGCCTCACTGGGCAGGGAGGATGCTGAGATGCAGCTGGAGCAGTTCCTCCTGCTGACCATAGCTGGCCCTGGGCACTGCAGGCCTCCAGCTCAGTCTGCCGGGAGGGCAGAAGGACAGACTTCCAGAAAGGGGCTCATCCTACATTGCCCTGCTGGCACACACCACTGTCCTGAAGAGCTGGCCAGCCTGAGCTCTGCAGGCCAAAGGAGCGGCTGGGTAGGAGCTGCCCACCCAGACCAAGTGACCACCCAGTCACCCCAGCCACAGTGGCTGCTTAGCTCACACCGAGGCTCTGCAAGGCCAGTCTTTAGCTGGAGGTGCACTAACCTCCTTCTGCTACTGCTCCCTGGCATGAAATCATCTGATCCAGGAGTCACAATAGGCCCTGATAAGGGCATTCACAGATGTGGAAAATGCTAGAACAAAGTGTGGTTTCTGAAGCCCACGGTGTCGCGGAAACTCCACGAAACACTGGCATGCTTAGCTAGGATATCTTGAAACTGCAGCAGCCTCACTACTGCCCGATCCTCCCTAGGGGCTCATCCAGCCTCTCCCTCACCGTCTTCCATTAATCACAGCCACAGTCTAAGGGGATTACATTCTGACCAACACAAAATAGCACTCTCTGCTCAAAGTTAGATTGTTCGGGCTAAAACCAATTCCCACCATAACCGATTACCGTCTGTTAATTAAATGACGACTCAAGGTAGTTAAGTTAAAAAGCAAGGCTACTGAAAGACGTGCTGGAGACCAGCCCCCAGGCCTACAGCCCAGCACCTGCACCTCCCAGCACTCAGCGCTGAGGTCAGAAGGAGTGTTGGGGCCTTGCCATCCCACCTGACTTAGGTCCCGTTTTGTCCTCCTTGGAGCACCTTGTCCTAGAGGCTGAGGTGAAGGCTGCCCCTGCCCCAGGCAGACCCCATTGCCAGTGGTAAGGTCCCTGCCTGTCTCCTGCACTGACCTGGGCCTATTTGTCTCAGGGTCCTATCGTGAGACATAGGGCCTGGCCCTGGGAGGCACCCACGAAATGAGACAGGGAGGAAGGGAGGGCTGGGGAGAGAGAACAGGGGAAGAGGGAGAGGGAGGAGAAATGGGGAGAAAGAGAAGGAAGGGGAAAGGAGAGGCCTGGCGACTGGTGCTAGAACCCACAGCACGGCTGAGACCCTCTGTTCAGATTGGGAATCAATGCCCAGCTGTTGGGGAGAAGGCTAAGGGCTGTGGGGGGCCATGTGCTCACTACAGAAACCAAAGCGATGCTGAAGTACAGGGCAGAACTCACAGGGCCCGTCTGCTCTGCTCTCTTTTCAGAGCAATCACCCTTAACAATGAGGTTTTCTCTTTTTTTCTGACACATTTGCATATGTTTAAGGTTGTGTGCATATAAATATAACCTTAGTTTAACACATATATATGCTGGCTTTTCAAGGTAATAATGTGATTTAGAGATGTGTGTCAGAATAGAAGGAACTCTTTCATTTCAGCCCCCACATGCGGATCATGATGTATTTTCCTATGTGTGTGCGCATCAGTAGTGCTGCACTATTGACAAGGTTTGACTTTTGTTGCTTCCCGTGCACCTTTTGATGTAAGCTCTGTCCATGGTCAGCCCCGTGAGGTTGAGGATTTTGTCTGTTTTGCTCACAGCTGTGTCCCCAGGGTAATGCCCGAGTGGTCACAGCCACAGCAAACGGTGGAATGTGTGTGTCCACAAATGTTCCTAAACTGGAATGTCTGGGTTCATAGCCATGTCAGCAGGACATGGATCATTTGGACAGATTGTGCCGTTGCCTCTCCGGGCTGTGCACCCTCATGCTTCTGACAGGACCAGGCATCCCATCCCAACACCCTCGGCCTCCATACTCCTGCCCCTGCCACGCACTGTTGCCTCCCCTGCGTGCCCTGCTCCCCGGCCAGCCCAGCATCTCTGGATGATCTCGGCCTCCATACTCCTTCCCCTGCCGCCCACTGTCGCCTCCCCTGTGTGCCCTGCTCCCCGGCCAGCCCAGCATCTCTGGATGATCACTGGACGCTGGATGCCTGCCTCACTTTCCTTTGAGCCATTGGTCTTTGCTTAGGGACGTGACGGGCTTATGCATTCCAGATGCGAATCTTTTGTGTTTAATGTCACAAATATTTCCTTGCCCGCTGCCTCACTTGTCTTTTCACCTGAAATATTCACTTTGAAGAGATCTTTCAGCCTCCGCAAGTTGTTAAGATTCAAGAGGTATAGAGGTCTGTCAATATTTCCCTCAGCGTGTCTGGGTTCAGAGCTGGCGGCAGTGGACCTCTCCTCCCAAGGACACGGGGCATTTTCTGGGCAGACGTGGTTTGTGTTCCCTGGGCTTTGTGCCCGTGGAAGATTCCGGGCTTGGCAGCGGCTTGGCGTCCCCCTGAAGCTCACTTCATTCATTCCCTCCTTCTGCCTTCACTCACAGAGTCACCGTAGAGGTCCACGTTCCACTGTGTGGCCGCACCGTGTTTCCTGCCAAATCCTCACTGTGGTCTTCATGTCACGAAACAAGCTCACCCTCGGCCTCTCACACTGTTGTCGTGGGGAGTTCCGAGCCCCACCCCCAGGGCCAGGCTCTGAGCAGCTGACCGTGGGAAGCCCAGTGAGGAGCTACAGTGAAGCCCTCCCATCTGTGGGGAAAGGCCCGAGTCTGACCTTGGAGGGGCCAGTGATGGACCCTCGACGCCTCCAGGGTGTGGTGGCGGAGAGGGGCTCGTCCCCCAGCTCAGTTCCTACTGGAAGCAAAGGCTTAGCTGGAGGGCACTGGGCCTGGGAGAGCCAGGGGGCTCCTGCTCACATGCCCCAGGGGGTACTGGGAGCCCTTCCTTCCCCTGCCTGTGCTTGTGGTGGGGAGGCGGGCAGGCCACTGGCCCTCGGCCTGGCTCACTCAGGCTGCAAGCGGCTCTAGCCAGAGGGGCGACGTGACTGGGGCCTGTGGGCAGCCACTCCATGGGGCGTGCTGGATTCGGGACTCGGGACTCGAGAAGAGGAACTGGGTCACCCTGAGACATCAGCCTGGGCTGAGGGGGCCCCAGAGGCAGGACCTGGCCAGGCCTTCCGCCCGTGGGATCCAGCTGGCCAGAGCCAGGCCAGGTGTGTGAGGCCCGTGGAGAGCAGGGGGCTGTCTCACCAGGCCCTCCGTTCCCCAGCGTGGGGCACAGCTGTTCCAGCTATTCCACACTGTCCAGCATCCGAGGGCCTGTAGATGCTGTGGACCCGGTCCAAATGCCAGAGCCGTGGCAGCAGAGACTCCGGCTGTGACAGATGACAGGGGGCCGGAGGGGGCTCGGGCAGGCTGTGGCCATTCCCTGGCCATGGTGCAGCAGCCCCCTCCTCACATGGCCCGCCAGGAGCCCCTCCACTGGCCGGTCAGTTCAGAGAGGACAACGGCCCCCACCCCTTCAGAACCTGAGTTCCCGGGGCCCCTCCTGACCCCCCACACCCGACTGCAGCACCTTAGTAAAGGCCCTGCTCCCATCACTCTGGGCAGGGCTACGTGTTTCCTCCTGGAACCCCAGGAGGGAAGGACCTCAGCTCACCCCACCCGTCAGCCCGCCCACGCCGTGGCTGCACCTGCGTGGAGATCAGACCTCTGGCCTCCTGCCTCCAGGGCGCTTGTCAACCAGGCACTCGGTGATGAACTTGGATGAAAAATAAAAACCTTGGCAGCCAGGCCTAGGGGGTTCATCTCTTAATTAAGAAAGTGCTATTCTCTGGCAAAAAGCAAGTGAGCGAAATTACTCAAGTTTAACCCTAGCAAACCATTGTCTTCTGTGTCCACAGAAGCAAGGCTGAAGAGGCCGTTGGGGTGATGATATTTTCCGTTTCTGGTCATTTTTTTTTTAACAAGTAAGATAAACCTCTCAGACTACATCCTCTCCCTCTTACTCTCCCAGAGGAACAGAAGAATGGTCATCAGTGGCGAATGGTACTTGCAGGGAAGCAACACAGACGACGGCTCCTGCTCGGGAGGGAACGCTGGGCCTGCTCGGGAGGGAATGCTGGGCCTGCTCCTTGTGGCTTCTGGTGCTCAGAGAAACTTCTCCAGGAACGAGCTATCGAAATGATCCCAGAATGCATAGGCTTTCCGTTTCTAGTCTTTTTTTTTTTCGAGACAGACTCTTGCTCTGTCACCCAGGATGGAGTGCAATGGTGTAATCTCGGCTCACTGCAACCTCCGCCTCCTGGGTTCAAGTGATTCTCCTGCCTTGGCATCCCGAGTAGCTGGGATTACAGGCACACGCCACCACATCCGGCTAATTTTCTGTTTTTAGTAGAGATGCAGTTTCACCATGTTGTCCAGGTTGTTCACGAACTCCTGACCTCATGTGATCCGCCCACCTCAGTCTCCCAAAGTGCTGGGATTACAGGTGTGAGCCATGGCACCTGGCCAGTTTCTAATCTTTTAAAGTAACTGCTAACCTTTTCTGGTTGTCTTGAAATACAAATCAACTATACTTTAATGACAACATTTGGTCAACTAGAAAAAGATCCATTGGATTCTTGGATTCTTAAGCTCATTGGTCCTTAAAACCAAGAAGCCCTGCCTGGCAGGGCCAACGGAGCTGCAGGTTGTACTGGGCGGTGCCTTGCCCATGGCTGCACATGGGCCTGAAGGGGACTTTGCTGTCCCTGACAAAAACACATTTAAAAACCTTCCTTACTGTGCCAGGGTTCCCATCTGTCCGTGCCTTTCAGTTTCTGCCATCTCAGGGTGGGCATCCCAGTGGCTCACCCTCCCCTCTGGATACCAGCCGGCCTCCCAGTGGCCTCTTGGTGGCTCGCCCACCCCTCTGGATACCAGCCGGTCTCCCAGTGGCCTCTCTATGGCTCCCCCACCCCTCTGGACACCAGCCGGTCTCCCAGTGGCCTCTCTATGGCTCACCCACCCCTCTGGACACCAGCCTGTCTCCAAGTGGCCTCTCTGTGGCTCACCCACCCCTCTGGACACCAGCCAATCTCCCAGTGGCCTCTCGGTGGCTCACCCACCCCTGTGGACACCAGCTGGTCTCCCAGTGGCCTCTCTGTTGCTCAGGCTCATCCCAGACCTCAGAACACATGAGGGTGGAAAAGCAATCCCCCTCGCCCACTCCCCTGCTCAGGTGGCTTTTGCAGCCCTCGTCACCTTGGCCTGTCGGGGGCAGCAGGGCAGGCCCTGGATGTAGATCATGCTGTTGGCATGGGGAGGACCAAGCCCCACCCCCAGGGCCAGGCTCTGAGTGGCTGACCATGGGGAGCCTGCGGAGGAGCTAACCTGAAGTGTTCACTGGGAGGCCACACAGGCTGGGTGGGGGCTGAGGGAGGTGCTGGAGCTGGACCAGGCCTGGGGCTGGAGTTGGAGGTGGTGGGTCAGGTGCCACATTGTTCAAATGGATGTGGGGCAGTGGCTGATGCAGCCTCAGGGCATGTTTTCCTCCGAGTTGGCAGCCCCTGGGTCCCTCAGATATCAACACTGTGCTGTTCTAAGTGCAGATTCCTCCCATGCAGTGGCTCTGGCCTGGGCTGGGTGTGCAATCTGCCTGGGAGCGCTTGAAACCTGGACGGGCTGAGCCAAGCCCGCTGGGGCTGGGACTCAGGGGTCAGCAGATTGTTCTAAGCTTCCCAGATGACCCCAGTGTGCAGCCAGGGCTGAGCACCCCTGTCCTGAGGCTGCTGAGCCGGCGGTGGTGCTGGGTGCCCCTCGGTGGCAGACCAGGCTGGCTGCAGTGGGGATGTCCGCTGAGTGCCTCTGATGGAAGGTACAGGGTACTGCCACGTCTCACCCCTTCCACGGGCTCCCCAACTCTCACACATTCACACTTCCCTACACCCCACATCCGTCTTTCAAGGCGTTGGTCAGCGCCAGGAAGACTTGCTTGTCTGACCACATGCAGCGCTTCATGATTCTCCTCTGCATTCATCCCTCCTGGTGCCAGCGTGTTCTCTGTGGGCAGCTGCCTGTGTGCGGGACAGGGCTGCTCAGGGAATGGCTGCTCACACCAGCCCCAAGAGGGAGGGAATCCAATAGATGCTGCTGACCGTCCTCAGCGCAAACGGTCACCGCTGACTGCCCCTGGCACACACGGTCACCGCTGACCGCCCCTGGCACACACGGTCACCGCTGACCATCCCTGGCACACACGGTCACTGCTGTGTTGCATGTCCCTGTCAACACCTGGGGTTCTTGTCTCTCACATGGCCTCTGTCACGGGACCCCATGTGGCCTCTCTGTTTGTTGCATTTCTCTGACGGGTGGGGCATCTCCCAGAGCTGGAGGGGCAGGGACCCACTGGGCTGCCCAGAAAATTCCCCGTTTCCAATCTGAAGTCTATTTGCTCAGATTAGATCCTTTACTTCTAACAAATAGAAACAATAAAAAATGATAAAGAATAGAAATAGGGCTTTCAAACACCATGCTGCAGCCAAAATCCCCTCCTGTTTCACTGAGGTTCTCAGCAGTGGCACTGCCAGCCTGCCCGTCCTCTCCCATCAATAGGCCAGCAGATGCTTGCAGAGGAGGCTTGCCCTGCTGCTAGGAGGCATAGAGGCGGGCAGAAGCAGGGCTGTTGTCAGGGCACACTGTGGCTCCCTCACCAGCGTGGTGCAGGGTGCGGTGCCCACGTACAAGCTGGAACCCCCATGTTTCAGTCTGATGAGAGCAGTCCAAAAGCTATTGCTTTGTTCTCGACCTTGCTAGTATTCCCAGTCTCTCAGGTGCTTAATTCAAGCTATTTCCTTCCTCCCTTCACCCCTAAGCACAGGCACAAACACACCCAAAGGCACAAGGAGGTGATGCTCTGGGACTTGTCCCTCTCTGCTGAGCAACACTCAGCTCTGCCTGTGTATTTTAATTAAATGCCTGGGACAAAGTATGAGTTCAGGTCAGAAACAAACGTATTCTGCAAGCACAACTGCAGGGTTTGTTACTTCTGTTGTTTCAAACTCAAAAAGATGAGCTTATTCTTTTTTCCAAGGGGAGGGGACTTCAATGGAGTTTTTTCCTGGTTTTAGCAAAAATCAGTTGTTTTTAAATTGCTGGTGAGCCTTTTATGTTATTTTTATGAAATATATCACACATTCAAGAAGTGACATAAAGCACAGCGTCCGGCCCAGCGAGTGTTCGCAAAGTGAATACATCCATGTAACCAGCACACAGGAAAAGGCAGAGCATTTCCAGTTTTCCAGAAACCTCCTTATGTTCTTCTTAAAACTAACCCCTAGTCTGATGTCCATCACCAAAGTGAGTATTGCCTGTTTCAAAGCTTCTTATAAAGTGAATGACATGGAGAGTTTTGTGCTGTGTTGAGCTTTTATTGTATCCTCACTGTGCGTAACTGCAGTTTGTGGAGTGTTTTGTGCTGTGTTGGGCCTTTATTGTATCCTTCTCACTGTGGGTAACTGCAGTTTGTGACTGTTCATGGCTGTATAGTATTCCGATGTGTGAATAGACCCATCTGATGGATACGGGCAACTCGATGGGTCCACAGGTGTTGGGTTAGTTAGTAGTTGGGGGCTATTACATTTATGATTTATGCACATTATCAGCACACCTTTTGGTGCATATATGGATGCATTTCTATTGGAAATATTTATATATTTATACACATGCAATTTGTGCATCATAGAATATGAAAATATTCGGTTTTAAGAAAACCCTGCCAAAGTGTTTTCCAAAGCAGCTCTAACAATTTACATTCCCATCAATACTGTATGAGAATTTCGACTGCTCAGCATTCCCCCATGGGTTCTGTTTGTTTGTTTGTTTAATTAGAGCCATTCTGAAGTGTGGTGGCCTGAAGCTGCTCTTCCCTGGGGAGTGAGGACGCCAAGCACCTGTTCATGGGCTCATGAGCCCTGTGAGAGGCCCAGTTCTCAAAGCCATCTCTTCAGGTTTTTTGCTCCTTCTTGCATTCAGTTGCCTGTCTTTCTGATTTCAAGTTCTTTTTATATTCTGGATTTGAGGCTTTAGTCAGGCATGTGTATTGCAAAAATCTTCTTCCACTCTGTAATTTGCATTTCACTGTTAAGGGTGTCTTATGATGAAATAAATTTGTAGTGCTGTAAGAATCACCAGTGAGCCTTTTACATTTATTTTTAGACTCTGTGCATCAAAAGGGGGACCTTTGGAGACTTGGAAAGTCCAGGGTTTCTGGACAGCACATGGAAAGGAGCGAGGCTCTGCAGCTGGAGGTGGCTTTGTGCCCACTGGGGCTGTTCACACGGTGGCCTTGGGGTGACATGAGGACCAAGTGAGACCTGGCCTCTGGCATGCAGCATGGACGGCAAGGCTCTGAGGCAGAAAGCCCTTGCCCATGGGGGTCGCTGTGCGACTCTGGGGAGAGAAAATCAACTTGGCGGGACTTAGAGGATGGAGCACTTCACAATGCTGGCATCTCCTGCAGCTTGTCCTGTGACCTAGGAGTAGACAGTCCTCATATCTGGGCCTCAGTTTCTCCACCTGCACAGCCAAGGCATTGACGCAGATCTCTGAGTGCCCTCTGATCTCCTGACCGAGGCTTGATCCTCCTTCCTTAGCCATCTCTTCAGGGTTACCAGTAGAACATGGTGATCCCAAGTGTGCCCGGGTCCCACTGCCCACACAGCTCTCACCAGCTGAGCAGCCTGGGTGGGGTCACTTACCTCTCTGTTCCTCAGCGTTCTAGACTGTGACATGTAGGTGACAGCGGCCTACCCCACAGTTGGAAGTGCTCACGGCAGCAGCAGGGGCTGTGTCTTTGGGGATGGGAACCACTCTACGGGAGTTAATGCCCCAGCTCCCTGAGGCCTGGTTTGGTATCACCATTCAATGTGATTTAAAACCATAGACTTATCCATCACTTGACAGGGAGTCTTTTAAGGGGAATTTTAAAAGTAACTCTCAATTTTGTAATGTTATCAAACTTTATGTGTTTCTTATTTCTCAAAAGCCATCTTTGGTAATTTATATTTTCCTAGAAAATTATTTAGTTTGTGGATATGGTAAAATTGCTTTCCACAAAATTATACACCAAGGTCTTTTGTAATTTTTAAAAAAACTTCTACGGGTACATAGCAAATGTATATATTTATAGGACGCATGAGATATGTGGATACAGGCATGCGTGTGTAATAATCACTCAGGGTAAATGGGGTATCCATCACCTCAAGCATTTATCCTTTCTCTGTGTTACAAACAACCTAATTACACTCTTTTAGTTATTTTTAAATGTACAACAAATTATTGTTCACTACAGTTACTCTGTTATGCTATCAAACACTAGATCTTATTCATTCTATTTCATTATATTGTTGTACCCATTAACCATCCCCACTGCCCTCTGCCACCCCCATTACCCTTCTCTGCCTTTGGTAACCATCATTCTACTCTCTATCCCCATTTGTTCAATTGTGTTAATTCTTGGCTCCCACAAATAAGTGAGAACATGCACAGTTTGTCTTTCTGAGCCTGGCTTAATTCACTTAACATAATGATCTCAGTTCCAGCCATGTTGTAGCACATAACTGGATCTCATTCTTTTTTATGGCTGAATAGTACTCCATTGTGTATATGCACCACATTTTCTTTGTCTAGTCATCTGTTGATAGACACAGCTTTCTTCCACATTTTGGCCATTGTGAGCAGTGCTGCAACAAACATGGAAGTGCAGATACCTAGCGGTGGGATTGCTGGGTCCTGTAGCTGTTCTACTTTTAGTTTTTTGGGAAACCTCCAAACTGTTCTCCATGGCAGCTGTTCTAATTTATATTCCCACCAACAGTGTACATGGCTTCCCTTTTCTCCACATCCTCGCCAGCACTTGTTATTGTTTATCTTTTGGATATAAACCACTTTAACTGGGGTGAGATATCACATTGTAGCTTTGGTTTGCATTTCTCTGATGATCAATGATATTGAGCACCTTTGCATAGATACCTGCTTGCCATTTGTTTGTCTCCTTTCGAGAAATGTATATTCAGATATTTTCCCCATTATTAGATTTTTTTTTCTGTTGAGTTGTTTGAGCTCCTTATATATTCTGGTTATTAATCCCTTGTTGGATGAGTAGTTTGCAAGTATTTTCTCCCACTCTGTGGGTTGTCTCTTCACTGTGTTGATTGTTTCCCTTGTTGTGCATAAGCCTTTTAGCTTGATGTGATCCTATTTGTCCATTTTTGCATTGTTGCCTGTGCTTGTGGGGCATTTCTCAAGAAATCTTTGCCCAGTCCAAGGTCCTGGAGAGTTTCCCTAATGTTTTCTTTTAGTAGTTGTATAGTTTTAGGTCTTAGATTAAGTCTTTAATCCATTTTGTTTTGATTTTTTATGTAGTGAGAGATAGAGGTCTGTATTTTTTTTTCTTCTGGATCTGGATATCCAGTTTTCCCAGCATCATTTGTTGAAGAGACTGTCCTTTCCCCAATGTATGTACTTGGCACCTTTGTCAAAAATGAGTTCACTGTAGATGTATGGATTTATTTCTGGTCCTCTATTCTGTTCCAAGTTCTATGTGTCTGTTTTTATGCCAGTATCACACTCTTTGGATTACTATAGGTCTGTCATAAAATTTGAATCCAGGTAATGGGATTCCTCCACTTTTATTCTTTTTGCTCAGGATAGCTTTAGCTATTTTGGGTCTTTTGTGGTTCCATATAAATTTTAGGATTATTGTTTCTATATATGTGAAGAACATCATTGGTATTTTGAGAGAGACTGAACTGAATCTGCAGATTGCTTTGGGTAGTATGGACATTTTAATGTTGATTCTTCCAATCCATTAACATGGAATATCTCTCCATTTTTTTGGTGTCCTCTTCACTTTCTTGCATCAATGCTTTATAGATTTCATTGTAGTTATCTTTCACTTCTTTGGTTAAGTTTATTCCTGGGTATTTTATTTTATTTGTCATTATTGTACATGGGATTACTTTATTTCTTATTCAGATTGTTCACTGTTGGCATATAGAAATGCTACTGATTTTTTTAAATTTTGTATCCTGCAACTCTACTGAATGTGTTTATCAGTTCTAATCTTTTTTTTGGTGGACTCTTTAGATTTTTCTAAACATAAGATCATATTATATTCTTCCTTTCCAATTTAGATGCCCTTTATTTTTTTTCTTTGTCTGATTGCTCTACCTGGGACTTCCAGTACTATGTTGAATAACAGTGGTGAAAGTGGGCATCCTTGTCTTATTCCAGATCTAAGAGGAAAGGCTTTCAGTTTTTCCCCATTCAGTATGATACCAGCTGTGAGTCTGTAGCATATGGTTTTAATTGTGCCAAGGAACGTTCCTTTTATCACAGGTTTTTTATCATGAAGGAATTTTGAATTTTATCAAATGCATTTTCAGCACCAATTGAAATGGTCATATGGTTTTTGTCCTTCATTCTGTTTATTTGATATATTACATTGATTGATTTGCATATGTTGAACCTTCCTTGTATCCCTGGATCTCACTTGGTCTGGTTTTGGTATCGGGGTAATACTGGCCTCATAGAATGAGTTTGGAAGTATTTCCTCTTCCAAACAGAGAACAGAAGTCCCTCCTCTTCTGTTTTTAAGAATAGCCTGAGTAGGATTGGTATGAGTTCTTATTTAAATGTTTGGTAAAATTCAGCACTGAAGCCAAGAGGTCCTTGACGTTTCTTTTTTGGGAGACTTTTTATTATGGCTTAATGTTGTTACTTGTTATTGCTGTGTTCAGGTTCTGGACTTCTTCATGGTTCAATCTTGGTAGGTTGTATGTGTCTAGGAATTTATCCAATTTTTTCTAGATTTTTCAATTTATTGGCATATAGTTGCTCATAGTAGCCTCTAAAGATCCTTTGAATTCCTGCAGAATTGGTTGTAATATCTCCTTTTTCATTTCCGATTTTATTTATTTGGGCCATTTCTCTTTTTTCTTAGTTAACTTGGCTAAAGTCTTGTTGATTTTTCTTATCTTTAAAAAAAAAACAACTTTCGTTGCGTTGATCTTTTGTTTTTTTTGTTTTGATTTCACTTATTTCTGCTCTGATCTTATTATTTCTTTTTTTCTACTAATTTTAGATTTGGTTTGCTTTTGCTTTTCTAGTTCTTTAAGATGCTTCATTAGATATCCATATGTTGAACCATCCTTGCATCCTTGCTTGATGTTTTTCTACTTTTTTGATGTTGGTGCTTATTACCATAAACTTTCATCTTAGTAGTGCTTTCACTGTGTCTCATAGGTTTGGGTATGTTGTGTTTCCATTTTCATTTATTTGAAGACAAATTTAAATTTTCTTCTTAATGTCTTCATTGACCCACTGGTCATTCAGCACATTAATTTCCATGTGCTTGTATGGTTTCCAAACAATCAATAGTAAGAGGAATTTGATACAAACTCCTCTTGTAATTGATTTCTAGTTTTATTCCATTGTGGTCAGATACTTGATATGATTTCAATTTTTTAAGACTTGCTTTGTGGCTTGACTTATGGTCTATCTTTGAGAATGATTCATGTGCTGAGGAGAAGAATGTGTATTTTGCAGCTGTTGGATGAAATGTTCTGTAAATATTTATTAGGTCCGTTTGGTTTGGTTTATAGTGCAGTTTAAGTCCGAGGTTTCTTTGTTGATTTTCTCTCTGGAAGATCTGAAAATGGGGTTTTGAAGTTTGTAGCTATTATTGTATTGGGTCTATCTCTCTTTTTAAGCTCTAATAATATTTGCTTTATATATCTGGATGCTCCAGTGTTTGGTGCATATATATTTAGAATTATTATTTCCTCTTGCTGAATTAACACCTTTATCATTATATAATGACCTTTTTTGTCTCTTTTTATAGTTTTTGTCTTGAAATATATTTTGTCTTATATAAGTATAGCTACTCTTGCTTTTTCTTTTGGTTTCCATTTGCATGGAATAGCTTTCTCTGTTTCTTTATTTTCAGTCTGTGTGTGTCTTTATAGTTGAGTGCATTTCTGTTAGGCAACAGATCGTTGGTTCTTTTTTTTGTTGTTGTTCATTCAGCCACTCTATGTCTTTGGAGGGTTTTGTCTGTTTATATTCAATGTTATTATTGATAAATAAGGACTTACTCCTGCCATTTTGTTATTTGTTTCCTGGTTGTTTTGCGGTCTTCTCCTTCTTCTTTCCTTTCTTCCTGCCTTCCTTAATAGTGAAGATGATTTTCTCAGGTGGTATGTTTAATTTATTGCTTTTTATTTTTTATGTATCTGTTGTATTTTTTTTATTTGAGGTTACCGTGAGGCTCTCAAATAATACTGTATAGCCCATTATTTTTAAACTGATGAAAAGATAACACTGATTGCAAAAACAAACAAGCAAGCAAAGAGAAAACTAATAGAAACTCTACACTTTAACTTAATCCCCCTGCTTTTTAACTTTTTGTTGTTTCTATTTATATCTTATATTGTCTATGTCTTGAAAAGTTGTTATAGTTACTATTTTTGACAGGTTCATCTTTTAGTCTTCCTACTCAAGATATAAGTAGTTTACACACGACAATTACAGTGTTATAATATTCCGTGTTTTTCTGTGTACTTACAATTACCAGTGAGTTCTGTATCTTCAGATGATTTCTTATTACTCATTAATATCCTTTTCTTTCAGGTTCTTTCAGAACTCCTTTTAGCATTTCTTGTAGGGCAGGTCTGGTGTTGATGAGATCTTTCAGCTTTTGTTTGGGAAAGTTTTTATTTCTCCTTCATGTCTGAAGGATATTTTCACTGGATATACTATTCTGGGATAAAAGGTTTTTCCCTTCATCGCCTTAAATGTGTCATGCCACTCTCTCCTGGCCTGTAAAGTTTCCACAAAGAAGTCTGCTGCCAGATGTATTAGAGCTTCATTGTATGTTAGTTGTTTCTTTTCTTTTGCTGCCTTTAGGATTCTTTCTTTATCTTTGACCTTTGGGAGTTTGATTATTCAATGTCTTGGGATAGTATTATTTGGGTTAAATCTGCTTGGTATTCTATCACCTTTTCATACTTGAATATTGATATCTTTCCCTAGATTTGGGAAGTTCTACATTATAATCCCTTCGAATTAACATTCTACCCCGATCTCTCTCTCTCCTTTCTCTTTAAGGCCAATAGTTTTAGATGTGCTCTTTTGAGGCTATTCTCTAGATCTTGTAGGTGTGACTCATTCTATTTTATTCTTTTATCTTTTGTCTCTTCTGTGTATTTTCAAATGTCCTGTCTTCAAGCTTGTGAATTCTTTCTTCTGCTTGATCATGTCTGCTATCAAGATACTCTGATGCATTCTTCAATATGTCAATTGCACTTTTCAGCTCCAGAATTTCTGCTTGATTCTATTAAATTACTTCAATCTCTTTGTTAAATTTGTCTGATAAGATCCTGAATTCCTTCTCTGTGTTATCTTGGATTTTGTTGAGCTTCCTCAAACAGCTATTTTGAATTCTGTGTCTGAGAGGCCACATATCCCTGCCTCTCCAGGATTACTCATGGTGCCTTATTTAGTTTTTTGGTGAGGTCATGTTTTCCTGGATGGTCTTGATGTTTGCAGATGTTCATTCATGTCTGGTATTGAAGAGTTAGATATTTACTGTAGTCTTTGCAGTCTGGGCTTTTTTGTACCCACCCTTCTTGGGAAGGCTTTCTAGGTATTCAAAGGGACTTGAGTGTTGTAATCTAAGTCTTTAGTCACTGCAGCCATATCTGCTTTAGGGGACACCCTAAGCCCAGTAATGCTGTGGCTTCTGCAGACTCACAGAGGTACCACCCTGGTGGTTTGGGTAAGATCTGTGAGAATTCCCTCAATTACCAGAAAGAGACTCTTGTTCTTTTCCCTTACTTACCTTCAAACAAATGGAGTCTTTCTGTCTATGTTGAGCTACCTGGAGCTGGAGTAGGGTGACATAAACACTCCTGAGGTCACTACCCCTGGGACGGTACTGTGTCAGACCCAAAGCCAGCACAGCACTGAGTCTCACCTAAGGCCTGAAGTGACCACTGCCTGGCTGCTGTGTTTACTCAGGGCCCAAGGGCTCTACAATCAGCAGGTGATGAATCCAGCCAGGCTTGTGTCCTTCCCTTATGGGTGGCAGGTTTCTCCCAGCCCCAGATTGGTCCAGAGATGCCATCTGAGAGCCTGGGCCTGGAGTTGGGAACCTTAGGAATCTGCTTGGCGCTCTATTCTATTGCAGCTGAGCTAGCATTTAAGCCACAAGTCAAAGTCCTTTCCACTCTTTCCTCCCCTTTCCTCAAGCAGAGGAGTCTCCCTATGGCCATTCCAATCCCAGACCTGTAGGGAATATTGCCTGGCTACCGCCAATGTTCACTAAAGGCTCAAGGGCTCTTCAATTAGCTTGTGGTGAATGCTGCCAGGCCTGGGACTCACCCTTCAGGGCATTTGACTCCCTGCTGGCCCAAGGTAGGTCCATAAATGCCACCTAGGAGCCAAGGCCTGGAATCAGGGACCTCAGGAAACTGCTTGGTGCTCTATCCAACTGTGACCAAGCTGGCACCTAAGCTCAAGACAAAATCCACTTTACACTTTACTGTGGTGTCTCTCCTTTCCTCAAGCAAAAGGGGTCTCTCCCTAAACCCCTATAGCCACCACAGCTGAAGCCAGCAGAGCTCTGAGTCTCAACTAAGGCCCATGGTGAGTACTGCCTTGTTACCGCTGCTGATTATTCAGGATTCAAGAGCTCTTTATTCAGCAGGTGATGAATCCTGCCAGGGCTGGATCCTTCCCTTCAAGGTAGCGGGTTCCCTCCTGATGCAGGGTGTGTCTAGAAATGTCATCTGGGAGCTAGGGCCTGTTATGAGGACCTCAGGACTCTGCCCAGTGCCCTATCCTGCTGTTGCTGAGCTAGTGTCCAAGATGCAAAACAAAGTCCTCTTGATTCTCCCCTCTCCTCTCCTCAAGGAGAGAAAGAGGTCTCTCCTGGAGCTTTGAGCTGCACTGCCTGGAGTTGGGAGAGGGGTGGTGCAAGCCCTCACTTAGTCACTCAGGCTGGTTTCTCACTATGTTGCATGTCCCTCGAACCTACTGGCTCTGAGCCCAGCATAACAGCAGGACTTGCCCAGGAGGAGTTGCAGTCCTTGTGGCCTCGAGTTTATTGAGGACTTGAAAGGTGGTGAGCCTTGCTGGAACTCAGGTTCCGAGCCAGGTCAGGTGATTCCCCTCTGCCTACGGCTGGTCTGAATGCTCCCTCCATGGGCACTGGCTGCATTCTGCGCTGTGCTGCTTTCCGCTGTGATAAGGCAGCTCTGAGTTCCAATGCAAAGTCCCACAGTCACTGCTCTCTCCCTCTCTGAATGCACAGATTCTCTGTCCATACCACATGGCTGCTGCTCAGGGTTGGGGAAGGTGATTCAAGACTCTTTTCTGCCCTTTTCAGTGCCTCTTTCCTTAATATGATGTTAAAACCAGGTACTGTGATCACTCACATGATTTTTGGTTCTTATTATGCTGTTTTAGTGTGAACAGTTGTCCAGTTTGGTGTTTCTGTGGGAAGGACGATTGGTGGAGGCTTCTAATTGGTCATCTTGTTCTGCCTCCTTATCTCTTATAATTTAAAAACAAATTTCTTGTGCATTTCTGGTTAAACCTGTCAGCCTTCTTAACAGTACATAGTTATGCTTCCTATCTTTATTCTTTTCCAGTTTTGCCAAAGTCTCTGTCTGTCTTTCTCTCTCTCTGTCTCTCTCTCCTTCCTTCCTTCTTTCCTCCCTCCCTTCCTTCCTTCTTTTTATTTTTATGTTTGAAGCAGGGTCTCACTCTGTTGCCCAGGCTGGTAATGAATGCTTGATCTTCTTTTAGTTTTTACTTCTTACTGTGTTTGTTTTTAAGGCACCTGCTCTTGACTTTGTAATTAGTTATGATACAGCAGACATTAGCAGCAGAAATGGAAAAGCTGGGTAGATTGACACACAATCTCCTGCTTTCCCATCATTTATTTTGTGGCTCCTCTTATGCATAATAGTGAATTTCACTTCTCTCTTTCTAATGATTAGAGCACTGAGAAATATAAATTTTCTTCTAATTACAACATTAGCCTCATCTCATGTGTTTTGATATGTGGTATTGTGGCTACCAGGACTTTACCGGAATTTTTTACTGTATTAGTCCATTCTCACACTGCTATAAAGAAATACACAAGACTGGATAATTTGTAAAGGAAAGAAATTTAATGGACTCACAGTTCCACATGGCTGGGGAGGCCTCAAGAAACTTACAATCATGACAGAAGGCAAAGGGGAAGCAAACACCTTCTTCACAAGGCTGCAGGAGAGAGAAGAATGAAGGAGAAACTTCCAAACCCTTATAAAACCATCAGATTTTGTGAGAACTTACTCACTATTACCAGAACAGCATGGGGGAAACTGCCTCCGTGATCCAATCACTTCCCTCCCTTGGCACATGGGGATTACAGTTTCCTCCCTCAACACGTGGGGATTATAATTTGAGATGAGATTTGAGTGGGGACATACAGCCAAATCACATGAGTTACGATTTTTTATTTTTTCATTAAGCAAAGAGTTAAGAAAGATTTTGGAAAGCTTCCAAGTGGTTTGGTATTTTTCTGTTTTCCCTCTTTTGTGATAGATATCTAACTTATTGCAATGTGGTCAGAGAATGTGGCCTGTATGATTTCAACATTTAAAAAAAATAATTTTCCAAGATGTTCTTTTTGGTCCAGGATCTGGTTTGATGCCCCAAGCCATCTCTCTTAGGTAGATATTCTTAAATGACTCACGGGTGTTTGAAAAAATATCCACCTGATGTGTCTTTGGGGAACAAAGTCTGAGCCACAGAGCCAAGTGTATTAATCATATCATCGTGTTCAAACCTCTTCTGCTCTTCATCTCTCAAGGCTGGCTGGGTGTTCACAGTCCCCTGTGTGTTCATTGCTTCTGAGCTCTCAAAGTCTGTGATGTCTGACTTAAAGTGCTCCTGGGGATGCCCTGGTTGGAGACAGTGGAGAGGAGGAGGGATTCAGAGCTATTTTAAGCAGGAGATAGGGGCTCCAAAAACACAGCTTCCTCATCTCTGACACAGAAAGAGCAATTGTGAGAGTTGTCTGCAGGAGTGAATCACAAATCGATGATTGTAAATTGTATAGAACCATGCAAGGCACATAGCAAATGTTGGCTTTGTGTGGAATTGTAATTTTTAATACGCAGACAACCTTTTGACATCCTTCTACACGTTTCCAGTGGTATTGTACTTTTTTCTGATGTCCTCACTTGCATCTCTGTTCTTTCTTTACTGTGCATCTCCCTGGTTCTGGGCTTCACATGGTGCACAGCAGAACACTCCTTGGAACCCACGCGGGCTGCTCTGGGGGGCTGCCTGAGCTCCACAGTGCTGCTGTGTTTGATTTTCCACAGCTTGTGAATGAGAAAGAGAGTTAGATTTTATCTTCTGACTCATTTGATAGTTGGATGTTCTCTCTCTCGGTCTTACTGTAATCAGGTTTTATTTGGTCTTATTTTAAGTCGTCTGTTATGCTTCCTGTTGTTTCACGCTTCCATGCTTTGCTATTATTATTCATTATATTGCTAAGGTTATTTTCTTGCTGACTCTTTTTTTTTTGTAATTTAAAAGCAAAACGCTTTTATTCTACCAAGTCCACCTTACTTAATCCCCATATTTATACCTCTATTTCTCCACCAGCATTAATAATATACCAACAACTGTCTTTCACCCCATATAAAATGAGAAACTTTAGCATGCTCGATTTTCTCCTTTCCTTGCTTCCAACACTCAGGTTTTGTTTGACTAACACGGGCATCTTGTGCTTGATTTATGACACATTTTATTTGTTATGTATTCTTGCAATAACTATTTTTGCCTTTACACTCTATAAGCATATTAATCATCTGGACATTAATATATGCCCTGCTGGGTTGGATTCCTACTGTCATGTCTTTGGACCATGCCTTCCTTGTAATCTTTATTTTCATCCAGTTCTTGCTCATCTAACCTTTTGAGTCCTATATCTATGAACGTATCTCTCTATCATCCTCACAATGTAAACACTGGCCTGAGAGAATACAGAAATCTTGGGTGATGAATTTTGGCTCCTCGAAAGTCTGAGTTGCTGTCCTGTTGTCCAGTTGCATTTGGTGCCCTGAATGAGGACTATGATAGTGACATTCCCTCCCTCTGCTCTTAACCATTGAGGTTTCTCCCCCAACCTGAATGCCTGTAGGACTTCTTCTTGATCTTTGAAATGTGAAGAATACCTCAAGGTTATCCCTCCTGTACCTTGGCCGGCCCTAATCTCAGGGACCTGTGGTTGGTGGCTCACTTTGCTGTGCCACTGATGTCTTGTCTCATGGAACACTGGGCCCCAGTGTGAGGGGCTCTCTCATACCCAGGACACCTTTCCCTCTTCCTGCCTGTGACCCTTGGTGGGGATCTTTGCCCCCATGAGACTAGTTTTTCTATTCTCCTCCCCAGTTCTCTGGGAAGTAGAGGAAGAAGCAGTGTTGCAACTTGAGCTCCTCCCTCTCATGATATGTTCTCTATCCATTTTCCCAAATGACCCTCTTCTGCTCAGAGACTATGGGCACAAGCTGAGACATGGATTGGAGGTGGGGGTGGTTCATTAGTCAAGCCCAGCTTCTTTATATGGCCAGAATTGTGGCTCTTTTGCATTAATCCCACTACCTCCCCTTATGGCTGTCAAAAACTTCCTTATCCATTGCTGTGATCTGGCTCCTATGTAGCCCTTGAGCCCTTTGAAACATCTGCATGGCTCAGAATCCAATTGTAGACAAGGTTAACATTATTTCTCATCGTGGTTCCAAGCCCCATAAATTAGAGGTTGTGGTAAGATTCTTGTACAGTGCCCTTTGAATGTCCAATGAAGCTGTACACAAAATGCCAGGCTCATAGATGACCTCTGATTAATGAGAGTTGGAATGGGAAGTAGGAAAAGACAAAGGGGTAGAAGACCAGGGACTTCAACAATAAATGGCTCTCTTAAAATGACTCTTGCCTGATAAGTCCATACATTGTCTGGTCCAGTCAGAACATACCATTCAACAAACTTAAGAAAGAAGTTATGAAGGCTGATAATGGCTAAAATAGCTTTACCGGACTAGTTTTACTTAAGAAAGCAATTAAAAACTTTGAACAAACAAAAAGACAGACACTGTAATATATTTTAAAGCATTGAAGTACAACCTATAATAGAAGCTGAAGAAGACTCAATGTTTGAGGGCAGCCGACAGTCTCCATGATGTAGGGAAGACAGAACTCAAGCAAAAAGTGTAGTAAAGTTGTTTGGAAGTATCATAACATAGCATTTGGGTTCCCAAAGTAGTTGGAAATTGAGGAAGGAAATCCAATAGGAGAGGGAGTCACAGAAGGGAGAGCCACAAATCTGTGAATAAACTCCCTTCAAATCCTTGGTGATGCATATAAGGGAGATCTTAAGGAGGTTGAAGGGAAATTGAAGCTGGAAAAGCTGAATTGATATTTCAGCTGCTGCTCACAACAGAAGAGCCAGATTTGCAATTTAAATCCTGCCAAGTTACAGGAGCTTGGTAAAAAACCTTAGGCTTCCATTGAAATCCCCAAAAGATTATAACTTAGGAGTAAAGCCTATGTTCCAGAATTAAGACTTTTTTTAGCTAAAGGAAAAGTCTAAATAGAGTTACCCCCCAAAAAAAGTTTAAATAAATCTCCACAAATACAAGATGATTATCTGATAAATTAATTGCTTATTAGAAAAAAATCAACAATTTTCACAGAAAGATAATAGAATCCAAAGTCTGAACAATAGCCAATAAACAATAAAAAATGAGTAGATATGTGAAGAAACTGAAAAATGTGAGCCATAGAAAAAAGAAAAGCAATCAATGTAAATATACTGTGATTTGACCTATATTTTGGAATTAGCAGACAAATAATTTAAAATATTGTTACAGAAATGTTCAAGGAATTATGAGAAAGGCAGACTGTAATGAGTGAATGGATGAAAGAATTCTCAACATAAAATGGGAAAATATGTAAGGAACCAAACAGATACTTTAACACTTAAGTGTAAGATAGCTAAAATGAAAAAGTCACTGGATAGGCTTAGCAAAAGATTGAAGCTGGCAGAAGAAAACATTAGTAAACTTGAAAACAGATTTTTTAAATGACCAAATTTGAAGAAAGAGAGAGGAAAAATGTACAAAGAACAGTTCCTCATGACCTATGAAACATTACCAAACAACCTAATACACTTGTAACTGGAGTCACAAAAGGAATGGAGACAGCAAGTAGAGTAGACAAAATATTAGAAAAAAGGTAGAAATTCTCCTAAATTTGGTGAAAGCACAAATGTACAGATTAAGGCCAATGAACCCTAAGTCGAATAAATTCAAAGCAAACCACTGCGAGGCACACCACAAACTGTTTAGAGCTAAAGAGAAAGAGAAAATCTCGTATACAGCCTGAGGAAAAGGGCTCATAATATCGCTGGGGAAAGTAACACAAATGATGGATGACTTTTCATCAGAAATAATGGAGGCCAGAAGGCAATGGAACTACATCTTTAAAGTATTAAAAGAAAAACTGTCAACCCCAAATTCTCTCTTCATCAAAGTAAGTGACATGGACAATTCCTTGGAAGACTCAAGTTACCAATGCTGACCCTAGAAGTCACAAAATATCTAAATAGCCCTATATATTAAAGAAATTAAATGTATCAAAAACCTTCCCACAAAGTAAACTTCAGGCCCAATTTCACTGTAAAATTTTCTCAAACATTAAAGAAAAAAAATACTAATCTTACAGAAACACTTTCAGAAAACAGAAGAGAAGAAGGAAAACATTTAAACTTATTTTATGAGGTCAGGATGACCCTAATATAAAACCAGACAAAGACATTACAAACCAATATCCTTCCTGATCACAGATGTAAAAATCCTTGAATAAATTTAGGAAATTGAATCCAGGAATATTTAATAATAATAACATATTAGGACCTGATGAGGTTTACCCCAGAAATGCAAGGTTAGTTTAACATTCAAAACTCCAGTTAATACAATGCAGCACATTACCAGAAGAGAGAAAAAATGTATGTTCATCTTAAGAGATACAGAAAAAACGTTTGACAACACTTAACATCCATTTATAATAAAAACTCTCAGAAACTGGCAATAGAAGGAAACTTTCTCATAATGATAAAGGACATTTATGAAAAACTTACAGTTAACTTGATAGTTAATACTAAAATATTGAGTGTTTTACCCCTAATATCAGGAATCACACAGAAATCTGTTCTTACTACTACTATTAAACATTGTACTGTAGATCCTAGCCAGTGTCATATGACAATCAAAGTCATACAAGTTATGGAGATTGGAAAGAAATAATTAAAATTGTTTTTATTTACAGGCATCATAATTATTGACATGGAAAATCCTAAAAAAGTCAACAACAACAAAGAAATTATCTAGGTATAATAAGTAAATTTATGAAGTTCACAGAATACAAAATCAACATAAGTAATTGTATATCTATAGAGTAGCAGCAAATATTTGGAAAAATAAAATTTAAAACTGATTACAATAGTGTTAAAAATCTAAAACTCTTAGGAGTAAAGTTAAACAGGTACATTATACCAGCATGCAGAAATATACCCTGTTATGGGCTGTGAGACTCAGTATTGTTAAAAATGCTAATCATCTCCAAATTGATTAATTGCTATCTCAGTCAAAATCCCAGGAGTTGAGGGGGGACAAGATGGCCAAGTATAGACAGCCAGGGAGAACTCCTACTGAGACAGAACAGAATATCAAGTAGACTGGCATACTCTGAACAGATCATCTGAGAGGATGTATTGAGGGTGGAGAGAGAGATGACCCAGATGCTGGGATTGAATAGAGGAGGAACTGAAAACCCTGCACAGGGTTTCCAACCTCCAGGATGCATGCCAGGCCTTGATTGTCTACTAAGGAAGGGGTGAGTAGAGCAAATGTGGAACAGCCCACTCTTGGCACAGACCTCTAGGATTATAGCTGCAGGAAACACCATAACCCCCATGGACATTGTGTGGGCAGGGGGAGCTGCCAGAAAAGTAGGCAGAGACAGAACTTGAATCTGCATGGAGCTCAGGTGGGCTGGTGCAGGGGCAGCTATAGTGGAATATGGCCATTGGTGCCCATCCCCCAAGGTTATCCATACTCCTCTAGGTGGCTCTTACCTGTGTGGCCTGCTGGACCTGGAGAGACCAGGACAAGTCTGCTCTGCACAATCCCTTGTCTGCTTGCCCTTCCCAAAGTCCCTGCCTGGCTGTGCAGCACAGCCTCAGCTACCCTGAAGGACCATTTTGCCAGTGGCTACCATCACAGTGCTTTTGCCAGAGGCCCCCACCATCCCACCAGAGCTCTTTTGCTGATAGCCTCCCAGCAAAGTATGTTTGCTCATGATCCCGCCACCAGTCCCTCCAGAGTGGATTTGCCTATGGCACCCTGACTGCTTGCTGCTGGAGCACTCCCTGCCTACAGTGCCCCCACTGGAGCACTTCCCACCCTTGGAGACCCTGCTGCCCCCACTGGAGCACTTCCCACCTGTGGATACCCTGCCACCCCCACTGGAACAATTTTGCTAATAATCTCCTGCCTGAGCTCATTCATCCATGACCCCACTACCAGACCTCCAGAGTGGATTCACCGCAGTACTCCTGGCATCTCCATCAGAGCACTTCCCACAGTCTCTTCACTGCCCCTGCCGGAGCAATTTTGCTATGAGCCTCCCACAAGACTGCATTTGCTTGTGACCCTGCTGCCGCCTCCACTAGAGAGCTTATGCCTGAGGCACTCTTGCTGCCTCTGATGGAGTGCTGTTGCCAGCAGTCTGGGAACAGCTTGGCCACTCCAGCCCAGCCAGGGCTTAACCTCAAGGGACCAGAGGATAAAGCCACAAGTCTGGTTCCAGTACCCAGGGTTAGAGGACCCTGACCAGGAGCAAGGAGCTGGACCTTGGCCCTCTGAAAGCATCCAAAAATAAAGCTATTCAACTATACACAACTTGCAACTGTCAAACCCTGAAAGGCAATAAAGAACATAAAAACAAAATGCCCCATCCAAAGAACAGCAACTTCAAAGGATAAAAGAACATCAGCCCTCATAGATGAGAAAGAACCAGTGCAAGAACTCTGGCAACTTTGAAAGCCAGAGTGTCTTCCTACCTTCAGGAGATCACACTAGCTCCCCAGCAATGGTCCTTGAGCAGATCAAAATGGTTGAAATGTCAGACATAGAATTCAGGGTCTGGGTAGCAAGGAAACTTGTTGAGATATAAAGGAAGGTTGAAACCCAATCCAAGGAGAACAGTGAAACAATCCAAGAGTTGAAAAATGACATAATCATTTTAAGAAAGAACCAAACTGAACTTCTGGAAATAAAAAATTCACTACAGGAATTTCAAAACACAACTAGAAGTATTAACAACAGAACAGATCAAACTAAAAAAAGAAACTCAGAGCTTGAATTCCGCTTCTTCAAAGCAACACAGACAGACAAAAAATTTTAAAGAAATTAAAAAGTAAACAAAACCTTTGAGATAGAGAAATATAGCATACTGTGAAGAGACCAAACCTACAACTCATTGGCATTCCTAAAAGGGAAGGAGAGTGAGCGAGCAAGTTGGAAAACACATTTGAGGATATAGTTCATGAAAACTGTCCCAATCTCACTAGAGAGGTCTACATGCAAATTCAAGAAATTCACAGAACCTCTGGGAGACACTATACCAGACAACCATTCCCAAAACACATAGTCATCAGATTCTCTAATGTCAATATGAATGAAAAAGATCTTGGGTAGCTAGAGAGAAAGGACAGGTAACTTACAAAGGGAAAACCATCAGGCTAATAGCAGACCTTCCAGCAGAAACCTTACAAACCAAAAGGGATTGGGATCCTATTTTTAACATCCTTGAAAAGAAATTCAAACCAAGAATTTTACATCCCACCAAATTAAGCTTCACAAGTGAAGGAGAAACTACACCATTTTCAGACAAGCAAATGCTAAGGGAATTATTATCACTAGACCTGCATTACAAGGGTCCTAAAGGAAGTGCTAAACATGGAAATGAAAGAACTATACCAGCCACCACAAAAACACACTCAAGTACATAGCCCATTGACACTATTAAACAACTATACAGTCAAGTCTACATAACTCTCAGCTAATAGCATGATGATAGTATCAAATCCTCACATATCAATATTGACCCTAAATATAAATGGGCTAAATGTCCCACTTATGGGGCATAGAGTGGCAAGTTCTATAAAGAAGCAAGGAGGCCAGGCATGGTGGCTTAGGCCTGTAATCCCAGCACTTTGGGAGGCCAAGGCAGGTGAATCACGAGGTCAGGAGATAGAGACCCTCCTGGCTAACATGGTGAAAACTTGCCTCTACTAAAAACACAAAAAATTAGCCAGGGGCCTGTAGTCCCAGCTACTTGGGAGGCTGAGGCAGGAGAACGGCGTGAACCCGGGAGGTGGAGCTTGCAGTGAGCCAAGATCGCACCACTGCACTCCAGCCTGGGTGACAAAGCAAGACTCTGTCTCAAAAAAAAAAAAAAAAAAAAAAAAAAGCAAGGATCGGAGAAAGATCTACCATGCAAATGGAAATTTTAAAAAAAGCAGGAGTTGCTTTTCTATGTTAAATAAGACAGAGTTTAAACCAGCAATTATAAAAAATGACAAAGAAAGGCATTACAAAATGATGATGAAGCATTCAATCCAATAAGAAGCCTTGACTATCCTAAATATATACACATCCAACACTGAAGCAATCAGATTCATAAAACAAGTACTTGGAGATCTATGAAGAGAGTTAGACTACCACACAATAATAGTGGGGGATTTCAACACCTCACTGACAGCATTAGACAGATCATGAAGGCAAAAAACTAACAAAGATAGAAGGATTTAAACTGGACACTTGACCAATTGTACCTAAGAGACATCTACACAACACTCCACCAAACCACAGAATATACATTCTTTTCACCTGCACATGGCCCATACTCTAAGATTGACCGCAAGCTTGACCATAAATCAAATCTTAATAAATTTAACAAAATATAAATCATACCAACCACATTCTTGGACCACAGTGCAATAAATGTATAAATCAATACCAAAAAGATCTATCAAAACCATACAATTAAATGCAATCTAAACAACCTGCTCCTGATTGACATTTAGGCAAAGAATAAAATTAAGGCAGAAATAAAAAAAAAGTCGAGTTTCAGGATACAAAATTAAGGTACAAAAATCAGTAGCTTTTCTATATACCAATAATATCCAAGCTAAGTACCAAATCAAGAATGCAATCCCATTTAGAATAGACACAAAAAGAATAAAATATCAAGGAATAATACAGCTTACCAAAAAGGTGAAAGATCTCTAAAATGAGAATTACAAAACACTGCTGAAAGAAATCAGAGACAACACAAATAAAAAAAAAAATTCCATGCTTATGTGTAGGAAGAATCAATATTGTTAAAATGGCCATACTGCCCAAAGCAATTACAGATTCAATGCTATTTCAATGACACTACCAACATAAGTTTCCACAGAATTAGAAAAAACAGTTTTACAATTTGTATGGGACCCAAACAGATCCCGATTCCCCAAAGCAATCCTAAGAAAAAAGAACAACGCTGGAGGCATCACACTACCCAACTTTAAACTATACTACTAGGCTCCAGTAACCAAAAGCTCATGGTACTGGTACAAAAAAGATACATAGACCAATGGAACGGATTAGAGAACACAGAAATGAAGTCACACACCTACAACCATCTGTTGGTTGTAGGAAAAAACTCCCTATTTAATAAAGGGTGCTGGGATAAGTGGCTAGCCATACACAGAAGGTTGAAGCTGGACTCTACCTTTCACCATAAACAAAAATTAACTCAAGATGGATTAAATACTTAAATATAAGACCTAAAACAGTAAAAAACCTGGAAGAAAACCTAGGAAATAGCATTCTGAACATCAACCTTGGAAATGAATTTATACTAAGTTCCCAAAAGCAATTGCAACAAAAACAAAAATTTATAAGTGGGACCAATTAAACTAAAGAATTTCTGCACAGCAAAACAAAAACAAAAACAAAAAACCATCAACAGAGTAAACAGATAACTTCCAGAATGGGAGAAAGTATTTGCAAACTATGTATCCAACAAAGGTCTAATTGCAGAATCTATAAAAAATATAAACAATTCAACAAAGAAAAACCAAATATGCTGATTAAAAAACAGGCAAAAGACATGAACAGACACTTCTCAGAAGAAGACATATATGCAGCCAACAAATATGGGAAAAAATGTTCATCATCAGTAATCATTAGAGAAACGCAAAACAAAACCATGATGAGATAACATTTCACACCAGTCAGACTGGCCATTATTAGCAAGTCAAAAAACAACAGATACTAATGAAGTTGCAGAGAAAATGGAATGCTTATACATTGTAAGTGAAAATGTGAATTAGTTCAGCCACTGTGGAAAGCAGTGTGGAGATTTCTCAAAGAACTGAGAACTACCATCCTGCCCAGCAATCCCACTACTGGGAAGACACCGAAAGGAAAATAAATTGTTCTATCAAAAAGACACATGTACTTGTATGTTCATTGCAGCACTATTTACAATAGCAAAGACATAAAATCAACAAAGATGTGCATCAACAGTGGGCTGGATAAAGAAAATGTGGTACGTATATACCATGGAATACTATGCAGCCATAAAAAGAATAAAATCATGTCCTTTGCAGCAACATGAATGTAGCTGGAGGCCATTATCCTAAGTGAATTAATTCAGGAACAGAAAACCAAATATTGTATGTTCTCACATATAAGTGGGAGCTAAACATTGGGTACTTGTGGACACAAAGATGAGAACAATAGGCATTGAGGACTGCTTGAGTGGGGAGAGAGGGAAAGAGGTGAGCGTGAGTTAGAAGACTACGTATCAGGTACTATGCTCATTACCTGGGTGATGGGATCTTTCTTACACCAAGCTCAGTGACACATAATTTGCCCATGTAACAAATCTGCACATGTACCCCCTGAACCTAAAATTAAAGGAGAGGAAAAAATATCCCAGCAGTCATTTTATAGAATTGACTTTTAATTCTAAAATGTATGTGAAAATGCAAAGAGTCCTAAATACCCAGACAGTCTTGAAGAATAACAAATTTGGAGTCATACTACCTCTTTTCAGGACACACTGTGTAGGTACAATAACCAGGAAGGTGTGAGGTTGGTGTAAGGTAGACATTTAGATCAGTGGACTGCAATAGAAAGTCCAGATGTGGACTTTTAAAAAAATTGAGGTGAAATTTACATAACATACAATTAGCCATTTTGAAGTGTCTAACTAGTGGCACTTAGTGCATTTATGTGTTGTGAAATCACAAGGTTAGATGATTTTTGTTTTAACCAGGTGCTTAGGTAATTCAATTAGAAAAGGAAAATCTTCTCAACAAATGATGCTGAAACAAGTAGTTAGACAGATGGAGAGAACACAAATTTCAACTTCTCTCTCACACACACATACAAATTGGAGATCAATCATAGATCAAAGCATAAAATCTTAAACTATAAAGCTTGCAAAAGAAAATAAAGGAAACTATTTCCTCAGAGAAGACACAAAAACATACAAGGGAACATGGATAAACTTGACTTTATTACAATTATAAACTCCTGCTCACACAAAGACACTGATAAGAAAATAAAATGTAATCCAAAGATAGGTAGAAAAGATTCACAGTACATATACCTAACATAGGATTTTTATGCTAAATATATAAAAATCCATACTAATCAATAACAAAAGTGAACACCATTAGAAATCATTAGAAATCATAAGTCAGAAGGGCATACAATGAAATGCACAATGATATAGCTTTTCACACCCACTAGATGGTTAAAAAATTTTTAAAAAGACTGACAACACTTAATACTGGTGAGAATATAAACAATGAGAATTCTTGAACATGCTTGGTGGGGTTTTAAAATTGTACAGCCACTTTGGAACACTGCTTGGTCATTTCTTATTAAGTTAAATATACATCTTTCCTGTGACCCAGTAATTCTTCTAGATACTTACCCTAGAGAAATGAAAATACATATCCCCCAAAATACTTAAATGTTTATAGCAGCTTCACTGATAATAGATAAAAACTGGAAAACAAGTCACATGACCTACAACAGAAAATTGGATAAACAAAGTGATGGTATAGTCACACCATGAAATACTGCTTGGTAATGAAAGGGAACATGTGACAACATGGAGGAATCTCAAAAATACTATGTTAAGTGAAAGTGATACTGGGCAGGTGTGTTAGTCCATTCTCACACTGCTATAAAGAACTACCTGAGACTGGGTAACTTATGAAGAAAAGAGGTTGAATTGACTCACAGTTCCATGGGCTGTACAGGAAGCAAGACTGGGAGGCCTCAGGAAACTTACTGTCATGGTGGAAGGCAACAGGGAAGCAAACGCATCTTACATGGCAGAGCAGGAGAGAGAGAGAGCAAAGAGGGAAGTGCCACACACTTTTAAACCATCAGATCTCGTGACAAGTCACTCACTATCATGAGAATAGTAAGGGAGAAGTCCACCCCCATGATTCAGTCACCTCCTACCAGCCTCCTACCCCAACACATGGGGATTACAATTCGACATGAGATTTGGGTAGGGACCCAGAACCAAATCATATCATTCTGCCTGTGGCCACTCCCAAATATCATGTCCATCTCACATTTCAAAATCAGTCATGCTTTCCAACAGTCCCCTAAAGTCTTAATTTATTCCAGCACTAACTCAAAATCCAAGTCCAAAGTATCATCTGAGACAAGGCAAGTCCCTTCTGCCTAGTAGCCTGTAAAATCAAAAACAAGTTAATTACTTCCAATATACAATGGGATTACAGACATTGGGTAAATGCTCCTATTCCAAAAGGGATAAATGGGCCAAAACAAATGGGCTACAGGCCCCCTGCAAATCTGAAGTCCAGCAGGGCAGTCATTAAATCTTAAAGTTCCAAAATGATCTCCTTTGACTCTATGTCTCACATCCAGGCCACACTGATGCAAGAAATGGGTTCCCAAGGCCTTGGGGAGCTCTACCCCTGTGGCTCTGAAGGGTACAGGCTTCATGGCTACTTTCACAGGCAGACATTGCATGCCTGCAGCTTTTGCAAGCACATGATGCAAGGTGTCAGTGGATCTAGCATTCTGGGGTCTGGAGGACAATGGCCCTCTTCTCACAGCTCCATTAGGTAGGGCTCCAGTTGAGACTCTGTATGGGTTCCAATCCCACATTTCCCCTCTGCACTGCCCTAGTAGAGGTTCTCCATGAGGGCCCTGCCCCTGCAGCAGAATTCTGCCTGGACATCCAGGCATTTCCATATATCCTCTGAAATCTAGGTGGAGGTTCCCAAAGCTCAATTCTTGTTTTCTGTGCACCTGCATGCCCAAAACAACATGGAAGCCACCAAGGCCTGGGGCTTGCACCCTCTGAAGCAGTGGCTTGAGCTGTACCTTGGCCCCTTTTAGCCATGGCTGGAGCTGGAGTGGCTGGGGCTCGAGGAACCATGTCCCAAGGTTGCACAGAACAGTGGGGTCCTTGACCTAGCCCACAGAACCATTTTTCCCTCCTAGACCTCCAGGCCTGTGATGGGAGGGGCAGCCACAAAAATTTCTGAAATGCCCTGGAGACATTTTCCCCATTGTCTTGGCTATTAACATTTGGCTGCTTGTTGCTTATGGAAATTCTGCAACAGCTTGAATTTCTCCCCAGTAAATGAATTTTTCTTTTCAACCACACGGTCAGGCTGCAAATTTTCTAAACTTGTATGCTCTGCTTCCCTTTTAAATATAAGTTCCAACTTCAGATCATCTCTTTCTTCACACATATGAGCATACACTTCTAGAAACAGCCAGGTTACCTTTTGAATGCTTTGCTGCTTAGAAATTTCTTCCTCCAGTTGCCCTAAATCCTCTCTTTCAAGTTTATAGTTCCAAAGATCTCTAGGGCAGGGGCAAGATGCCACCAGTCTCTTTGCTAAAGCATAGCAAGAGTGACCTTTACTCCAGTTCCCAATAAGTTCCTCATCTCCATCTGAGACCACCTCTGCCTGGACTTCATTGTCTGTATCACTATCAGTATTTGGGTTAAAAACATTCAACAAGTCTGTAGGAAGTTTTGAACTTGCCCTAATCTTCGTATCTTCTTCTGAGCCCCCCAAACTGTTTCAACCTCTGCCCATTACCCAGTTCCAACATTACTGCCACATTTTCAGGTATCTTTATAGCAGTGCCCCACCTTCCTGGTATAAATTTTCTGTATTAATTCATTCTCACCTGGCTATAAAGAATTACCTGAGCCTGGGTATTTATGAAGGAAAGAGTTTTAATTGACTCACAGTTCTGCATGGCTGGGGAGGCCTCAGGAAACTTACAATCATGGCAGAAGGTGAAGAGGAAGCAAGGGATGTCTTAAATCATGGCAGAAGAGAGAGAGAATGAAGGGGGAAGCACCACACACTTCTAAACCATCAGATCTCACAAGTACTCACTCACTATCATGAGAACAGCAAGGGGAAGTCTGCCCCCCACGATCCAGTTACTTCCCATCAGGTCCCTCCCTGAAGACATGGGGATTACAATTAGAACTGAGACTTGAGTGGGGACACAAAGCCAAACCATATCAGCAGGTGAGCTACAAAATTGGGGCTTAGCCTGAGAGTGTTCTTGGCTTTGCCCAGGAAAGAATTCAAGGGTGAGCCAGTGGTGTTAGACAGCAAATGTTACTGAAGCGGCGGTGCAAGGCAGTAGCAGATGTGCTGCTCCTTTCAAAGCAGGGCTAGCCCAACAGGCAGTGTGCCCAGAGTAGTAGCTCAGGGGCAGTTCTGCCATCATATTTATACTCACTTTTATTTACATGCAAATTAACGGTGGATTATGCGGAAATTTCTAGAAAAAGGCTGGTGACTTCCAGGTTGTCAGGTCATCACCATGGAAAGAGGTGATGACTTCTGGTTGTTGCCATGACAATGGTAAAGTGACATGGCACTGGTGGGCCTGTCTTATAGAAAGGTGCTTTTGCCTCTTCCCTGTTTCATCCAGTCTTCAATCTGGTACACAGCTCAAGTGCCACTTCCAGAGTCAAGTCCCAACTCCTACCTCAAAAGCAGCCAAACAGAAAACAATCCTCTCTATGTAATTCTATTTATATGAAGTCCAAGAAAAGGCAAAACTCATAGATGCTGACAGAAATTAGGAAAAGTTTTGGGTGTAGGGGTGGAGATTGACTGGAATTTGACTGGAATTGGGCAGGAGAGAACTTTATGGAGCCCTGGAAATGCTCTGTCTTGATTGTGCTGCTGGCCCTGGGGATATAAAGTTACCAAGACTCATCAGATTGTGCCTTTGAGCATGTGTGCATTCTGTCCTATGTAAAATTTCCTTCCAAACAAGTGGTAATAACGAGGTCACCTGTATGTCCACAGTCTTGTAACTTGATCCAGTCACACAAGGCCTACTGGGATTTTCATGCGGGTCACAGCACCATAGACATACTCCACGGAATCATGTTAGCAGGTGCTCAGTGCCCAATCCAGGGTCTGGATTTGCTGCCGTTTATGTAACTCACCCCAAGGAAGCTTTGGAGAACAGAGAGGGAGCTGCCTCTTCCACAAAGTTCAAAAGGACCCTTCACTCTGCCTCTCCACATTCACGTTCACAGCGGTGAAAAATACCACACAGACCCTGGGCCATCTTCCTGTTTAATGGGGTCTTGAACGACACCTGACGTGAAGAGCCTATTGTGCCCAGCACCCTGATTTATTAGGCGGAAGCTGCAGGCCACCACTGGCCACACTTTGATCAAAAGAAGACAAAAGGAGGAGGTGCCCAGAGACAATCCCAGGTCAGGCTTCACTGTGATGAGCAGAGGGAGCCCTTGCAGGCAAACTCTTTGCAGGAATTCATCTCCAGGCAGCTGGCTCCACAGTGCCCAGACATGGTCACAGTTACTCCTCCAGAGGGCTCTGTGACCCCCAGCATGGGCCTTGGTGGGGAGAGCTCAGCTGTATCATGTGGGCTCAGTCCTTGGAATCAGGAACCAGCCTGATGACCCTCCAGGCAGGGAATTGACAGCTGAGGCCTGCAGATCACCTCTCTGGGACGTCACCCAGGGTCATCCCAGGTGGCCATGTGGCCTTCCCAGCTACGCCCAGCCTGGCAAGGTGCACCTACTCCAGGCTGCCATGTGAGAAAGGGGACAATGTCGTAGCGGTGTGGCAGGCCACCTGCCTTCTGCTGGGGCTCCGAGGTTTCCAACAAGCCTAGTGTGCGGTGAGCAGTGTGGGGATGGCTGCCTGGGTCACTGCTGGTCACAGGAGGCCAGGGCTGGCCCTGCAGGCCACAGCACCCCTCATGGGCATTCTCTTCGTCCTTGTTGACCTTTCTAAGCTCTGCCCCTCCTCTGAGTGCTCATTTCTGTGCTAAAATTATCTGGCAAATTCACTTCCACTCAGGCCTCAGAGGAAAGACGTGCAGCTCCTCCAGCAGGAGGGGCAACAGCCTGGGGTTTCCGGAAATCCAGGCTCCTGGCCTCTGACATGGGAGGGTGCCTCCAAGGGCTCTGGGCCTCGGAGTAGGTGACGTTGCACAAAGAAGTGAGATCCTAGCTGGGCTGCGAAAAACTTCCCATGGGATGTCCAGCTCAGGCCAGGAAGTCCTAGAGGGGTCCTGGAGGAATTGTGGGAGGGGCAGACTCAGGCGTGCAGACCACAGAGAGGTGAGAGGTGGGGGGTATTCTTGGCCTGGTTGAAGCCCCTCCCTGACGCCACTCTTATCTCAAGCTGGGGCTGAGGTAGGGGGCTGCGCAGCCCCAGGGCGCAGAGCCAGCTGTGTGGCTGCCTCAGTCCTTCAGCAGTGGAGATAAGTCACAGCGGCTGTTTCTGTTGTGTTGTCAGAGAGCAAAAATAGACTGTGTCTCCCTTTCCCAGAAGGGCCCTGGCATGGGCCTGGGCCAGGCTGCTGTCTGCCCTTGGCCTTGAGAAGAACGATGCCTGGCCGAGCGGTCAAGAGCATGAGTGGAGTTTGCCCGCTCCCCGCCTCCTCTTGCTCGTGGGGGAAACAAAAGCCTGGCTGGGGAAGGGCTCACTAGGCCTGCCCCTTCCATTCTCCCTCAGGGCCTCAGGCTGTGAGGGCGGTGGGGACCCCTGTACTCCACATCCAGCTCCATGGGGCCTCAAAGGTGGGGCTCCCTGGGAGTGCTGGGCTGAAGAGCCCTAGGACCCTGAACCAGACCCAGGGCAGGGTGGTCTGTGCTGCAGGGCTCGGGCAGGAGAGTGAACCCACACACACTCAGCCGCCTCCCAGAGCTCTCAGGGACACACAGTCAGCCGGCGATCAGCCTAGGGGAGCAGGTCTGTGAGGATGGGTGGGCTCCCTCGGGGAAGAGCAGCAGGGGCTCCCAGGGGCTCTTAGGGCGCCCTTGGGTGAGGGTGTCAGCCCTTTGACCTGCGAGCTCCAAGTGGAACTTGGCTGGAGCTGTTTCCATGGCCTAGGCGGACCCCCAGTCTAGCTAGCCAGGGTGAGGGAGGGTACCGGCCACACTGTCCAGCCCCCAAGTTCCGTTCCAGCTTCCACTGGATGAGATGGGGCACTGCACTGCACAGGGGCCACCCTCTCTGGACCAGATAGGGGACCCCGATGAACCTCTCAAGTGGAGGGACAAGGAGATAGAGCGGCTTGCTCTGCAGGGTACCACTCTGCCGTCTCCGTCTCTGAGCTGGAGCTGCTGTGGGCTGTCTCTCCCCAGGCCGGTGTGGACCCTGGTGCCTCCTTTATGGTATAGGGCGCTGTGAGTTGGGCAGAGCGGGCATCTTCCTGACCCAGGGCATGAGGGCTGCCCAGTGGGGGTGAGTGGGACTGCAGCTGAGCTGGGGTTTGGGTTCCCAACAGTGAGGGTCCCTGGTAGGATCGGGCGCTCCCTGTCCATATGGAAAGCAGACACAGTGCTCTGTCACCCAACAGGTGAGCTCTGTAGAGTGTCGGGGAGGCCAGCTGGGGCCTAGTGCATGGTGGTGTCACACACGCTGGTCTCCACCCGTTGGCACAGGGACCGGCCACCTCCCAAGCCCTGCTCCAGGTTCCTGACTCAAGCCCCTGGAGGAGGCCTGTGAGGAGACGGTCAGGGCCTCAGGGTCCCTGAGAGCCTGGAGCTCTGGAATCCGGAAGGCTGCTCCTTCACGTTCACCTGGCAGGGGCCAAGGCTGCTGTGAAGCTGAGGGTTTGGGGAATCAGCCTCCACTTCGGGCTGCGAATCCCTCGGCTCCTTCCCGCTCCTGGCTCTCCGCCGCCCCCGGCACCCCCATGTGTTTATGCCCCACTTATCTCCCGCAGCACATTTCGGAGGTGGATGTAAAGAAAATTCTGATCTTTTAAAATAGATTTCACAGGGGAGGTGGAAAGCGGGAAGGAAGGGATGAGTTTGTCTTGCGTTTGTTTTTAAAATAGGCCAGTGTGAGCCTGGTGTTTACGGTCGGCTGATGATGTCGCCACATCGTCCGTTCCAGCCCCCAGGACAGTCATTTCTGCTGAGCCCACGCACCATTTCTTGGCTTTTTGGTTCTCAAACCCAGGGCTGCGTGGTCTCACGATATTTGTGGTTGTGTGTGTGCGCACACGCGTGTGTTTATGTGTGTGCGTGTGTGTGCACGCGTGTGGAGGTGGGTGAGCTGGGAACGAAGCCTGCGGGGAAGCTGGGTGGACGGCACCACCCGCGTCACCCTCTATCCTGTGTGTGCTCACACGTGAGTGACAGGAAGTAGCTGGGCCTACAAATACTTGCCCTGGGTGGCTGTGGCTGGAGATGATTGGCCGGGGCTGGTCAGCATCTTAGGGGGCCACACCGCTCCGTCCAATGCGGGCCGAGTGGTCTTTGCGCACATGCAGCACTCAGGAAATCCGCACCCTGACCTGCAGCTGCATCGATTCATGAGGTCACTGAGGGGCGGCAGTTGGGCTGGAGGCTCTCGTGGGGGAATCCCATTTTGGCAGCTGGGTTTTCCTTCCTCTGGGCACCCCGAACTTGTATGGTCACTAAGCCCTGACCTGCTGCCTGCAGCACCAGGACATCACCCATGGACATTGTGGGGCCTGGTGCAGCTCTCCTGAGCACCAGGCTCCTGGCACAGGGGGCTCCTGGCCACCCAGAGCAGCAAGACCTTCCATGAGCTGCTCCCCATCGGGGACCAGTGAGCAGTGGGACCTCCCATGTGCTGCTCCACCATCGGGAGCCAGTGAGACAGCAATCTGATGACAGACTCACCTCCTGGATCCAGCTGTGCCTGAAACCCATCTACCCCTTACATTTTCTGATTCCATAAACTAGTCAACTGTCACATTGTAAGTTTTGAAACAGATGTTAGTCACTTGCACAGGCATGAATCCTGACCACCGAGCCATGGATTTGCCACAGGGGCTAGACTTGGAGCAACGGTGACCAGCAATGGTGGAGCAGGACGTGGAAGATCCTGCTGCTCACTGTCGCCCCTGATGGTGGAGCAGCACATGGAGGATCCCACTGCTCACTGTTGCTCCGAGGGTGGAGCAGCTCATGGAGGGTCTCCAAAGAGGCTGTCTCCATCTGCCTGTCTATCTCTGCTCTGCTTCCCCTTGGGTAGCTTCATTCTTGGGCACGCTGTCTCTCCAGGTAGACATGATGGCCATAAGAAGCTCCAGGCATAGAGCAACTCTCTATTTTCAATAACCTTCCAAGACTCTCAGGAATCAGAGTGGCCCGCCTGGGTCATGTGCCCATCCAGTCCCTGTCTCCCGAGCTGGGCGGTGCTGATTGGCCCGACTGGGTCATGTGTCTGTGGCCAGGGCTGCTGGACTGGGGAGAGGGTCATTTTCAGAGCAAACACAGAGAGCCTTTCCCTAAGAAAGGGAATGAATGGTAGACAGGCAGAAATCACACGTGCCCCCTGAGTGCAGCCATGCCAGGCATGGCCAGCAAGCGCTCCCATGGAGAAAAACTATTTCTACAGGTAACAGCCCTCCACAGGGGTGTTGGGGCTCCACTTTCCAACCTCTTTCTTCCTTGGGAGCAAAAACTCTGTGGCTGCCAGGACCTGCCTCTCTGAAAACCCCCGTAAAGCTTCAAAGGGGCCTGTCCACCTCGCCAGCTTTGATCTCAGGAGGAAACTTGCTCAGACACATGATCCAAAGGAATGTGTACAATTCCAGGTATGCACAGGCACCTCCCTGGGCAGAAAGCAAGGCGCTTTCATCACAGGCTGCGGGAGTCACCAACTGAAGAGACTCAATGTCCTTGAAAGCACTTTTCTTTTTATTATGTTCAAAATTCAGCAACGAAAACTGCTCGTCTTGCTTCTACGGAAGCTGTAAGGACGAGAAAGTGGAGCGCTGTCGCGGAAAGAGGCAGAAATTTGGTGACACAAGAGCGATCTCAGGACAGGGTGGAGCCAGGGATCAGGACTGTGGTGCCCAGTCCCAGCTCAGCTAAGCCAATGTGCGTCTTTGGGTAAGTTGCTTCCCCTTTCTGGGCACCGGTTTGAGCTTTCATAATGAAAACCACCTTCATGCCCTCATGACACTTTGCACAGTGTCATCAGCATTTGGGGCCACATGATTTCTGCAGGTCCCTCAAGTCTAGAGTTTTATTATTCTAGGCTCCAGGCTTAAGATGATCTGTTGAAACCCTTGGATCAAATAGCATCATCATTTCTAAAAGTCAGCCTTCCAAAATCAGTCTGGGAGCAGAGAAAAGAGCTTCTGACACAAGGATAAAGGCAGCATGAGCTGCAGGGGGGCCTCAGAGGCGTGTCGTGCACCTGCTCAGGAAAGACCCTCCTGGAGACCTGGTCACTGAGAGGGCAGAAGGAAGGCATGGCAAACACAGGCGGTCTTTTAAAGATTTGACCACCAGGAGCGGGAGAGGGTGAAGATCGCTAGCGGGATGCAGGGTCTGGGGACGGTTCTGAGAAAGGAGGCACTTGGAGCAGCTAAAATGCCAAGGGCAGAGGAACTGGGCAGGGCTGGGGTGAGATGCAGGCGGTGCCCCATGGTGCAAGGCTGTGACCAGGGTGAAGGGGGTGCTGGTGGGCGATGGGGGCAAGGGCGAACCCCTCTTTTACTGCAGTGGGGGAGGTGGTGCAGGGGCTTCTGGCCCTTGATTTTCTCAGTGCAGTGGGAGTTACGGTCATGGCTAGGGAGGGGAGGCAGGGGTGGGGTTTCTGGGGTTTCTGGTCACCTTCCAGAGCCTGACCCTGCAGGAGGGACCCTTGCTCTGCAGCTATGCTCCTTGGCCTGGGGGTAAATTCACAGGCTGGATGGATGGAGGGGATGGATTTCAAGGACTAGGGGAAGAAGGATGGGCAGCCATGGTTTCACGTTTTGTGGGGCCTGAGGTTCCTTCCAGGTTCTTGGCCAGCCTGCGTGGGTGAGGGGCTTGGGACTCCAGCCTCAATAGCCATCTTGGTCAATCTGCCTGCATGCCGCACCATGAGGAACACCAAGTGGGCTTGGGCCTCAGAAGGGACAGACATGTCCCTGGCCTCACCTGCCTGGTTAATGGGATTTGGGGCTAAGGGCCAAAGAGGGGCCCCTGGGGCATGGGGATCCTCATGACCCAGGCTCTCTCCTAAGCACACAGCGCCATACGCTAAGCACATGGCACCAACACGGTGCCAACTCTAAGTCTCCTAGGTGTTCAACTTGAACTTCCGAAGGTGGTGCCACTGAGCTCCCGACTCCAGAATCTCCCAGCCAGTGCATTTGGGATTGCGCCGTCCATCACACACAGGGATGGCCGCTCCCCTGGAGGGAAGTGTCTGAGCTGGGGACTCTCAGATGTCGCTCCTCCTGGATTAGGGAATGGTGGACCCAGGCCCCTGTTTCAGCCCCTTGCGTTGCACTGTTCTGGAAGGCTCAGTTCAACCTTCATCTCTTAGTGCAGGGGAATATGTGTCAGAGTGTGTGCGATGGCACCAGACTGGAATAAAAGAATGAGATTCCTTTGCAGTTTGGAGGTAAAGCTCAGTCACCACCCAGAGACAATGAGAAAAGCTGCCTCATCTGGAGCAGACAGTGTGGGGCTGAAAGTTGGCTCAGATACAGTTATGGGGCAACAGGAGACACATCTCAGCCTACTCTTCTTTCATCTGAGAGGAGAAAGCACTCAAAGGGCTTTAAATTAAAATCAATTTCTGTTCAATCCTGGGCTAATTTGGTTGGCCATCTCTTTCAGCTTGAATGGAGGTGCAATAAAGCGAGGGCACTTTCTGCGAGATCTGGAAGGACCCTTGGAACTGATCTCATCCTGCCTCCCTCTGGGAAGCCAGGGAAGGCCTGAGCCCTACGGGGTGATGACAACCGGCCTCTGCCCAGGGCATGCTGTCGAGGTCCTGGAGAGATCTGTTTCCCTGGTCACACTGGGACAGTGTCAGCTCCCATCCATCTGGTCCTAATTCTTGCTCCTAATTCTGCCTCCTGGTTCGCAGAACCCAGAGACCCCTAGACAACATGACAGGCACCACACTGAACGTGGGACTCACTTGATCCCTTATGTGTCCCTCTGAGGGGGGCTCATGCTCACATGCGAGGGATCAGAGGCCCCAAGAAGGACAGGGACTTGCTGCCGGTCACACAGCTTAGGGCTGCATGGTGGGTTATGGAGTGATCCCCCGCAAATGGCACAGCCACACCCTAATCTCTGGTACCTAACAATGTGACCTTATTTGGTTTCTGCAGATGTAATTAAGTTAAGGATCTGGAGGCGTGATCATCTAGATTTAAGGTGGACCCTAAATCCAATGGCTGTGTTTTCATAAAAGAAAGGAGAATGAGACAGAGACAGACACAGTAGGGAGGCCGCATGAAGACAGAGGCAGAGACGGGAGCAGAGAGGCCACAAACCAGGGAAAC
The DNA here is from genome assembly GCF_000001405.40 of Homo sapiens. Lineage (NCBI taxonomy): Eukaryota > Metazoa > Chordata > Mammalia > Primates > Hominidae > Homo > Homo sapiens. Next base: position 240,253,401 of record NC_000002.12, on the reverse strand, counting down.
CGGGAGCCACTGGGTGCTGGAAGAGGTGCCAGGACCCTCCCCTAGAGCCCCGCTCTGGTTGTGTAGCCGCTTCACAGGGACGCCTGCTTAGGGGACGAGGGGAAGAGGTAGAGGGTGGTCAGAGGCATGGAAACAGGACAGGAGGACGCTGCCTGTTCATCCACAGCCGTCCCCTTCTGGAAAGCCTTTCTGAATGGGAAGGTGGGCTGCCTACCATGAGCTGCAGTGACAGCCCCTCACAGCCACTGTCCTCCAGGCTGTCCCAGGAGGCACCTGAGCTCATACAGATCGGTGGTTTCCCACTCCCAGAGCCTCCGGGGGCTCGGTGCCCCTCTGCCCACTTTGTGTCCGGCTGATCAGGAGGCTCACGTCGGCCTCCTCAGAGCAAAGCTCACCCACATCCCATGCAGGGATGGGCAGGACCTGTGAGCCCACCCTGTGACAGGAAGGCCCCACAGTACAGATACAGGGAGCCCCTCCAATGGCATGCACCACCAGGGTGCCAGATCAGGCTAGACCAGTGGCCAGCACCCACCTGCAGCGCAGGCAGTCCTGAAATCCTGTTTCCAAACCTCCTGAGCCCCTCTTCCCTGTATGGCCTCCAGGCCGCCTCCCTCTGTCAGGATTAAGCCCAGCTTTCTCATGGAGACCGTGTCTGTCTCCATCCCCGGCACCGTCTCCATCCCCAGGCACCCTCACACTCACTCCCAGCTGCATGGCCGCCACCCACCCAGCTGGGGTTTCCATTAGGCCCTGTAGGTTCCCCACCTCGGTCTCCTTCAGTGGGTTCCTTCTACACTACTGAGGTCAGGGCCACATCACAGTCATTTCTGTGTGTCCAGGGCTGTGAACACGGAGCTGCCGCGGTCAGCATTCCCTGTACATGGATGTAGGGTCAGGACCACTGTACCCTGTGGGGGCCTAGGTCACAGAGAAATCCCAGGCCTTGTTCAGAGATGGTGAAGGGTGCCCGGTGGCAACAGCAGGGTGTCCTCTGAGCCCCGGCACTTCTGAGCTCAGGGCTGAGTGACCACACAGGTAGCTGCTATGGGCCCAGCCCTTCTGCATCGTGCTGGGGGGATGCGGGGGCTCTGTTGCCTTCTCGGGTCCCAGGGAGATGTGCCTTCTGTGCCCACGTCTCAGCGGCTCCCACGGCGCATCCAGTGAACTGGGAAGTGTGAATGAGCACCTGCTCGGGCCAGTGATTCATCCGAGTGTCGTTAGCTGCTAATTATAATTAAACCTTTGATGAGTTGTGTTTCTTATCTTCTTAATTAAAATAATTATGACTAATGGAGTGGATGGCACTGAACTCCGACAGGTCTCCTGCAACATGTTACAGTGCCCAAACCCAGCTCCAGGGTGAGCTAGATGGATGGGGCTGTCACCCGGCAGCCAATGGCAAGTTCTGGGTCACCCTCAACCCCAAGGGCCAGCCCAGCACCCCTGGGGGAGGAGCGGGGGAGAGAGCCACTGCTGATTCTGTCTGCCCAGCACAAACCCCAATCTCTAAACCAGGGCTTGCTCCCAGATGGGGAGGCAGTGGGAGCGGGAGGGAGGGAGAGCTGGGGCGGGAAGGTGCAGGGAGACTCCTTCTCCCTCCTCGCCTGGTCCCTGGACATCTGCCAGTCCCAGCCAGTAGTGAATGGCTGATGTCACCATGGCCCTGGCGGAGCCACGGTACTTCCCAGCTTACAAAGTACTCTCAGTGCTGCGGGGTCATGATGTCCCCTCCCACCCTGCTGGGCCTCCGTCTTACAGAGAAGCAGCCAGGCCCAGGGAAGACTTGCTCACCAAGGGCAAAGGGCAGTGAGTCGGCCACAGGAACACAGCCCCCGGCCTTCAGGGCCAGCCGCCACCCACGCCAGCCACCCTGGGCGTACAGAATGTACCCGTGCGCGGGGGCTGGAGGTCGGCTATTCCGGGATCCGTGGCCATGGGATGACCAGCCCCTCCCCCGCTGAGGACTCAGCCTCCTTCTGTGTGGGATGAGGGGGTGGCAGGCTGGCCTCTGAGGCTGCTCTGTGAGGCCACGGGGGACCACTCGAGTGTGGGGAGCCCCAGGCTCAGCACACAAAGGTCTCACCCAGCCCGTGACTGACCCCGGGCAGCCCAGCGTGAGTCATGCTCTCAGGCCACACCCACCTACTCTGAGGCTGCGGTTTCTCATCACTACCCAGAGGCGTGGCCTCCTGCAGGCGTGTGGTCAGCCCAGGCTGGGCTAGGGGTCACAGCCCTGCTGGTCATACGCACCTTGGGTCATCTCCAGGGACTGGCAGCCAGGCCTCTGCAGCCCCTTCTCCGCCGGCTGCTTGGGCTCAGGGGTACCGGGCCCTCTCCTCATGCCCTTTATGGGTGGGGGCGGAGGGTTTGTGCCCACCCTTTCTTCTCAGGGAGGCTGAGCGGGGGTGAGGGCTGTCCACGCAGTTGGTGGGGGCCAGAGTGGCACCAGCTGGGACTTGCTGTCTGACCCTAGGGGTCCCTGTGGCCAGCCCCAGCCCTGGTGCCCACCCTGGGCAGGTCAGGAACGGGACAGTGTGGTGGCCAGGAAGGCTTCAGGAACCAGAAAGTGGGTGCCGTGGGGTCTTCCTCTCCAGGCACGGGTCCTGAGCCTTCCCTAGGGTCCCCCTCTGCCCTGACCTCTACCCCTTCACATGGGGCTCCGTCAGCCTGTGGCTCTCATCCTGGGCGCTTGTGCCCACTGGTCCTACTGCAAACTACACCCAAGGGCCTCCTTGCACCCAGGTGCCTTCTCTGTCCTCAGCCTCGAGACTCCGTGTGGCTGGGCTGGGGCCTTCCACTGCCGCGGCAGTGCTTGGGCTGTACTCTTGTGGGAACCCTCCTCCCTCTTCAGCCCTCCTTCTCCCTTCCCAAAGACTCTCCTTTATGGGGGTCAAGGGAGGGAGGGTCCATCCCAGGAGTCTCCATGGCTGGGAAGAGGTGGCCTTGTCTCCCAGGATCCTCATCAACGTCTCCTCCACCCCAAGCTGGGCCGATTTCCCCCTTGTCAATCCCACCCTTGCAGGGATGACTGTAAGGTGGGGCGGGTGAGGAGGTGGCACCATCTGATTGGCCTGCCTGGTAGAGGCGGGAGAGCTAGAAATGTGATTGACAGAGGGACCCAGCAGTGTCTCAGGAGGTGGGAAGGGGAGGTCCCCAGGGCAGGTGTTGGGGTCCCCAGAGCTGTCCCACAGGAGCCCCCAGCCAGAACTCCCTGGGGCAAGGCCTACTCCCTTGTACTGTGTCTCAGGAAGGTCCCTGCCCACCTGGCAGGTAGGACGGGATACCTGGGGCCGTGCTAGGCCAGATCTGAAAATGCCTCCAGAGAAAATCTTCAACCACTGGCTCGCAGCCTGGGAGGGAGGGAGGCCCCAGGAGGAGGAGACTGTGCAGCTGCTGAGGACCCGGCAGAAACAAGAGCCCCTTCTCCTCCCAGGCTGGCCCTGTGTGGCGTGGTCTCAGTGCTCCGCTGGCTCAGTCCAAATGGGAAACAGTAAATGCATTCAGTGTGACAGAAACGGATCCGCCCCACTCAGAGGTCAGGGGAGCCTGGAGAAGCAGCATGAGGTCTCCCTATCTCCCCTGTGAGCATTGAGACCATCTCAGCCAGGTCAGCTGAGCCAGGGTGCAGGGCCGGGGAGCCTGTTACAGGGAGGGCCCTCCAGCATGCCCAGGCAGACAGAGGGCGGGGGTTGCAGGCAGGTGGGGCTTTGAGAAGACACAGACGGAGGCAGGGCGTGCGGCCAGTGAGGTGCACGGTGCAGGCTGTAGCATGGGGTGGCCTCGTTGTCGGACGGTTCCTTCTGCAGACGTAACTGTTGGGCTCAGCAAAGGTGCCTGGTGGGGAAACAGGTTGGGAATGTAGCCTGAGGCAGGCAGAGGCCTGTGCTGGGAGGACACAGTGTGTGGAGCAGCACGGCCACAGGACTTGCTTCCACTGCAGAACGTGCAAAGGAGACGGGAGATGGCACACAGGACTCTGTCCAAGAAGACTGGAGGGAGAGACCCTAGGAAGGAAGCAGCCACATGGGAGATCCCATGGGGTAGGGAGCCTGGGCTTGCCTCTGGGACCTGAGGGCTCTGGGAGAGAGCCAGCGAAGCCCAGGCCTGGGTCCCACCTGTCCCCCCGCCACCCACCCGAAGGGACTCGGACGCCCAGGAGTCTCTCCCAGCTGAGCAGTCTGAAGAGGCCATGTCCCGACACCCGTGAGGAAGCCCAGTGAGACCCTGGGCAGAGGACTCAGCTGGGCCTGCCCAGCCTCGTGGCCACAGAGCCTAAGCTGGTGTGTGCTGCTTTAAGCCATGGGGCTGTGGCTCTTTGTCACACAGCATGGAAAACTGTTACACCTGGGCTTTGCCATCTGACAGGCTCTAGTTAGAACCCGGCTCTGCCCTTGCTGGTGACTCACTGTGGGCGGGCCTCAGCCCCTCTGCCCCCCATACTCACCTGGGGATAATGGTACCTCCCTCAGGGCTGGTGTTGAAGATGAACTGGGAAATGCACGGAAAAGCTCAGCTTGGAGCTTGCCGGGACAGGAGGAGGCATCATCGTCACAAGTGTGCAGTTGAGGGAGATGGGTCCACTTTCTCTCTTCCAAGCCTGGTCAGGCCCTGCAGAGGGTGAGGCAGGGCCTGTGGAGCATGATGCGGTTATCCCAGCACCTGGGGTGTCTTTGGGACAACCCTTAGGGTGACAGATGCTGGCTGGCACAGCCCCTAGCCTTCCCCACTCGGCCGGCACAGACCCAGCACCTCCCAGCCCACTCCACAGCCCACGTGCCTGGATCCCTGACCTGGGGCGGGAAAGGGAAGAAAGGAGCCTCGAAGTGGGAGAAACTGCAGACGCCCCATGTCCAGATGAGCCCAGGGACTGATGCACTTGGGCCAAGCCACAGGGGCTGGGTCTGTAGCTCTTCTGCTCCCTGGAGGTGTCCCCTGTGCATTAGCAGCTGCTGGTTGCAGCTGGTGCTGGATGATGATGGCAGAATATGAACTCAGAGGGTCCCTTCTGCAGAGTGAACCCTGAGGCAGCTGCCCCTGAGGACAGGCAGGGCCCTGGCCCTGGAGCCCCACACACATAGTTCTCTGCTGGAGCTCCTGGCCAGCTGGCTGGCTGGGGCCCACCTTCAGGGAAGGAGCAGGGGGTGGATGGGCCTGGGAGGGAGGCAGGAGCCCTGTAGAGGCTCGCGATTTTCCTAGGCCTGCACTGGGAAGGTTGGGCAGCCCTGGCCTGTTTCCAGCCTGCTGCCAGACGGGGGCCACGCTGTCACCAGCCCAACCCCCAGCCCCGGCAGCGCTCCTTAGGGGCTTCTCATTGCCACGGAAGAGCATTTATAAGGTGGCTGGGCCCACCCCGTAGGCACTGAGCCAGTCTCCCCCTTGGGGGACCGTCCAGCTTCTAAAAGGCCCAAAGACGCATGCCCAGGGCAGTGTGCCAAAAACCAGCATCTCCATCTTTCTGAAAGGACAGACAGAAGGGTTTGGAGAGACTGGGCCAGGGGCCAGCCTCGGGGCCTCCAGGAAGAAGAATCCCAGCAGGTCCTGTCTCCCCAAGTACAGAAAGACCCACCATGGTGCTGTGCTGTGCCATTCAACCTCCCCCAGGCAGAGCTGAATCTGTGCAGATAAGCTGGAGGGTCCGGGGGCTACAGACTGACCTCCCCAACAGGGTGGCGATCCCAGGCCCCAGAGCGGCTCCTGTGCCCTCCCCTCATCTATCAGTTATCTTGGCTTCTAGAGGCTCCCCTGCCTGCTTCCCAGGACACTGGTGGTTCCAAGGGAGGACCCCTCTCTCAGTGCTCCAGGGTGGCGCAGATTCTCAGGAATCTCTATACACATCTCCCCTGCTCCCTTCCCAGGAGCCCAGTGCTTCCCAGGTAGGACCCCTCTCTCGGTGCTCCAGGGCAGCATGGATCCGCAGGAATCCCTACGCACACATCTGCCCTGCTCAGTGCCAACAAGTAAATGAAACCACATGGGGTAGTGTGAAGCTTCTACGAGCTTTTACACCAGAATGAAAACACAGATGAGCTCCACCGCAGAAGTGCAGCAGGCACAGAGCTGGGCTTTGTCCACCTCCAGCAGGATCAGGGGACACCAAAGTGAGGGTTTGGGGTGGGATGCGCTAGTCAGTTCTTGCACTGCTATCAAGACATGTCTGAGACTGGGTAATTTACAAAGAAAAGAGGTTTAATTGGCTCATGGTTCTGCAGGCTGTACAGGAAGCATGGCTGGGGAGGCCTCAGGAAACTTACAATCGTGGTGGAAGGTGAAGGGGAAGCAGGCAAGTCTCATGTGGCTGCAGCAGGAGGAAGAGAGAGAAAGTAGGGAGGTGCCACACACTTTTCAACAACCAGATCTCTTGATAACTCATTCTCTCCATGACAGCACCAAGGGGGATGGTGTTAAACCAGAGAATCACCTCATAATCCAATCACCTCCCACCAGGCCCCGCCTCCAACATTGGAGATTACCAATTGACATGAGATTTGGGTGGGGACACAGATCCAAACCATATCAGGGGGTGAGGGAGGAGAAGCCCCCAGAAGAAAGGTCATGGGGGAGCTAGAAATGCTCCTTCCTCAACAACTGACTGTTGAAATGCAGCCCATTCACCACGCCCAGCTTCAATGCTACCACTTCCAGGCAGCCCTCCCGGGTTCCTTCCTCACCTCTTTCTCTGTGGTGCTGTCCTTTCGTGCTGCCTCCATCACCTCTAGTGTTATGTCTCAGGAAGTCATGCTTATGTGGCAGGCCGGGCTCGAGGGTTTGAGCAGGGACCCACGTTATCTGACCCCCTTTCCACAGGGTCTCTTTGGCTGCTGGCCAAAGTGGACTAAGGCTGGAGACTTTTTAGGAAGTGCGGCGAGAAGGTGGGATTCTGGACAAATCCTGAGGGCAGAGCCGGGGGATGAGGCTGCGAGAGAGAGGAATCGAGATATTTGGCTTAACTAGTGGAAGGACGGCCTGGCAAGGCACTGGGGGCAGAGATGAGGGAGGACCAGATTTTGGAACAGGAAAGTCAGGCTTGGAGTGTCAGTTCCCAAGGGTGAGGCCCTAGGACACGTGTGTGTGGTCAGTGCCCACCTATAGATGAGGTGACGGTGTCGCCATGAGTGCCTGTGCCTGTCTTGGCCTAGAGGGTGGCCAAATGGGGGGCAGGTCCTCTGACCAGAGTGTGGGAAGGAGTGGACTGTACAGAGTCTGGGGTAGAGTCAGAAAAGTGTGTCTCCTCCATCCTGTCCTCTGTGTGTGTGTGCACGTGTGTTCATGCGTGTGCACACACTGCACTGCAGTGGGTGTCAGAGTCATCCGGATGCCCCTCTGCAGCTTCAGCCGAGCCTCGGCCCCTCTAGGGCTGCATTGCGCCATGTCCTCTCCTGCTTTGCCCCCTGGAGGCTGCAGCCTGCGGGGGTAGGGAGGAGGGGACCAAGGCTGGAGAAACCGCGAGGAGCATGCACAGGCCATCTGAGCACCCGGAGCAGCTGAGCGCCGGCTCTCAAACAATCCACCACATCTGTGCGACCCCGTGGTCACGACTCATTGCAGACCCGCAGCCCTGCCCCACATACAGCCCCGGGGTCCAGCTGCTCGGAAAAGTCTTTCCCAACCAACAGCTGCGCAAGGCGGCCTCCCTCGGGAGCGGCAACAGCAGAGCTGGTCCCGGGGGATGTGTTTGCGCGATCTGGAAAGGGTTCATTTTCTTGTGAAAACAACAATTTGAAGGAAAGGTTGTCAGGGACAACTTGGAATGACGGAGTGACAGGGTTCTTGGAGATTTAGATTAGAGGCTTGACATTCCCTGGGGTGTTTAAACCTGGCTCCTGGGTCAAGAAAAATTTGAGCATTTCTTTTAACTCAACTCTCTCAGTTTATGGGTCATGAAACCACAGCTCGGAGAGTCTAGGGTTATTTGACATTTCCAGTCCATATGGAAAGTAAATTGGATCCACTGTATTGGCCATAAATAATAATTTCCTCAACACCACCAAACTTTGCACTTCCGGGCGCATCACAGGGGCCCCTGGAGGACAAACCAAGATGGCGGCCCTCCCTCATGGGGGCCAAACCCTTGAGACAGGAAATAGGAAGAAAGAAGCACAAAATATTCTCATTTCTAGACAATGTATTTATTTGAGACTCAAGTAAAAGTATATTTTTAAAATCCTGACAACTTAGTAAATATGGCTATATTTAGCTGTTTATATATAAGATCTATAGCTGCTATGTAAGATCTATAGCTATATCTGTTTATCAGTATTTTTACTATAGACCAGAAATAGCTTGAAAAAAAGAAAAGAGAGAGAAAGGAAAACAAAAATCCAATTCAATCTTGCCATAAGAACACGCTTCTTAAGAAAGGTTTAATCTGAAAATGTCTGGACTTCGTAAGGAGAACTGCAACTCTGTGTCTTAGCTTGGGTTGCTATGCCAGAATACCCTAGACTAAGTAGCATTTATTTCTCGCAATTCTGGAGCCTGGGAGTCTGAGATCCTCCCGTGACTGGTGAGGACCAGCTTCCTGGTTTACAGACAGTGGTTTTCTTCTGTAACCTCCCATGGTGGAGAGCAGGGAGAGGAAGCCAGGGCTCTCCGGCCTCCTCTTGTAAGGGCATTGATCCCTCTCAGAGAGCTCCACCTTCATGACCCGATCACCTCCCCAGAGGCCCGACCTCCAGATGCCATCACGCGGGGGATTTAGTCTTCCACATGCGAAGGCGTGGGGCACAGTCCCCAGCACTCTCTAGTCAGCTGTACAGGAAGGTAAGCCAGGAGGGAGGAGCCGTTCCGCGTGGACGCACCGGAAGATGAGACAGGCTTCCTTCCAATTAACATGTCGCTCCAATTCTTTGCCAAGGACTTGATGAAACAATTCTAAGTTAATCTGGAGAAATAAATATATAAGAATGAAACACAAAAAAAGATAAGCCACTAAAACTTAAAAAACTAACAAGGTGACAAGAAAGACTAGTCCCATCAGAAATCAAAACATCAATGAGGGAGAATCTCTGATGTGTAACATACGGAATGTCCAGGAGACAGGGCGGGAAGACTGGTCTGCCATCAAACACCTTTTATCCGTCTGATTCTGTGCCATTTGCACCTATTATGTATTTAAAGCATATATTTTTTAAAATGAACACTATCAGGATTTCTCTCTTTATACGTAGGCCAGTGTGGTGCTGGTGCAAGGACAGACGGCCCAGAGGAAGATTGCAGGTCACGCAAATCTTTAAAATATAACGAAGCCAAAATGATAAGTCAATGGAGAAGATTAAGGTTATTTAATGAATAATCAATTAAGACATTTTCGGAGGAGGAAAAATAACACAAAAACTCATCTAAAGTGAATCAAAGTAAATCGCTTAAAAGTTAGAGTTAAATGTAATAAAAATCAAACCATAAAAAGCTTATAGAATACAAATATAAGGATTAAGTCCCTTGATGGGGAAAATCACATTTTAAAAGCAAAGGAAAGCCAAAAAAAAAAAAAAAAAAAAAAAAGGAAAAAAGTCAATAGATAGAACTACATACAAACTGAAGATATTTAAGCTTAATAACAACATAACCAAGTTGTTATTAAGGCAAAAGACAAAAATCTGATAAAGAAAAATATTATAAATAAATATCAGACACATACAACAACCAATCAATGACAACACTACAGTGAAATCTCAATGAATAAATGGACATTGAGAAACAGGTAATGTAAGAAACTATCACTTATTAAGAAACATATAGAAAGCTCTCACAAAACAGTCATAAAATCAATGAAAAATGTTATTGTGGAGGTAATTTTAAGAAAAACATCCTCCATTATTGTAGGAAGGTGTATTATAACTATTTTGTAAAGCATTCTGTGAAGAAACACATTTTTTTTGCTGTTTAATCCGCCTTTACAACCCTATTTTATAAAAACAATCATAAATAAAGAAAAAGGCTTTATGCAGTAACGTATTCAGGAAAGCAAAACAATATATGTCTTGAAGCTATACCTATGGAGGAGCTAAGAGAAACGTGGCATGGTCGTGGACTGGAATATTACACAGCTACTCTAAGATTTTCTGTAACGTAGGAACCCAATTCATCAGACAAATCAGCAAGCCAGCTGGACGCGGTGGCTCATGCCTGTAATCCCAGCACTTTGAGAGGCCGAGGCAGGCGGATCACTTGAAGTCACAAGTTCAAGACCAGCCTGGTCAACATGGCAAAACCCTGTCTCTGCTAAAAAATACAAAAGTTAGCAGGCGTGGTGGCAGACGCCTGTAATCCCAGCTATTTGGGAGGCTGAGGCAGGAGAATTGCTTGAACCCCATTGGCGGAGGTTGTAGTGAGCCGAGATCATGCCACTGCACTCCAGCCTGGGAGACAGAGTGAGATTCCTCTCAAAAAACAAAAACAAAAACAAAAAAAAGCAGCAAGCCAAAAAAAAAGGAACAAGAATGTAAGGAAATATACTGATATTTTTAAGCAGTCATCTCGTCATCTCTAGGTGGGGAATCTGTGCCTGAATTTCCCTTCATCCACTGTTTTGCAGCCTCTGAATTTTCTCTTGTAATTATGTATTACTTTTATAATTTAAAAAAATCAATAAATATTATTAATTTTAAATGAGTTTACCAAGTGTGATGGTTAATAGTGAGTGTCAACTTGATTGGATTGAAAGTATTGATCCTGGGTGTGTCTGTGAAGGTGTTGCTGAAAGAGACTAACATTTGAGTCAGTGGGCTGGGGAAGGCTGATCCACCCTTAATCTGGTGGGCACCATCTAATCAGCTGCCAGTGAATATAAGGCAGGCAGAAAAACATGAAAAGGAGAGACTGGTCTAACCTCCCAGCCTACATCTTTCTCCTGTGCTAGATGCTTCCTGCCCTAGAACATCGGACTCCAAGCTCTTCAGTTTTGGAACTTGGACTGGCTTTCCTTGCTCCTCAGCTTACAGACAGCCTATTGTGGGACCTTGTGATTGTGTAAGTTAATAAACTCACATATATATGTGTGTATATATATATATATATAATGGGTATATATATATAATGTGTATATATGTATAATGTGTATATATAATGTGTATATATATAATGTGTGTATATATAATGTGTATATATATAATGTGTATGTATATATAATGTGTATATATAATGTGTATATATATAATGTGTATATGTAATGTGTATATATATAATGTGTGTATATATATATAATGTGTATATATAATGTGTATATATATATATATATAATGAGTATATATATATTATTAGTTCTGTTCCTCTAAGAGAATCCCTACTAATACACCAAGCTACTAGAGTTTGAGCTTCCCCTTCCTTTATGAGACATTTTTGGTATTAAAACCAACACTGACTATAATAACAAGATACAGAAGCAACCCAAATTTCCAACAATATAGGAGAGCTCATATGATAAATCCAGCTATGAGAATGCTATGCAACCTTTAAAAATGACATGGGAGGAAAGTATTTAATGACATGGAATATTTGATGTATTAATAGTACGGATGTGTTTAACATCACCAAAGCTAGTCACCAAGACTGCTAGAGCAACATAAGAGAGGATCTCATTTTTGTACAAAACTCATAACTGCAAATGATGCTCACCATGTGTCCAGATGGCAGAATTATGGGTAACATTTGTTTTCTTCTTTGTATTTTTTCAAACTCCAAGTTTTATATAAAAATGTATATTACTTTCAGAATCAGAAAAGAAAAGCAAAGCTCACTTAAAAAACAAAAAGGACATTTCAACAAATGTGAGAAGCCAACTGGATCTCCACAGGTAAAAGAATGAAGCGTGTCTCCTTCCCCAGCATGCACAAAATTTAAGTCAAAATGGAACATAGACCTAGTGCAAGAGCTAAAACTATATAAATCTTAGAACAAAGTATAGGAATAAATCTGTATGACCTTGGGTTACAAATACATAGAAACAATAATTTATTAGATAAGACACCAAAAACACAAGTGACAAAAGAAAAAACATAGGTAAATTGAATTTCATTAAAATTTAAAACCTCTGTGCTGAAAAAATACCACCAATAAAGTGAAAAGAAAATCCACAGAATGAGAGAAAATATTTTCAAATCATTTATCTGGTAAGAGACGTGTATCCAGAATATATGAAGAACTCTTAGACCTCAACAAGAAAAATATAAATAACCCAATTTAAAAATGGGCAAAGGATTTGAATAGACATTTCTCCAAGAAGATACACAATGTCTCCTAAGCACAAGAAAAGATGTTTCATTAGCCATTTAAAAAATGCAAATCAAAATCACAAGATGCCACTTTAGACCGAGTAGGATAACTGCAATAAAAAAACCCCAGACAATAACAAGTGTTGACAAGGTTATGAAGAAACTGGACTACTCAGACATGGCTGGTGGGAATCTAAAATGGTGCAGCTGTTCTGGAAAACAGTCTTGAAGTTCTTTAAAATGCAAAACATAGAGTTACCATATGACTCAGTGATTTTACTACTAGATATGTATGTGCTCAAGAGAAACTGAAACAAATGTGCATACAAAAAAACTTGCATAGAATGTAACAGTGTTCATAATATCCAAAAAGTATAAACAACCCAATTTTTCACCAACTGAGGAATAGACAGATTACATGTGGTATCTTACAATGTAATATTGTTTGATAATAAAAAGGAATGCGGTACTGACACAATGACACAGCAGTGGATGGACCTTGGACATATTATACTAAAAGAAAGAAGACAGTCACACAAAACCATATTTAGCATGATTTTATTTATGTGCAATGTCCAAAATGGGCAAATCTATAGTGACAGAAAGTAAATTAGGGGATGCCTAGGGGATGGGGGAGGAACATAAGGAGAGACTTAACAGGACATGTGGTTTTTTTGGAGGGGAGTGATGAAAATGTTCTAAAATTAGAATGGGGTGATGCACAACTCTGAATATATGAGAAGCCATTGAATTGTACACTTTAAATGGTGAGCCCAAGGCTTTGCCTGTTTTGCTCATTTAGTCCTTAGCACAGCTCTAAGTGTGGGCATCACATTCTCATCTGTAAGGATCAGGTCACTATGGTCTCAAAATCCACAGTGGCTGAGCCTATAAAGCCTAAGTCTGTTTGCATCCTCAGCCCTCTTGCCCTCTTTCCCCTACCTCAGCAGCTGCTGGTGTAGGACTAGGAAGGTAATGCCGGAACTCATGCTTAGAAAACAACACATGCTTTCTCAGCCAAAGTCAGTGTAAGAAAATCTCAGGGCTTGAGACAGGACAGCTGGTACCACAGGCTCCAGAGAGCCTGGCTGTGTTAGACCTTTGGCCATGGGGTTCAATACATCACCTTTCAGTTCCCTAAGAACCATTAAAGTCCCTCAAAACCTTGAACCCAAGATGCTACCCTGTGCTATGACTCTCTGCCTTGTCACTCTTTCACCTGCGTTTATTACTGTCCACATCCTCTCGATGGGCACAACAATCAGACATCGATCTGCCCCCACAGAGCTCACACCCAAGTAGGTGGGGACATGTGCCAAATACCTTTCACAGGTGTTTAGCTTGGGTCTGATCTATAATAGGTGTTCAGAGTACTCTGACAGCACAAAGGAAAGGTAACTAACTGACTAGAAAGGCAGGACAGTCTCCATCCTTCCAGCCATCCAGCCATCCACTCAACTAACCAACCATCTGTCCATCCATCCACCCAATTATCCATCCATCCACCCAGCCATTCATCCCTCTGCCCATCCACCCACACACCCAATCATCTATTTGTCCATCCATCCACCCAACCATCTATCCACCCAGCCATCCATCCATCCACCCAGCCATCCATCCCTCGGCCCATCTATCCATCTACTCATCCATCCATCTGCCATCTATCCATCCACCCAACCATCCATCCATCCATCCATCTGCTCATCCATTCATCCACCCATCTACCTATCCATCCATCTGAACATCCATTCATCTACTCATTCATCCATCCATCCACTCATCCATCCATTTAACCATCCATCCAACCATCCATATCTGTCCATCCATTTGTCCATCCATCTGCCCATCTCTCTATCTGTCCATCCATCCATCCACCCACCCACCTGGAGCTCCTTTCACTATACTGTTCTTGATGCTGAAGATTCATCACAGAATTAGATAAGTTAAGGCCATTCTCTCATACCTTCTGGCATATATAACATCAAACAATCATGTAAGATTATTTTAGATATGGATGATAACCATGAGGAAATAAAACAGAGTAATGGATGGAGAAGGTCTGGGAGCCAGGGATGCCTTCTGGCTGGGTCATTTATGCTGGCGTTTATGGGGAGGAACTATCCATGCAAAGTTCTGGAGATCAGGGGCTCTAGGCAGAAGAGCCAACTCAGTAGCATCCAAAGGCAAGATTGAGCTTGCCTGAGGCCAGGGGTTGGGACCCTGAGGGAAGGGGCCTTTGTGCAGGGTCTCTTAGAGTGAGTTTGCCAGGCAGAGCAGGTGGGAAGAGCATACAAGGAGCCCTGTGGACAGGAAGGGACTTGGTGTATGTCCAGGAAGACCAGGCAGTTAGATGTTATCTTTCACAGGGAAGAATTAGAAAGCAGGAATAGCCAGGAAATCCCTGGAAAAGGAGGGCAGGGTGAAGTTGGTGGGGTAGACTATGCCATATAATACATGTTATAAAGCTTCTGTGAGCACAACAGCATGGCATTCATTCGTTTACAGATGAATGGACCAGTGGAATAGAGAATCCAGAGATAGACCCACAAGCAGTGGGCTGTTGTCAAGGTGGGTGGCATCCCAAGTGAGTGGGAGAAGATGGACTCTGTAACCAAGGGGTTCGGGATGCTGCAGAGCCACATGCAAAGAGAAAATTGGATCCACTTCTCACAGTGGACACCAAGTGAATCAGAGATGGAGTTACACAAGTATTAGAAAATAAATCAGGTTACTTCCTTTACAACCTAAGATGGAGAAAAGCTTTTATAACCATGACTCAAAATCCAGAAGCAATCAGGCAAGTTGAACAAATTTGTCTCCACAAAATTAAGACCTTTATATGGGAAAATACACCATCTTCAAAGTCAAAGGACAGGTAAGACAATATTTGCAACTAATATTACAGATGCAAGGCTAATATCACTGATATACAAAAAGTTCCCAAAATGAAGAAAATGTCCAAAGATCTGTAGGAAAATAGGTACAAGATAGGAACAAATAGTTTGTAAAAGAAAAAATGCAAATGCCTCTTAAACATAGGAAAAGGTGACTCAATCTTGCTCATATAAAAGAAATGTGAATTCAGACAACACTGAGATTCCATTTCTCACTGATCAGCTTGGCAAAAATCCAAAGATTTGACAACTCATTGTGTTGGTGAGGCTGTGGAGAAACAGGTGTTCTTATTGATTACTGGTGGGAATGCACAATGAGGCAGTTCCTAGGGAGGGAAATAGTTGGCCAAGTTGCAGATACACATGGCCTTCAACCTACCGATGTCAGTTCCATGAATCTCTGCCAAGAAAACGCTAGGGAAACAGCGACTTTGGCACAGGCCGCTCTTTCATGGTGATAGCAAAAACAGAAAACTCCCAGTTGCCCATCCAGGGCAACTGTTTGATTAAATCCTGGTCAGTCCCATAAGGAGTGCGTTGTAGGAACAGGAAGTCGTGAGAAGGAGCCGTGCGTGCGATGTGAAAGGCAGTGTCGTGTAAATGCAGTAAGAGGCAGGACATGTCAGAGAGGCTTCTAGAACGGCTTGGAGATGGGTATGCATGGGCTTCTCATATAAAATAACCAGTGAACAGGTAAACCCCGACCTAATAAACACGGCCTCCAGTGGGGGTGGGGAAAGAAGGTGGTGGGGGAGGGGAAGGGGGGCCAATTCTGGGGCTGACCTTGAGCTTCACATGGCTCATGTCTCCTCTGGAACCATGTAGATGCTTTGCTAAAAAACAACAACAAATCCTAAAGAACAAGAAAGGAATCCCTACAAATTGGAAACTGGCAGGAACAAGTAAACCTAACTGTTTACCAAATTGGTGCCAAGAAATCTTCATGTGACTGTGACTTAAAAAATAAACAGTATTTTGAGTACATAATTTTAGTGAGATATAGTCTCACTAAGAACAAAATAATAATTCCAAAAAAAAAAGTTATCTTAAAACAAGGAATAGCAGAAGGGGAAAATAAGAAAATATTCTCTTCTCTGATGGGAAACAGGGAAGGACATCCAGCCCAATCCCCCTCCCCCCAGCCTTCCCCAATCCCCACCCCACCCCACATGTATACACACAGCGGTCTGAGTCCTGCAGGGGACAGAGATGACAGGAGCTGGGCCCGAGACTGACTGACAAGTAGGCCTGGGAGGGCACCAGTCTCTGCGACCAGGTGTCCATGAGGGCTTCCAGGGGTCTTTCCACAGGGGCTGGGGCCTTTGGATGGAGTGAGCCTGGGAACTGTCAGAGGCACAGGGGTGCAGGGGAGGGGCAGGAGGGACCCTCTGTGCTCAGTGCTTTCTGGGAGTTTCAGGCTGAGGCTGGGCAGCCCCTTGGCCCCCTGCTGCAGGTTTGAGCAGTGCTCATTCCGGCCCAGCCCCTCCCAGGCACAGACACTTGAGCTCTGCTCAGCAGGCAGGGCAGAAATGATGACAGGTGCCACCACCCCCGGCCCGCCTGTCACTGGAAACCAGCTGCTTCCTGTCAGCAGTCCTTCAGGCCAAGGACAGCCAGGCCCACTTGGAGCTCCTGTTTCTTAACCCAGCCCCCTCCAAGCAGGCCTTCTTCCAACGCTAGGGTCAACACAACCTTCGCTAGGTCCTGGCTCCTGCTGTCCCCAGGGATCTGGGATGGAGGAGGCCCTGATGGGAGCGGGGATGAGGCCTCGAATGGGATGGATGGCTAGAGAGAGGTGTCCCTAGGGAGATGGGGTGAGGGGATGGCTGCTGGTGGGGAGGTCACTGGGGGAGGAGGCAGGAGAGACATGCTGGCTGAGGAGGGATGCGGTCTACCCAGGAGGAGCAGAGGTGCAAACAGGAGGACGATGGGTGTCCCAGGCCAGTGAGGGCCAGCCTGGAAGGCAGACCTGGAACAGGCAATTCCCATAGACCTTCTTGGGGGGCCAAGGAGCTTGGTTGTGTACCACCCGTGGTGGTGGGGGTTCTGGGCCTGAGGGTTCTGGGCTGGGAGTCACCCCACAGAGCTGATTCAGGGTCACAGTGCACCCAAAGGATGAGGGAGGGGAGCTGGAGGGAGAAGGTTCCGGGTGGCCACTCCCCTGAGCATGCATGGGGAGAAACTGTCCCATTGCTCAGCTAAGCTGACATGGTACTCCTTCCATTGTGAGCATGGAAGAAGGTGACTCGGTTCCAGAAGAAGCCATAGTGTCTTCCCATCACTGCAGCTGTGGCCAGGATCCCCAGGCAGCGAGGTGCCCAGCACTGCTCAAACTGCTGAGTACACCCCAGGTGACGCGTTGATAGAAGAGCCTGCACCTCACTCTGCGGAAAACTCAGCTCTCACCTGTGCTAACAATTTCAATGCAATGCGTTTCCTTTGCGATTCTATGCATTTTATTTTATGCACCTAAAAACATTATTCTGATGAGGGGTCCCTAACTTTCACTACCTGCCATGGGGCCTCGGTGCACAGGAGGTTAAGAATGCCTGGCTCAGGTATTGACCGGGCTCGGGGACCGAGAGCTCCTCGGGGACAGAGGGAGAATCAGAGGAAGAGTTGAGACCTGCCCAGACACAGGGCGGCCTCGGGTGGCGGCCACACCCTCGCCCCAACCCGGATCAGTTGCCCAGTCACCCAGCAGCAGGGCCTGTTTTTAGACCTGCTCCCAGGCAGGTTGCAGCTGGGGCCAGACAGGTACGGTGACCTTGTGAGGGGGTCACAGCACGCTCATAGGGGTCCACTGCAAGGAGAAGTGCAGTCCTTGGCCTGGGCCGGTGGGGTGACAGCAGCAGGGGCTCCAGGACTGGGGGTGGCCTGTTGAACCCCAGGTAGGTGTTCTGTCACCCCTGAGCCCTCACCTGTCCTCCCAAAGCTGGCCCTCAAGAACCAGCCTTCGAGGGCATGTGCCTGGGTCACGGGGTGTAGTCTCCACACTGACATGTAACCCAGCACCTGGGGCTCAGGAGGGTGCATGAGAAATGCCAGGAAGCCGGGGTCTGCAGCCCAAGGCCATGATGAAATCTCCTCACTGCTGCATATAGAGCCGCAGCCCAGCCATGCCCCACAAGCCCATTCTTCTCCCTCCTTTTAGGTCTTGCAGTGCTCTGCAGCTGGCCAGGACGCACAGGTGAGCTCACAGCTCACGGAAACCCTGAAAGCTAAGGCAACCTGGGGAAAGAAGTTACCAAGATTTCCTTTGTACCTTAGGGAATCCAAAAGCATTCTGTGTTCAGTGTTGGTGTCCAGGGTGATTTGGGGGATTTGGTGGCCATTTCCTGGGGTAGTGAGGGACATGCAAGAGCAATGATACGTGGACCTGCCATTCAGGGTGCAGAGATCCTGCAGAGGTCAGCTGGGAGCACCACCCCCAGAGGCCTGTGTCTGTGTGTGATCACGTCAGGCTGGGCACATTCCGTAATAACCAGCACCTCACTCATTTCCCACGGCTCATGGCTTGCAGGATTTTGCTCTCTTGACCTCTCCTCTTCCGATCCAGAGCTTAACATCCCAGGGCTGGTCATTGTGGTTTCACAGAGTCGGGGGCCAGCCTGAACCTGGAGCCATTTGCTGCAGGTGTGGGTTTTCCTTGGAGGCTGAGCAAGTCCCTGCTTACCCAGGCTTGCACCCTCTTGGAGACGTGAGCTCAAGCTCACAGGCATTGGTAGATGATGGCTCAGCCACTTCCAGACGGTGTGACTTTGGATAGGTCACCAAACTCCTCTGGGGTTCAGCTTCCCCAGCTGTAAATTGAGGCTGTGACAGTGTGTCCCGCATTCCACTGCACTGAGGACCAGGTGAGAGCATCACCAGCACACGTGGGCACCAAGCCTGGCACATGGGGAGCTCTGGTGCAGGCAGCACCTGCCACACTCTGCCCCAACCATGCCTGTGTGACCAGGGCACAACCAGAAGTAGCTGGGCAGGTGCCACCCAGAGTGCTGTGGACACAGTCACCGCTGGGCAGGCGCCCCAGGGTGGGTCCTAACCTTAGCCAGCAAGTGGGTGCCACAGGCCCAGGGAGAGCAACGCGGGGACAGCCCTCGTGTCAAAAAACCTGGGATGGTGTAAGACTCCGAATTGTTGTCCTGTCTGAAGAATGTTCCGTTATTTCTCACAACCTGTTTCCTCCCTGGCCACTGAACAGAGGTTTACTTTCCTTTAGGACTTGATCTGTGACCACAGTGCCCCGCTGTTAAGGTGACCAATGCAAACTGCAGAAGGGTGCCCCTTCCCCCCCAGAAACATCAGGTGCGTCCCAGGTCCTGCGGCACCCCCCGAGGAGGGAGGTGCTGAGGGCGGGGCTGCAGCCACGGAGTTGGAGGGGGGGACTGTGGGTGGGGCTGGAGGATCAGGGTGCTGTGGGCGGGGCCAGAGGAAAGAGGCACTGTGGATGGGGCGGGAGGGGCGAGGCACTGTGGGCAGGGCCGGAGGAGGGAGGTGCTGTGGGCGGGGTTGGAGGGGTAGATGCTGTGGGCAGGGTCGGAGGAGGGAGTGCTGTGGGAGGAGCTGGAGGGGGAGGCACTGTGGGTGGGCCAGAGGGGGGAGACACTGTGGGCGGGGTCAGAGGAGGGGGGTATTATGGGCAGGGCTGGAGGCGGGAGGTGCTGTGGGCGGGGTCTGAGGTGGAGGTGCTGTGGGTGGGGCTGGAGGGGGAGGTGTTGTGGGCAGGGCTGTGGGGAGGTGCTGTGGGGCTGTGGGCGGGGCTTGAGGGGAGAGCTGCAGCCGGGGAGGAGGGAGGTGCTGTGGGTGGGGTTGAAGTGGGGGAGGTGCTGTGGGCGGGGCCGGAGAAGGGAGGCGCCGTGGGTGGGGCTGGAGAGGGGAGGTGCTGTGGGCGGGGCTGGAGGTGGAGGTGCTGTGGGCGGGGCTGGACCAGAGAGGTGCTGTGGGCGGGGCCGCAGCCAGGCTTATGCTTCCCTGCTGCAGGGGTGCGCTGATGGGATGGGGGCGTCTCACCCCAGGTGGGGGAGGCCTGAGCTCGCATCATCCGGCTGCAGACCCCTGGGTGCCCCCTTGTGCCAGGTCCGTCAGGGGCACAGGCCCGGCAGCACGCTGACTGGGCGCCGGGCAGGCCCGGCCGGCAGGGAGGGCTCCAAAGGCTGATCCTGCCTGTATTTTAAGGCCTGAGTTTCAGAGCGGCCTCCGGGCCCTTTGCTGAGCTCCAGCGCCCCCTGGTGTCGGCGAGGCGGGTGAGGGAGACGCGCCTTTGGGTCTCGGGCCTGCCCTCCAGCAGCCCACACACACCCCAGGACCTGGAGGCCTCCACCAGCCCCACCCTGGGGAGGACATTGAGAACCTGGAACAAGGTCTATTTGGGTCTGAAATACAGAAATGTAAGAACGCTGGAGAAGCTGGGGTCTCCTCCGGGAGAAGCCAGGCCTCGGGAGCCCGCTGCTGGGAGCCCTGGGGGCAGAGCCGGCCGCAGAGCCTTCCGCACAGACCCGTCCTTCCTAGGAGGCTGGGAGCTGGCATTTTGGCTTTGGCTCAGAATTGCCCGCTGTGCCACGAGGGCGAAGTCCAGCCCAGCAGGGGGAGGGCTGCTGCCCAAAGAGAGGGACTGATGTGGTTCTCCTGGGCCTGCTAGTGTCGGATGCTCCTCCAGGGACTGTTCTCAAGGCCCAGGTGCATGTGGGGAAATCGGGCTGTCTGGAAGAAAGAGTGGAAGCCGCTCGCTAGAGACACGCCTCTGTGATTCTCCCAGAAAGTGTCCTGTCGGAGGCTCAGGACTTCCTAGTGAAGCAGCTAGGACAAGCTGGGCATATTGAAAGTCACGGGGACATAAACCTGCAGGCCTGGGTATGGCCATTGGGTATACGTTAAATTCTGTGGCACCCAGTCTAGTACAACAGCTTCCGTTTCAGGACAGACAAGGTCACCCTGTGGGACCACCCTTAGCTGGAGCACCAGTTCCCTTCGCAGCCTCCTGATGAGAAGTGATCTCTGAACAGAAGGTGCAGGGCAGAGCTGCGGGCGTGCAGGGCCCTTCTCCCAGTCTGTTCCCGTCGATTCCTTGCTGCTCACACTCAAGGGTCTGCGCCCAGCCTGAAGGCGCTGCCTGCCGCGGTCCCTCCTGGTCATCTGTCTTTGTAGATTTGCAGAACAACATAGCCTCACCTGTGGGAGAGGCTTCCCAAGCTTCACCTTCACTCAGCACTGTTGCGCAGTCCCCAGGCAGGTGGCACCTGAGAGAGGGTTCCAGGCTTGGCCACTGGAGGGTCCCAAAGGTGGCTGGTTCCTGGCCCCAACAAAGCCGACTCCCTGGGAGACAGATGAGTCCCTCCAGGGTGGTACTGTTGGTCTGTTTTGGTCAGTGACGTGCTCAGCTCCAGGGCCATGCCTGGCACAGGGAAGGTGCGTCTTCAGTACTGGGTGATGTTGGACGAACGCCTGCTTCCCTTTTTTTTTCAAACTGAGGTCTGCAACCCAGATGCCCTTGGCTACTTACTGACTGCTCCATCTGAGCAAGTGGCACAGTGCCACTCATCTGCATAGGTGAGCGGGGACTGGTGGGTCTGCTGCTGGCTGGACAGAATGTCTGGGAGGGGCTTTGAGCATCCTGACCACCTCTGCTCTCAATCAGGCTTGGAAGGCAGCGTGTAATTAGGTCACATGGAGCCTCCAAGGACCAGACACTGGGGAAACCATAGCTCTCTGTCTTGTGCGTTTCTGGGTGCCAAAGCCATTACCTCCTGCTTTTGGAGGTCCCGTTGCCAGTTGCCAGGGTGAGAGGCAGGATGGGTTCATGACTCATGGCATCGACATCCTCCGGCCTGTTAAATCTTTTTGTTGTTGTTGTTGTTTTTTGAGATAGAGTCTCGCTTTGTCGCCCAGGCTGGAGTGCAATGGCACGATCTCGGCTCACTGCAAGCTCCGCCTCCTGGGTTCATGCCATCCTCCTGCCTCAGCCTCCTGAGTAGCTGGGACTACAGGCACCTGCCACCAAGCCCGGCTAATTTTTTATATTTTTAGTAGAGACGAGGTTTCATCATGTTGGCCAGGATGGTCTCGATCTCCTGACCTTGTGATCCGCCCACCTTGGCCTCCCAAAGTGCTGGGATAACAGGTGTGAGCCACCGCGCCCGGCCCAGCCTGTTCAATCTTAATGCAGTTGGCAAACACCTGTTTTTAATTTCTGATTTTTAAGGGCCATTTCCCTGGAGTTCACTGTTAGGTATAATGTGGGGTGTTATGTTAAGGGATATTCATCATATTAAAACATAGTCTCTCTGCACCGTGACTTTTATTCTTCCAGTAAGTAGTAGGTGTCTATTTTTACTAAAAGCTTTTCTAGCGTCAGAGCCAGGGAGGTTTCCGTGGAGGTCCAGCCAACCCAGTTGGGGCCAGTTCCTTTGGTGGACACCCCTGCCCTTCCCCCTGGTGGAAGATCTGCTGACCCCTTAGCCAGTCCCTGGACCCCCAGCAGAGCTGGGCCTACTGCTTGGCTTCCTTCCATGCAGCCCTGGATGTCCCAGGGATGCAGTTTCGGTGGAAAACACACTGCCTTCCCTGCAGTTCATCCCCTGCTCCTGCTATACCGAAGCCCGTTTTTCACTCCACAGAATTCAGAATGGGGAAGACCTTCCCTGCCCCCAGGCCCCTTCCCTTCTTCACTTCTTCACAGTTGAATGAAGCCAGCTGTTTCCTTGCAGCTAGGGCCATCTGCTAAGACACACTTCCCCCTCCAATCTGTGTGTCACTTTCCCTCCTGAGACCCTGAGAGACATCCTGACCCTCCTAGTCTTCCTCTGTATCTGACTCCTCCTGTCATTCTGAAAGAGGGTGGTGCTCTCCCTGGGAACTCTCAGCACACCAGCCGGACCCCTCCGCTCCAGCAACACTCACTGTTCTGTCATTTCTGCTCTCCCTCCCTGGACCATCGCTGAGGCACCTCTCCCCTCTGCTGGGACCCCCAGCCTCGCTGTTCTCTGGCTGCGTCTTCTGACTGTTCCCTTCCACCATGGCTTTCTTGCAGCCCAGCCTCTTTCCCCATCGTCTTCAACACCCTTGCCAATTTTCCCCTCAAGTCCCCTGGGAACAGTCCATTCTTTATCATTCCAAATGTTTGTCTGAAAAAATATCCGACCCAACCATTGCAGTGGCATCCTGTTGTCATCCTTGCCATTAGCACTGGTACCTTTGAGACTGGTGACAAGCCACACCTCTACTGTCAGGTTGTCACAGGGCCCAGCCTCTCCACCTGCAGCTGCCACCGATACTTCCCACGTTGGCATCCAAGAAATGGGCAGGTGCAATATTCTGGAGAATCAATGTCCCATGCCTGCACCCTCACTGCTAAGGAGTTGAGGAAGCATGCATTTCAGATAGAGATGGAAAGATAGAGAGGAAAAGCTAAAAGAGGGTTAGCGTGGGAGCTGAGCAGATGATTTACAGAGTATGACACATGCAGTTTCACAATCATGTGTCTAGGTGGGGTTTTAGTTTTCTATGTTCTGCTCTGGCTCTCTTGTGCTTCTTGAATCTGAGGATTCATGTTTATCAGTTCTGGAAAATGTGCATGCATTTCCTCTGCTCCAGTGGCCAGCCTCTCTCTCCCTTTGGGACTTTGGTGATTTACGTATTGGTCCTTCTAGCTCTTGCATCATCCCTCTCACTTTATTCTGCCTCCTATCTCTTTATTTTCCCATGCATATTCTGGGTAATTTATTAAATCTATTGCATTCATCTGCTAGGGCTCCTCCAACAAAGTACTACAGATGGGGCAGTTTAAACAACAAAAATTTGTTTTCCCACAGTTCTGGAGGCTGGAAGTCTGAGATCAAGGTATCGGCAGGACTGGTTCCTCTGGGGCCTCTCTCCTTGGCTTGTCTTCTTCCTGTCTTTACATGATCACCTCTCTGTGTGTGTCCCAATCTCCTCTTATTATAAGGGCACTAGTTATATTGGATTAAGGCCCCCCCAAGACCTCACTTTAAATTAATTACTCCTTTAAAGACCCTGTCTCCAAATACATTCACATTCTGAGGTACTGGGGGTAAGACTTCAACATGAATTTTGCGGGAACACACTTCAGCCTAGAATGTCTATTTTCCAGTTCACTAATTCTCTCTTCAGCTGAATCTAATTTGCTTTTTAAGTATTCCACTAAGTTTCAATTATGAATACCCATGTAGTCATTTGTAGAGGTTTGTTTTGGTTCTATTTTGAATAAAATCTTATTTGCCAGGCATGGTGACTCATGCCTGTAAACCCAACACTTTGTGAGTTTGAGGCAGGAGGACTGCTTGAGCCCAGGAGTTCAAGACTAACCTAGGCAACATAGTGAGATCCCATCTGTACAAAAAAAATTTAAAAATTAGCTGGGTGTGATGATGCGTGCCTGTACTCCCAGCTACTTGGGAGGCTGAGGTGGGAGGATCACTTGAGCCTGGGAGGCTGAGGTTGCAGTGAGCCATGATTATACTCCAGCCTGGGCAACAGAGTGAGACCCTGACACACACACACACACACACACACACACACACACACACACACATCTTATTTACACAATCACAATCTGGTTCTCAGAATTTAGATTTCTTCATTTTGAAATGTATCTAACGCTTTCCTTTCTGTTTACTTTCAGGTCGTTTAGATTAAGTGCTGAGAGGTGTAGCTCTTCCTATACCTGGTAAATGCTGACCCCCTGAACCCAATCCCGAAGCCCCCATCCACATGCTATGGGGACCACATTGGGAGCCTGTGGTATGATTTTGCCTTTGTTTATGCCAGACACCTTGGGTTGACCTGAGCTCATGCTCAGCAAAGGGACTAAATGTTAACTTCTTAGCTTAGAATTCCATGTGGTATAAATCTGGATCCCTCATATGCTTAAAGGACAAGCCTGGGGTCTGATTATTTAGGAAAACTTTTTCCACCCAGAATCCATGATGTGCCCCTTCAACGGGTGTCATCCCCTCCCTGAGAGTCAGCCACAGCCAGCACCTCCTGGCCCTGGGCTGGAGGCACTGCACCGGCTTCCGGGGAGCAGCAGCTATGCCAGCTTTGCCCACACCGCCTGTTTCTGACGTGTCCCCCACTCTGCAGCATGACTCCCAGACCCCATCACACTCTACAGCTGGGGTATCACAGTGGGGTGGAGGCCCTCGCAGCACCCCCTCAGGAACCCAGAGGGTCCCCAGTTTGGAGACTGCTCAGGAAGTGGGTCCAGACCAGCACCTCTGGCTGGAAGAGCTGCGCCCAGCCTGGATGAAATAGATACTCGTTTGAATCTGTTCTACCAGGAAAAACTCGCTGTCTTCAAGGTGTCCATCTGTCTTAGATGTGGGGCTTCAGGCACATCAGATAACCTCTCAGGGCCTCCAGAAGCTCGCCTGGAAGGCTGCAATGATGGCTCCTGGGAGGGCGGGGACAGGTCTAAGTGGTGTGATTCTGGGCCAGGCCTGCAGTTACTGCCCATCAAAGGCAGGTCTTAGTATCTCCCTACTGCACCCGGCAGTGCCTCAAGGTATAGGCCCCTTGGAATGATACTCTTTATTTTTCTCTGCTGTTTCCTTCTTTCTTCAGCTGGACTACAGAAAGGCAGGCAGCCACTGCCTAGAGAAGGGTGAGGACTGCAGAGACCAAACAGCTCCTCCCATGTCCACATCAGCCCTGTCTGAGCAGATCCTAGAACGTAGCCTGCTTTGCCGCCTTCTCTGCCTGCAGCACTCTGCCTGGGGCTCCAGTCCAGTGGCATCTGTGTGGCTATAGCTCCCTGCCAAGTGTCAAAGAAGAGGGAGGCCATGTAACCTCCTGCCTCACCACAGCCTTGGGAGCTGCCCTGTCAGTGTCAGCACGTTCACAGTGCCAGTGCCAGCCCCACTGTCAGAAATCTCAGTCCCTGGCCAGGGACCTGCAGCACAGCTGGCCAAACAGCCGGACAATGTGGCTTCCCACCACGCTGCAGCTGTTCTGAGGCCCGCCTGGTGTGCTGGTGCCCTGGCAGGTGCGAAGGCCCCTGCTGGCCTCACTCCTACCCAGCAGCCTGCACTGGAGGCCTCAGGGGCTGGAGGTGATCACTCAGGGCCAGGCCTACTGTTCAGCCACATAGCACTGGTCTTGGAGGCCCAGGGAGGGCCTGCTTCTCTTTGCTGACACCCTCCACAAGGGGTGTGTGGAACTTGCAGACCTCCGTCTGTGACCCTGCCCACAGCATTCCTGTCCTGCTGTGGCCCTACCTCACTCCTTTCCAACTGAGAGCCTAGTCTCTCCTGGGGCATCTTGGAAACAGAGCCCTCTCCCCTGAGCCTGCATTCCCTGTCCCCCTCCCTGGACCTGCCTGCTGAGGGGCAAGGTGGGCTGGCAGGGGTGGTGCAGGAGCTGCAGGCCCGGGGACTCAGGCTTTTCCCAGGTCCCCTTGGACAGGCTGTTGAGGAGGAGAGCCAGCTCCTGCCATGACAGCCCAGCCCTGGAGGGTCCGTCTGTTCTCCAGAGCTGGTCTTTGGGCCAGTCCAGGTGGTCACCTCCACACACCACTTCCCAGGGTCTTTCTTAGTCTCCATTCAAAGCAGGGTTCTTTATAGTCCTACAGAGAGGATCCAACATCTCATAGGTGAGCTGTGCACTGCCCCTCTGCCTGATTGGCCCAATCCTGCCGAGAAATGAGGCAAGGAGCCCAGGAATAGCTGTTAACCACTGCCAACCACTGCTGACCACTGCTAACCACTGCTAAGCACTGCCAACAACTGCCAGCCACTGCTAACTACTGCTAACCACTACTGACCACTGCTGACTACTGCTAACCACTGCCCACCATTGCCAACCACTGCTAACCACTGCCAACCACTGCTAACCACTGCCAACAACTGCTAACCACTGCCAACAACTGCCAACCACTGCTAATTACTGCTAACCACTGCTGACCACTGCTGACCATTGCTGAACACTGCCAACCATTGCCAACCACTGCAAAGCACTGCCAACAACTGCGAATCATTGCCAACCACTGCTTACCATTTCTAACCACTGCCAACCAATGCCAACCACTGCCAACTACTACCAACCACCGATAACTACTGTTAAGCATTGCTAACCACTGCCAACAACTGATAACCACTGCTAGCCATTAGCAACCACTTCTGACCATTGCCAACCACTACTAACCACTGCCAACAACTGCCAACCACTGCCAACAACTGCAAATAATTGCCAACCACTGCTAACCGTTTCTAGCCACTGCCAACCAGTGCCAACCACTGCCACCTACTGTCAACTACTGATAACCACTGTTAAGCATTACTAACTACTGCTGACCACTGCCGACCACTGCCAATCATTGATAACCACTACCAATCATTGATAACCACTACCAATCATTGCTAACCACTGCTAACCATTGCCAACCATTGCTAACCACTGTCAACCACTACCAACCATTGCCAATCATTGGCAACCACTGCTAGACACTGCCAACAATTGCCAACTGTTGCCAATGACTACTAAGCACTGCCAACCACTGCCAACAAGCCATTTTCCTTGAGCAGCCTCAAGCTCTGGGAAGAGATGTGAGGTTTAGAGTCGGGGGAGAGTCCCCATCAAGGAGCGACTCCCCCGCCCAGCACCACCGCTGCTCTCATCCTTACCCTCCCTGTCTTTTCTACCCAGCCTTCCTTCTCCTGACTAGAAGCTCCTGGCATGCCTCATCTCGAACCCTCAGGACTGTTCTGAACTAGGCAGAAGTTTAGTGCTGCAGCTCAAAGCCTGGAGAGAACCCCATATCTGCAGAAGTGCCTCATGTTGAGGACACCTGTCCCCATCTCACCCAACCCTGGGTGAACCCAAGCAGGGTCAAAGATGGCTAAGTGGGCCCTGCCTCTGGAGCAGCCTATTTGAATGGGACACTGGGGCCCCTGCTGTGGGCATGGGATGTCCTCTCTTGGGAGGCTCTTGGCCTGGTCCTCTCCAACCCCCTGGGCTTCCTGGCAGGGTCGGCCATGTCTGGGTGGGGCTTAGCCCAGGAATGCTCAGGACACACAGAGCCTCAGGAGGCACACACGGGGAAGAGGCCTCCAGTAGACTGTGGTGTCCGGATAAAGACAGTTAAAGACACAAGGTCCAGGCAGGCCAGAATCGAGGTGATATAGTGTGGACTGTAAGATCCTCTGACTCCAGTCAGCACGGTTAACAAAAGCTGAATTTTCTGCACACTGACAAACAGGATGCCGCACGGGACGGCACTGACCTGGGTTTCCACCTTCCCCAATTCCTATCTCAGCAAGCCCAGCTATGGCACACACCTGTAACATTTAAAGGCTTTTTTGGAATCTCAACTGGGAAATGCATGACCATGTCCTCAAGATAAGGAAATACTGAGTTTCCAGAATGGCATTTTGCCGTCATGGTTTGATGCTTATTCATGAGGTTTCCAAGCAGTGACTGAGGGCTGGGCTGCAGTGCATAGCAAGGAAACTATTCCTTCCACTCTGGAAGCTGACGTTCCCATGATTTATTTTTGCAAGTTGCAGGCAGGCATTGCTAAAGGCAATAGGAAAAGTCTCCTTATTTTAGAAGGTAATAATCCCCAGACTTACAGGAAAGTTTAATTTTGAAAGTGCTTGTGGTAGCAAGGTGCTAACTCATGTGTTCAGAGGGGGTCCATTTTGATAAAAAACAACACCTATGTAGAGAAAGGCGTGCGTTCATCTTTTATGAACACAGAGAGACGTGAGGAAGAATAAGCAATGAAAAAAATGATTATCCCTGGAGAGGATGGATGAGGGAGGAGGAGCTCGGGGGTGATTTCTTTATACACCTCTGCATGATCCTTGCTGAGAAAGAACAAGAAGCACTATTTCTCATCTCCTTCCTTTGACGGGGATAAGATGATTTTCCCAGAGTTACACGGAGGAAGCAGAGCAGATGAGCAGTTCACCTCTTTCTGCTTTGCTCACAAGCATTAGTTGAAGTCCTACTGTCTGCACATCCCAAAGTGAGGCACCAGAGACACGCCCTACCCTCGGGTAGCAGAGACACAGCCAAGACCTCGAGCCTTGAGCTGGACCAGGATATATAGGTGCTTTCACATGATTCCCCAAGATGGTTTCCCATAAAAGTGTATCCTTCATACCACAATGCTCATCACAGAATGTCTCGCATACAATAAGACATGTTGTTTTTGACCTCCCATTTTCCAGATTTATTTATTCATTCATTTACTGAGCACCTGCTGTGTGCCAAGCTATGTCTACAGGGCAGACAGAGAGATGAGAGACTGCAGGGCAACGTGGCCAAAGCTCTGATGGGAAACTGCCCAGGGTGCTTTGGGACCACACAGAGGGGCTTAAAAATCCGGTGGGGGGTCCTGGAAGTCTTCATGGAGGTGCTACTCAAGTTGAGTTTTACAGACCAGAAGGAACTAACCAGACAGAGGAGTGAGTGTTCCAGGCACAGGGGCAGAGACACCAAAACTCAGAGGCATGGTGTGGCCAAGCCAGCGTCTATGCAGGTTCATGTGATTTCGCACCAGAGGGGCTGGCGGAGGCCACATCACCAAGGAAGGAGGGTGCCGAGGTGGGAAGTTGCTCTGACCAGGTCGGAGAGACAGGAGATGTGCCTTGGAGAAAAATTACCCTAAGAATGGAGTCATCTGGGTAGAAATGACAGATTTAGCACATACATTTACTTTCTTCCTTCTTCTCCCTTCTGAAACCCCGTGAAATGACAGTAAAGAGATTTTTCAGATGGCATAAACTCACAACTACAAAGAACATGGAGGAGAGAGCATGGTGACATTCTTACAGCAGGAGAGGGGCTGGGTACTGTACCCCTGGGAAAGTAGGGGTGAGGAAACAAAAGAAGTAACTCCAGAAAGTCCCCAGAGTGGAAAGGTAGCGGTTTCCAGATGAAAAGTTCCCAAAGTATCCAGCACAGTCGGTGAAAATATATTCACGTCAAGGCTTATGAGCTGAGGTTTCACAATGGCGGGCAAAGCAAGGCACCTAGAAGCTTCAGATCACAAACAAACAACTGGGAATTAGGATGATTTCACGTGTCTCAATGGCAACCTTAGAAGTTATCAAAGGAGCCATGCCTTCACAAGGCCGAGGGAAAACTATCTGCAAGCTAGAAAGATATATTTAGCCAAGCCATTGGCGTTGTAGCCTCCTGAGTCTGGCATGGCTGAAGATGCTGCTGCTGGACTCAATCTTCCTGCTAATAAAGGGAAAAAAGAAAACACTAACAAACTCTGGAAATAAGGCAAAAGAAAAAATCCCCAAAATTTGAAGGCACTGGAAAGTTAAATACATAAATAAACAAATGAGCAAGCAGAGCCTAGAGAAGGGGAAGTTTTGTTTTTGCTTGTTTTTCTAGCATTTATGCTGAGGGCAGGCCAAAGACAGCACTATGCAGGGTGGACACAACTCTGATAGAAAATCTCCAAAGGTTTGGAAACTAAATAATACACTTCTTAATAATCCATGGGTCAAAGAAAAACTCAGAAGGAAAATTAAAAAGTATTCTGAGCTGAATGATAAGAAGACAGAATGTATATAGCCCAGATGCCTGTATTAGAAAAGAAAAAAAGGTATCAAATAATGGCCTCAGCTTTCCCCTTAAGAAAATAGAGGCCGGGTAAGGTAGTTCACACCTGTAATCTCAGCAGTTTGGGAAGCAAAGGCAGGAGGATTGCTTCAGCCTAGGAGTTTGAGGCTGCTACTGCACTCCAGCCTGGGTGACCCTGTCAAGGAAAGGAAAGGAAAGGAGAAAGGAGAAAGGGAAAAAGAAGAAAGAAAGGAAAAAGGAAGGAAAGAAAAGAAAGGAAGAGAGGAAGGAAAGAAGGAAGAAAGGAAGGAAAGAAACAAGAAAGGAAGTAAATTAACTGAGAATAAGTAGAAGGAAATAACAAAGACAAGAGCAGAAATCGATAAAATATGATGTACACATTACAGAAAAGTAACAAAGCCCAAGATTGATTCCTTGACTAGATGAACAAAATTGATAAACTTCCCAGCTAGACTAATAAAAAAAATCAAGTAATCAAGCAAGCAAAAAAGAATATAAATTGCCGATTTGAGGAATGAGGAAGCAGCACTACAGATGCTATAGACATTAAAAGACTATCTAGAGATTTGTATGAATACCTTTATGCCTATAAACTTGACTTAGATAAAATAGATTTCTTGAAATATGACTTACCAAAGCTAATGCATGATAAAACAGAAAATATGAATGGCTATATACTTAATAAATATATTTATTTTTAAGAACCTTTCTATGAAAACATCTTCAGGACTATATGCTTTCATCAGTAAATTAAAAATAAGTTTAGAGATAAGATAGCACCAGGTTGACACAAATTCTTTGAAAATACAGGAGGAAGGAAGCTTCTGAACTAACCCTAACCCTAACCCTAACCCTAACCCTAACAAGGCCAGCATAATCCTAGTGCCATAACCTGGCAAAGATGTCACAAAAAAGAGACAATTTTAGACCAATATTTCTCATGAAAAATTTTTTAAATATTCTACAAAGTATTAGTAAATTTAATCTAGATATATTATATATTTATATTATCTATATTTATAAATAATTTATATAAACAAATATGTATATGTATCTACATATAAATACATCTACACATGTACATTAAAAAATACTCTGTAAAATATTAGCAAATCTAACCCCAAAAAATATATATGTATATATTATAAATATGTTTCACATATATACATGAAAATATAATGTAATTGAAATGGCTTAACATGTAGAAATCAAGCAATACAATACTGCAAAATAAAGCAGAAAAAACAAATGATCTTTTCAATAGATGCTAAAAAAGCATTTGACAAAATTCAACCCATATTAATGATAAAAACCCTGAACAAACTAGGAAGAGAAAGGAACATCAATCTGATTTAAAAAAATTACAAAAAAGCCATACTTACTAGGGAGTGAATAATTAGCTACTTAATAGTGAGTGAACAATTAAATACTTTCCCACTAAGATTGGGAACAAAACAAGATGACTTTTCTCGTCACTTCAATCCAACATTGTAACAAGGGTCCTAGCCATTGCAGTAAGTTAAGAAAGAAAAATAAAAGTCATTAAGCTCCAAAAGGAAATAAAGTTGCCTTTGTTCACAAACAACATGATTGCTTATATAGAAAATCTTAAGAAATATACAAAACAATCAATCAAGCTACACAGTGAATTTAGCAGACTCAAAGGATATAAAGTCATTGGGCAAAAATAGTTTTTTAAATAAACTAGCAGCAAACAATTGGAAAATGAAAATTTAAAAATCCATTTACAGTAGGATCAAACATATAAAAGACTTCAGATTAAAGTTAACAAAATATGTGTAAGTTTACTACACTGAAAACTATTAATATTGAAATCTTGTTAATGCTGTGTGTGCTAAGGTGTTTCATTTGGGGAAGTGTGCTGACGTCTGTAATTAATAAACTGGGTTAATGGACAATTAGAGGGCTGGATAGGTGGATAGATACGTGAGAAAGCAAATATAGTAAAATGTTTCTGGTAGAATCTCAGTGGGTGTTCACTGAATATTTGAAAGTTTTCTTAACAAACTTGAAAAAAAAAAAACGAGACATTTGCAGATAAGCAACTTCTTTCAAAAAAACATGCTTCTCAAATACCAGCTCTCAGTGAATGTAGGAGGAGGTGCTCCTGCAAAGCAACAGTGAGTCAGGAAGTGAGAAGCAGCAGAATTAGACAGGAGTGGGTGAAGGGAATCTCCAGGAGACAGGGAAGGGAATTGCCAGGAAAAGACCTGCCCTGAGGGCGGCCAGAAGGCTCAAGGGAGATTCCTTCAAGAAGGTGAAATTAATACAATATCTGAGAGGTTTGCATGAAAATTTAGACAACTGGTGGAGAGTTTGAGGTTGAATTCGTGACATATACAAAGAAAATCTAACACACACAAACTCCAGGAAAAACACAAACAAAAATGTTGTGCAAGAGAGGAAAACAGCATCGTACATGCTACGGCTCAACTAGAAATAATATTTACATGTCTTACAACGAAGAAACAAAGTGCTGATCTAGTCAAGTAATGACCAAATTGAGAGAATGGAAGGAGAGCAGTGTGCGTGTGTGCGTGTGTGCATGAGTGTGTGTGTGTGTGTGAGAGAGAGAGAGAGAGAAAGAGAGAGTGACAGCATACCTGTGTATGTGAGGGGCATGTGCAGAAGAGCTGCGTCCTTCACCTTTCATAGTGGACATCTAGAGAGAATGCCTAAAACCAGTCAGTAAGAAGTAGCAACGTATGCAGGGTAAATAAGGAGTTAAATGGCAAAAGGGCCCTGCTAACACAATGGAATTTAGGGGAAGGGAGGTAGGAACTGTCATTTTCACAAGACTTGTAGAACTGTTTTCTTCTTTAAACTACATACATGTCTACTTTGCTGAAGATGGAAACAGACCAACCAGCTGCTGTAACCTCTGCCTGCTCCTCGGATGAGGGAGGATGGGAGCGAGGAGTTCAGGGAGGATGGGAGCGAGGAGTTCAGGGAGGAGGCCACTGGAGAGATCAGGCAAGAGATGACGGCGACGACCTGGGGTGTTGGCAGGAATGGAGACGGGACAGAGCAGAGCACCTGTGGAGGCCAGATTCCATGGAAATTGGAGTCCGGGCTGAATGTGGGGCACACATGAGAAGGAGGTCCAATAAAAAAAGGATTTGCTTAAACAAACTCTGGAATATCCAGAATGAGGGTGCTACAGTATGAATGTGTTCCCCTTAATTCCCATGTTGAGATTCCAGCCCCCAGGGTGATGGTTTTGGGAGGTGGAACCTTTTGGAAAGGTCAGAGTGGGTCATGATTGGCCCAGATTGGGTCATGAATGTGGAGCCCTCGTCGGGCGTTGAGTGACCTACAACAGAGGTAAAGACAGACCCCTTACCCCTTCTGCCATGTGAGATGCGAGAAGACAGCATCCATGAACCAGGAAACGGGTCCACATCAGATACTGAATTCTGGCACTCACTGTGGCCCAGGCAGGATCCAAGAGCGTCGCACACGTTCTCATTTAAGACTGAGCTCTGTGTATTTCTGCCCAGTGGGGCTTAACTGCACCCTCACTGAAAGTTCAATTTGTTGTTGAATGAATGAAGGAATAAATGAGCCTTCCCCTTTTGATTGAGGAAAAAACAGCCTCAAAGAAGGTAAGACACTCACCTGAAGTTTTGTGCTTTAGTGAGTGACGCAGAAGGACCTTTGAGCCAGGCCCTTGTGGTTCCGAACCACCCTTGGGCTGCCCCACCAGGATTCTGAGCTAGAGAGTATGGTTTTATGCATAGACTCACCAGAAGCTGAAATCCACCTTCCTTGGAGGTTGCAGTCTGCATTTCAATATTGTTTTGCTTTTCTAGTATTCAAAAATAATCAGGGAAAATGTCTGCATCTAATTTTTTATGTTCTGTCTAGGCAGGAATGTATCCATGTCTTCTACCACGGGGGCCAAGGGTGTTTCCTCTGCGGGGTTTATCTGTCTACGGAACTGATTTTGCAGCTTGGAGCAGGCAGGTTTCCATCACCTTACTCAAAGGTAAACCATGAAGGAAGAGCTGGCGGAAACACCCCAACCGGGTTGGGGATCTCTAGGGGAAGCTGCGCCTCTTCCTAACAATCAAGTTTTATTTTAGTGGAGGAAACAGTGATCTTCACTGCCTGGTTTTGATGTGTGACTCACAGAACTCAGGAGTCAACATCACCTGAAGGAAGAGGATATGGAGCATAAACCTGTTTCAAGTTATTCTTTTCAAAAGAACAGGGTAGAGGTGAGTGCTGAGAGGGGTCCGGAAATCCATGCTATGCTGGAGGGTGGAGGACAGCCCCTGAGATTTTGCCCCCCTCCTGGTGTCCTCCTCAAGTGAAAAGACACAGAACCTGTGCAAGTCACCACCTGGCAGTGTGGGGCTTACAGATCCTGATCAGCCTGAGCTTTGGGAAAAGCCACCTGACAGGTGCACCTGAGTACCCCACTGGGCAGAGAACTGCGAGGATGGCGGAGGGTGTCTCAGAAGAGCTTCCAGCTCTGGTGAGGGATCCCTCCAGTCACACCACCTGTCCCCATCCCATGCCTGTGCTGGACATCACTAATCCATCGAGGCACATGCCCCAGCACACGGCAGCCCCTACTGTAGGATGAGCTCTGCTGCCATTCTGGATCTAGAACAGCGCAAAGCTGTGAGCCCTGCTATGGGGCGTCAACCTGCACTTGTATGGTACAAGCCTTCTAGGGCCTGAGTCACTTGAATTGTGAACCCCGCGGGTCCTGGAAGGGGCCTCGGGTCAGCACAGCCCCTCACAGGTGGGATCTGAGACCCCGTGAGCAACGGGGACTGAGATCAAGGCCACCGCCCAGTGCCCGTGTGGTTGGACTACAGCAGGTGCGGAAAGGCGGTGCATGCTACCTGTTTGCAGAGCAGAGGTGGGTGGTGGGTGGAGCTGGCAGAAGTGGGTGGAGCCAAAGTGGTAAGTGGGGGAGGCAGAGTGGGTACAGCTGATGGTGGGTGGAGATGGTGGAGATGGGTGGAGCTGAAGGGGTGGGCTGAGCTGGTGGAAGTGAGCTGAGCTGAGGGGTGGGTGGAGTTGGTGGAGGTGGTCAGGGCTGAAGGGGTGGGTGGAGTTGGTGGAGGTGAGTGGGACTGAGGGCGTGGGTGGAGCTGGTGAAGGTGGGTGGAGCTGAAAGAGTGGGCGGAGCTGGTGGGGGTAGGAGGAGCTAAAGGGGTGGGTTGAGCTGGTGGAGATGGGCAGAGCTGGTAGAGGTGGGTGGAGCCGGTGGAGGTGGACGGTGGGTGGAGCGTGAGTAGAGTTGCTGTCTGACTGCAGTCTCCTAAGGGTTCAGCCCCACCTGGAGTCCTGTCCTTGGTGCTCCTTGGAGATGGAGGCTGCCTTTGCTCAGAGCCCCTGGTGACCCAAATACCATGGCACAACATTGCACCCTCCCACCCATTTTCTTTCCTGACCTCCTTCAAATCCCAACCTTAAAGCTAAGCCCTAGCCCTGACCCTGACCTCTGCTTGCCTGAGTTTCTGTTGGCAGAGACAGCCTCAAAACCCCAGGCCTCTAACCTCCATCTTCCCCTTAGGAGCATGAACTCCACAGCCAGGAGGCGCCACCTCACCCAGGGGCCCCAGCACCCCCATGCTCTGTCCCTCCACCCCCCCACCCCTCACCCTGCATCCACCCACACCCCGTCCCTCCACCCCACCCCACCCACCCCTCACCCTGCATCCACCCCACCCCCATCCTTCCACCCCACCCCACCCACCCCTCACCCTGCATCCACCCCCACCCCTGTCCCTCCACCCCACCCCACCCACCCCTCACCCTGCATCCACCCCCACCCCCATCCTTCCACCCCACCCCACCCACCCCTCACCCTGCATCCACCCCCACCCCCATCCTTCCACTCAACCCCACCCACCCCTCACCCTGCATCCACCCCCACCCCCATCCTTCCACCCCACCCCACCCACCCCTCACCCTGCATCCACCCCCACCCCCATCCTTCCACCCCACCCCACCCCACCCCCACCCTGCATCCACCCCCACCCCCTTTCTCTCCACCCCACCCCACCCCCACCCCTCACCCTGCATCCACCCCCACCCCCATCCTTCCACCCCACCCCACCCACCCCTCACCCTGCATCCACCTCCACGCCCAGCTGTCCCACTTCCTGGCTCTCCCACCTCCCCCTGCTCCCCAGGTTCCTGCACTGTTCCCCTCCCCTCAAGACCCCCTTGTTCTGTGCACCTCCACTTCTGCCTCCCTGCAGGGCAGTGTCTGACTGTGGAGAGGTTGCTCATCTCTGTGAAGTGGGGGTGCACAGGGACCATGCAGCTCTCTGAGGCTGGCAGTTGCAGTGCAGCCCAGCAGGTGAGCGTGGGTGTCTGCTGAGGCTGTCCTGCCTAGTAAATCTGTTGGCGCATTTCAGAGGAAAGTGCCGTCTGCTTCCTATGTACCCTTTTTCTTGGGTCGTGTCTCTGGTCTGGAGTAGACTGACCCCCCACAGGCGTGGGGATCCGGCTGGCAGGGCTACAAGAGGAAGACGGGAATCTGATGCCACCTGGCTGAGCTGTGCTCAACCGATCCCAGCCAAGACCCCAAGAGGACCTGCCTTAGGGATGCCCACTCCAGCCCCCAGCCCTCTCAGGTCAGGAGGCAGACCCCTGAGGAGGAGCTGATAGCTCTGAGACTCACCTGGTCAGTGGCGGGCCCAGGATACAGCTCTGGCCCTCTCTGGTGATGTGAAGCTTCCTTTCTGTTCTGCACGATTGTTCTTCATGAGCACAGGGTCTTGCTGTGTGGTTCCCTCCCCAGAGGAGCCGAGGTCAGACCAGCTCACCGTGCACCCCTCACTCAGGGCAGTCTTGAGGGCCTCTGGTGGGTGCCTGGGGCCAGCCTGAGGCCTCCCCGGGGCTGCCC